>NC_000001.11:63493228-63796259 GCF_000001405.40 Homo sapiens
CAACATGGAGAAACCCTGTCTCTACTAAAAATACAAAAATTAGCCAGGCATGGTGGCGCGCCTGTTGTCCTAGCTACTCAGGAGGCTGAGGCACGAGAATCACTTGGACCCAGGAGGCAGAGGTTGCAGTGAGCCAAGATCACGCCACCGCACTCTAGCCTGGGCGACACAGGGAGATTCTGTCTCAAAAAACAAACAAACAAACAAACAAACAAACAAACAAACAAACCTGCTTGTAATAATTCCTGACTCCTTAGAGTTATTTAACACCATTTCTAAACAAAAGAAATGCCACATTCTAAGATGCTGCAATCAGCCCCACCCAAATGCTACTGTACTTTTTATAAGGAGGTCTAATCTTGTACATTAGCAAAACTAAAATTTGGGCATCGATTTTTCTGCCTGAAAAAAAAATCAATGTTCTCTCAATAATTTCAAATAGATATGATATTTTCCTTTCCTTCCTTCAATTTCTTTCACAAATTGTAGCTTACTTTGTCACCTTGTTTAAAGCATACACTACCAAAAAAGTGCCTACATTTTACTGATTTTTTTAAACCTATTATAAACAGTCTAGAGAGTACTAACTAAAAATTCTTGCAGGATAAAATATGGGATTTAAAGGATACTTTATCACTATTTTGAACTGTCAGCCTATGCTAAAATATTTAAAATACAGATACTGTAGTGTCTGGTCAACTAGAAACAAAAGGGCAGCTAGAAGGAGATAATTCTTCATAAACTTATGCTGGTTATTTAGGCTATTGGAGTGTCCCACCTAAGATATAATTAATATGCATTACTAGTACTAATTATGAAATTTACATTAGAAAACTCTAGCATTAGCTGCCTCAGAGACGTTTCACAATTTGGGCCTAAGGTGCCTAGAAGAGTACTAGATACCAACCAACAACCTTCTTTTTTTTTTTGACACAGAGTCTTGCTGGGTCTTCCGGACTGGAGTGCAGTGGCACGGTCTTGGCTCACTGCAACCTCTGCCTCCCGGGTTCAAGCGAAGTAGCTGGGATTACAGGCACCCACCACCACGTCCGGCTAATTTGTGTATTTTTAGTAGAGACAAGGTTTCACTATGTTCACCAGGTTGGTCTCCAACTCCTGACCTCAAATGATCTGCCCGCCTTGGCTTCCCAAAGTGCTGGGATTATAGGTGTGAGATACCACAACCAACCCCAACTACCTTCTTATCAGCTACTACAATTATCAACCTTAATGGTTCTAAAAATCTTGGGGTTTTGTTTTTATGGTAGCCATGGAGAACAGAAACATTTTGAACTTATCTTAGTGATCTTACAGGGATAGCAAGGAAAGAATATGACCAATATATTAGAGCTATGATACTGAATTATACATTTGCTAAAACTCATCGAATTATACACTCGAGATCTTTGAAATTAATAATATGCAAATTTCACCCTGACAAGAAAAATAAAATACTGGCTAAAAACGTTGATGCACTGGTTTTTCTATTTGTAGTAATTATTTTTTCACAATTTAAAGATATTAAGATATTAATTTTAATAATAAAAGTATCATTACTGTCATTCTCTTACACTGTAATTTTGTTTTCCTAAGAGACAAAGTCTTTCTCTGTCGCCTAGACTGAAGTGCAGTGGCACTATCACAGCTCACTGCAGCCTTGAACTCCTGGGCTCAAGTGATCCTCCCACTTTACCCACCTGAGTAGCTGAGGCTATAGGCACGCACTACCATGCCAGCTTATTTAACAAACAAAATTTTTTTAGAGACAGGGTCTTACTACATTGCCCAAGCTTGTCCCAAATTGCTAGCCTCAAGCAATTCTCCCACCTCAGCCTCCCCCAAAGCTGGGATTACAGCCAGAAGCCACCATGCAGGCTTCTAGAGACTTTATGGTTTGGCTTTACTTTAGGCCTATGATCCTTCTTGGAATAAATTTTGTAAATAAAGTGAGATATGAAGTGCATATGAATTTTGTATATGAAGTGAATTTTTTTCTAGATGGTTACCATTTATTAAAGACTTTCTTTTTCCCCAATGAATTGACCCAGTATTTTAAAACGTTTAACAAATTTAGTCAACTGCTAAAGATAATATAAAAATATGAACCAAAAACAGTATTAGAAATAAGATTTTCCAAAGAGAATGAAGAATCATGAAGTCTTTAAACAATTACACTAAAGGAAAGATAGCTGTGGTATATGGAAGGAACCGCAGACTTAACATTGGAAAGCCTGGGCTCACATAATGGTTTTGCTGCTCCCCAGCTATGCTATCATGGACACACCACTCATCTGAATTTCAGTTTCCTCACTTAACTAATATATTCCCTCACTCAACTAGCAAAGAGCAAAGAAAGTAGGATGGGGCAGGTAGGGGGCAGCTGGCACTGCCATGTATCTCAGGCCAGGATCCATGGCAATCACTCTCTCTTCCCTTGTGGAGGAAGGTGGGGGTGGGGGTGAAGGCAAATTAATTCTAACCATGCTATTCAAGCAAAAAAAGTGAGGGCTTTTGTGGAAAATCTCCCTAGAACCAGGATGCTTTATCTTAGGCTCCACTCTAGGCAACCCCTTTTCCTTTTAAACAAGGATATATAATAATATTTCCTATACCAGAATGAAAAGATTCAGCATGAAACCAGATTCATGGACCCAACCAAGAAGCCACAACATTCTGTGGGAGGGAATCTCTCAGGTAGATTAGGGCAGGGCTTTTCCATGTGTCTACTCATAACCCATTCTTGAGATAGGGAGCCGGGAACTATTCCAAGCAACGGGTATGATTATGGGCAAAAGGGGCAGTTGAGGAAACAGCTGCAGATTTGCAACTCCTAAGCTTACTCCTACTTCATTCTGGGCCACTACAATTTTTTTTTTTTTTTTGAGACACAGTCTGGCTCTGTTACCCAGGCGGGAGTGCAGTGGTGCGATCACGGCTCACTGCAACGTCCGCCTCCTGGGCTCAAGTGACCCTCCCACCTTAGCCTCCTGAGTAATTGGGACGACAGGTGCGCACCACCATGCCTGGCTAATTTTTTGTACTTTTGGTAGAGACAGGATTTTGTGATGTTGCCAGGCTGATCTCAAACTCCTGAGCTCAAGCAATCTGCCAGCCTCAGCCTCCCAAAGTGCTGGGATTACAGGTGTGAGCCACTGCACCTGGCACTATAATTTGCTCCTTTGAACAACTGTACCTTGGTTCTTACTTTCTCCAGCAGGCCAACTGAACTTGATGTGTGCAAATGATGTATCTTGTGAATTTTAACTTTTTTCCTTAATAAAAATATTTTTATATATTTTAATCTAAGGTCCTTATTTTTATACTTTGTTGTGAGGTACACAGGCAACCTCAGGGATAATTTGACAGCTGCTCCAGGTCTGCAAAGCAGGAATACTTTTTGTTGTTGTTAAATTATCACCACAAAAAACAGCTACTTGGAGTATACAGCCTATTGGACTATCTCATTTATGTCAATAAGGGCTGGCTTTTCTACTGCAATGTCTTCTTAAAGCTCCTCCAGCTTGATAATGTTTCTTGGGATACTTGGTTTTAGTTGATTTGTCCCATGACTTGATCTCATTTTACTGGAAGATTGGACATGAGTATGAATAGGAAGGTGGTGCTGAAAGGTTAGAGCCTGGGCCAGGTGAAAGGCCTAGAGAGGAACAAGGTTAGATGAAGTTGTCTACATATGCAATAAAGGATTCCTATTCCAAGTCTCTAATCCTAGAGTACTAGACTTGCTTCACACACCAGATCTATCCTTCACTGAGATTAAACTAAATCTACCATGCACATTAAGATGTGTGTGTGTGTGTGTCTGAAAGTATGAGCTGGTAAGCATAGGTTTTTTAAATGAAATGCCTGTACCCATCTGTGTTGCCCAGGAATAAATGTATGAAGCAAAGACAAAAATTCTTAATTTTTCTAGCCAGGTGTGGTGGCATGTGCCTGCAGTCCTAGCTACTCGGGAGGTTGAGTTGGGAGGATCACTTGAGTCGAGGAGTTCGAGGCTGCAGTGAAACATGATTATACCACTGCACACCAGTTTGGATGACAGAATGAGATCCCTATTCTAAAAAAATAAAATAAAACAAAAAATCCTTAACTTTTGAACATTCTGGACTTAGAGACCTAGACCCATTACCAAGGGCTTTTGTTAATAGTATCTGGAGCCACTGTCCTGCATTGTTGCAGTAGTGATTGTAGAGTCATAGTAGCTAAAGAGAAAGGGAGTTTCATTTACCTGCCGTAAAAGCACTATAAACTTACATCCCTTTGTTCAAACAGGGCAAATAGAATGTATTGGGTGACATGTGTCTCATCCTGGGGGGGAGACTAAGAAAAGGAAGATAAATGTATCTAAGTCACTCAGGAGCTTTTATATAGGTGCAAAAAATGTATGTCAAAGTGGCCACAAGACAAGAGAAGGACAAATGCAGCTCGATGTTTACTGATAGAAACTAAAGCTTTGTGCAAAAGTCTGAATTCATGAAGAGGGAAGGACAGAAGGTAGGCTGAGTGTGTACCTGTCTGTTCTTTTCTTGATCCCTTCCCCGTCTTCCTGAACTGCAGGAGACTGAGCTCCCTTGGACTCTGATGACTTTATCACTGGGGTGTGTTTATTTGATGGTCAATTTGCTGTACTGGGCACTTCTTTTCTGTTGCACTATTGTAACACATGCTTTTCCTTTCCCCCTTTTTCTTTTTTCCAAGAAAATACAATGAATAAATACTTATTGGTATTGGGGAAAAAAACAAAAAACAAAAAAAGATATACAATTATAAACATAAACATATCTAACAGGAGAGGCCCAAAATACATAAAACAAAAACTGGCAGAATTGGAAGGGAGAGATTGAAAATTCAACTATAATAGTTGGAAACTTCAATT
Source organism: Homo sapiens (assembly GCF_000001405.40). Classification (NCBI taxonomy): domain Eukaryota; kingdom Metazoa; phylum Chordata; class Mammalia; order Primates; family Hominidae; genus Homo; species Homo sapiens. The sequence continues at coordinate 63,498,123 of NC_000001.11, forward strand.
CCCCGCATTCAATAATGAATAGAAAACCTAGATAGAAAATCAGCAAGGAAACAGAAAATTTGAATAAAACTATATACCAACTAGATTTAACAGACATCTATAGAACCCTCCCCCAACAACAGCAGAATACACATTCTTCTCAAGTGCACATAAAACATTTGGCAGGATAACAACATGTTGGGCCACAAAACAGGTCTCAACACATTTAAAAAGAGGAAAATAATACAATGTTCTCATAAAGAATGTTCTCTGGTCACATAGAATGACAATAAAAATAACAGAAGAAAACTTAGAAAATACACAAATATGTGTAAATCAAACAACATACTGCTAAATAACCAATGGGTCAAAGAAGGAATTTTTTTAAAACTTAAAAAACACATTAAGAACAAAACGCAACAAAACATAGAAAAACTTAATGGGATGTAGTGAAAGTGGTACTCAGAGGGAAATTTATAGCTGCAAATAACTATGTTAAAAGAGACAGCTCTCATATCAATAACCTAAGCTTCTACTTTAAGACACCAGAAAAAGAAAAGCAAACTAAACCCAAGGCAAGCAGAAGGAAAAAAAAAAAGACAATTAAAGAGAAAACAAATGAAATGGAGAAAAAACAACAGATATTAGTGGTGGTGATTCCAATAGTCAGTATTTTGAGAAGATCAACAAAATTGGTAAATCTTCAGCTAGACTGATGAAGGAAGGAAGAAAAGGAGGGAGGGAGGGTGGAAGGAAGGAAGGGATGGGGAGTCAAATTATAAAATCAGGAATGAAAAAGGGATGTTACTACTGGCCTTGCAGAAATAAAAGAAATCATAAAGGGCTACTATGACCAACTGCATGCTAACAAATTAGATAATCTAGATGAAATAGGCAAATTTCCAGAAACACATAACATACCAGGATTGAATTATGGAGAACAGGAAAATCTTAATAAATCAACAGCATGTAAAGACATAAGAGTTAATATTCAAAAAATTTACAACAAAGAAAAGCCCAGGACCAGGTAGCTTCACAAGTGAATTCCACTAGCGTTTTTTTTTTTTTTTTTTTCTTGAGATGTAGTTTCACTCTTGTTGCCCAGGCTGGAGGGCAATGGCGCGATCTCGGCTCACCGCAACCTCCGTATCCCGGGTTCAAGCAATTCTCCTGCCTCAGCTGGGATTACAGGCATGTGCCACCATGCCTGGCTAATTTTGTATTTTTTAGTAGAGAAGGGGGTTTCTCCATGTTGGTCAGGCTGGTCTCGAACTCCCGGCCTCAGGTGATCCACCTGCCTGGGCCTCCCAAAGTGCTGGGATTACAGGTGTGAGCCACTGCGCCCAGCCTTTCTACTAATATTTAAAGAAGTGACACCAAGTATTCTCAAACTCTCCAAAAATATGAGGAAACACTTCCTAATTCTTTGAAGCCAGTATTATCCTGATACCAGAACATTACAGACCCAAATCCCTTATAAATACAGATGTAAAAATCCTGGCAAATTGAAATCAGCAGCATAAAAGAATTATATGTCATAGCCAAGCAGAATTTATGCAAGGAAAGCAAGGTTGGTTCAACATACAAATATCAATCAATGTAATACACTATATTAAGAGAATAAAAGAAAAAAGCACACATGATCATCTCAATTATGCAGGAAAAGTAACTGACAAAAATCTAACATCCTTTCATGATAAAAACACTCAACAGACTAGGAATAGAACAGAATTTTCTCAATCTGATAAAAGACATGTATGAAAAACTCAGAGCTAACATCATACTTAATGATGAAAGACTGGATTCTTTCCCTCTAAGATCAGGTACAAGAAAAGAATGTCTGCTCTTGCCACTTCTACTTAATATTTTTCAGGAGGTTCTGGCCAAAGCAATGGGCACGAAAAAGAAATAAAAGGCGTAGATTGCAAAAGAAGAAGTAAAACTATCCCTACTTGCAGATGACCTGATCTTATATATAGAATACCCTAAGTAGGGCGGGGGGGCTGTGACTCACGCCTGTAATCCCAGCACTTTGGGAGGCCCAGACGGGCGGATCACCTGAGGTCAGGAGTTCGAGGCCAGCCTGGCCAATGTGGTGAAACCCTGTCTCTACTAAAAATACAAAATTTAGCTGGGCGTGGTTGTGTGCACCTGTAGTCCCAGGTACTTGGAAGGCCGAGGCAGGAGAACTGCTTGAACCCAGGAGGCGGAGGTTGCAGTGAGCTGGGATCGCGCCATTGCACTCCAGCCTGGGCAAAAGAGCAAGACTCTGTCTCAAAACAAAAAAAAAAGAAAATCTCCAAATTATTAATGCTAATAAATGGGTTCAGCAAAGCTGCAGGATATATGATCCATATGTAAAAATCAGTTGTATTTCTATACATTAGCAGTGACTAATCTAAAAATGAAATTATAAAGCAATTCCATTAATAGCATAAAAAGAATAAAATACTTAGGAATAAATTTAATCAGAAAACTATAAGACTTGTATACTGAAAACTATGAAACATTATTGAAAGATAATAAGCGAGATCTAAATAAACAGAAATATATCTCACATTCATGGTTTGGATGACTTACTATTATTGTTAAGATTGCAAATTTCCCAACTGAATCTGCAAATTTGATGTAATCCTTATCAAAATTCCAATGCCTTTTTTTTTCCAGAAGTGGACTAACTGATCCCAAAATTCATATGGAATTACAAAGGATACAGAATAGCCAAATCAATCTTGAAAAAGAACAACAAAGTTGAAGGACTCATACTTCCTGATTTCAAACTTACAATCAAAACGTTTTTTAATCTTAGAAACTTACAGTAATGAAGACCGCATGGTAGTGGCATAAACACATATATATAGATAGACAAATGGAATTTATCTGGGAATTCTGAAATAAATGCATACATTTATGATCACTTGATTTTTAACAAAGGTGCCAAGGCTGTTCAATAAAGGAAAAAATAGTCGTTTCAGCAAATGGTAGGGACTAGATTCATTTTTTTACATGTGGATATCTGTTTCAGTAACTGGTTATACACATGCAAAATAATGAATCCAGTCCCTACCTTGAACCATGTACAAAAATTAACTCAAAATGGAAGACCTAAATGAAAGAGTTAATACTATAAAACTCTTAGAAACGTAGATAAAAACCTGTGTTTCCATGGGTTACATGTTTCTCGGATATGACATCAAAAGGACAATCAAAGAAAGAAACAGGTAAATTGAATCTTGAAAATGTTATGCTAAATGAAAGAAGCCAGACACAAAATTATGAGACTCCATTTATATGAAATGGTCAGAAGAAGATCTACACAGACAGAAAGTAGATTAGTGGTTTCCAGGGGGAGGGGGAGAGGAGGAAATTGAGACTAACTGCTAATAGGTATGGGGTTTCCTTTTGGGGTGAGAGAAATGTTCTAGGATTGGAGAGATTAAGTTAGGCAATGGGAATAATCTGACTTAGAAGTGTCTTACTGCCAGGCATGGTGGCTCACACCTGTAATCCCAGCACTCTAGGAGGCCGAGATGGGCAGATTGCTTGAGCTCGGGAGTTTGAGACCAGCCTGGACAACATGGCAAAACTAAAAAAAAAATAGATACAAAAAATTAGCTGGGCATAGAGGCCTGTGCCTGTAGTCCCAGCTACCCTGGAGGCTGAGGTAAGACGATTGCTTGAGCCCAGAAGGTTGAGGCTGCAGTGAGCTGTGATCATAACAATGTACTCCAGCCTGGGCAACAGAGTGAGGCCCTGTCTCGAAAAAAAAAAAAAAGTGTCTTACTAATAAGTTATGGAGTACCCTTGACTGGATATCTATATATAAATCAGCAAACCTCCCCAACAAAACCTGCACCACTACTCCTCTGGCAGGAAGCCTATTGAGCTGGCCTTGGTAAGAAGTATGCTCTTCTCTTCCCAACCGTAGCATCTTCTATTCTCTCTCTGAAGTGTCCTGAAAAAGACTGGGTCAAGCTGGCTTGGTATATGGCCAGGTAGCCAGTTGTCCATATAAATTCATCTGGACTGCCATCGGCAACAGTTTGTAATATATAATTCATCTTCATTCCTGAAAATCTACCTAGGAACAATGCTTGGAGAGCAACAACTCAAGCAGGCCAAATACAGTAGATGATTATAAATTGGAACTTTCTTCACCTCCTTACAACACCCAACAATTTGTGAGGTTTAGCAAATTGTGGTACTGGCAGTATACATCCCGTATATTATAGGAAGAACACAGGGTATGGTCCATATCTCTGCTTCCCTCATTAGAAGAGGTATATTAGTCTGTTTTCATGCTGCTGATAAAGACATACCTGAGACTGGGAGGAAAAAGAGGTTTAATTGCACTTACAGTTCCACAAGGCTGGGAAGGCCTCAGAATCATGGCGGGAGGCAAAAGGCACTTCTTTTTTTTTTTTTTTAATACTTTAAGTTTTAGGGTACATGTGCACAACGTGCAGGTTAGTTACATATGTATACATGTGCCGTGTTGATGTGCTGCAACCATTAACTCGTCATTTAACATTAGGTATATCTCCTAATGCTATCCCTCTCCCCTCCCCCCACCCCACAACAGGCCCTGGTGTGTGATGTTCCCCTTACTGTGTCCATGTGTTCTCGTTGTTCAATTCCCACCTACGAGTGAGAACACGCGGTGTTTGGTTTTTTGTCCTTGCGATATTTGCTGAGAATGATGGTTTCCAGCTTCATCCATGTCCCTACAAAGGACATGAACTCATCATTTTTTATGGCTGCATAGTATTCCATGGTGCATATGTGACACATTTTCTTAATCCAGTCTATCGTTGTTGGACATTTGGCTTGGTTCCAAGTCTTTGCTATTGTGAATAGTGCTGCAATAAACATACGTGTGCATGTGTCTTTATAGCAGCATGATTTATAATCCTTTGGGGTATATACCCAGTAATGGGATTGCTGGGTCAAATGGTATTTCTAGTTCTAGATCCCTGAGGAATCGCCACACTGACTTCCACAATGGTTGAACTAGTTTACAGTCCCACCAACACTGTAAAAGTGTTCCTATTTCTCCACATCCTCTCCAGCACCTGTTGTTTCCTGACTTTTTAATGATTGCCATTCTAACTGGTGTGAGATGATATCTCATTGTGGTTTTGATTTGCATTTCTCTGATGGCCAGTGATGATGAGCATTTTTTCATGTGTCTTTTGGCTGCATAAATGTCTTCTTTTGAGAAGTGTCTGTTCATATCCTTTGCCCACTTTTTGATGGGGTTGTTTTTTTCTTGTAAATTTGTTTGAGTTCATTGTAGATTCTGGATATTAGCCCTTTGTCAGATGAGTAGATTGCAAAAATTTTCTCCCATTCTGTAGGTTGCCTGTTCACTCTGATGGTAGTTTCTTCTGCTGTGCAGAAGCTCTTTAGTTTAATTAGATCCCATTTGTCAATTTTGTCTTTTGTTGCCCATTGCTTTTGGTGTTTTAGACATGAAGTCCTTGCCCATGCCTATGTCCTGAATGGTATTGCCTAGGTTTTCTTCTAGGGTTTTTATGGTTTTAGGTCTAACATTTAAGTCTTTAATCCATCTTGAATTAATTTTTTTATAAGGTGTAAGGAAGGGATCCAGTTTCAGCTTTCTACGTATGGCTAGCCAGTTTTCCCAGCACCATTTATTAAATAGGGAATCGTTTCCCCATTTCTCGTTTTTGTCAGGTTTGTCAAAGATCAGATGGTTGTAGATATGCAGCATTATTTCTGAGGGCTCTGTTCTGTTCAATTGGTCTATACCTCTCTTTTGGTACCAGTACCATGCTGTTTTGGTTACTGTAGCCTTGTAGTATAGTTTGAAGTCAGGTAGCGTGATGCCTCTGGCTTTGTTCTTTTGGCTTAGGATTGACTTGGCGATGCAGGCTCTTTTTTGGTTCCATATGAACTTTAAAGTAGTTTTTTCCAATTCTGTGAAGAAAGTCATTGGTAGCTTGATGGGGATGGCATTGAATCTATAAATTACCTTGGGCAGTATGGCCATTTTCACAATATTGATTCTTCCTACCCATGAGCATGGAATGTTCTTCCATTTCTTTGTATCCTCTTTTATTTCATTGAGCAGTGGTTTGTAGTTCTCCTTAAAGAGGTCCTTCACATCCCTTGTAAGTTGGATTCCTAGGTATTTTATTCTCTTTGAAGCAATTGTGAATGGGAGTTCACTCATGATTTGGCTCTGTTTGTCTGTTATTGGTGTATAAGAATGCTTGTGATTTTTGTACATTGATTTTGTATCCTGAGACTTTGCTGAAGTTGCCTATCAGCTTAAGGAGATTTTGGGCTGAGACGATGGGGTTTTCTAGATATACAATCATGTCATCTGCAAACAGGGACAGTTTGACTTCCTTTTTTCCTAACTGAATACCCTTTATTTCCTTCTCCTGCCTGATTGCCCTGGCCAGAACTTCCAACACTATGTTGAATAGGAGTGGTGAGAGAGGGCATCCTTGCCTTGTGCCAGTTTTCAAAGGGAATGTTCACAGTTTTTGCCCATTCAGTGTGATATTGGCTGTGGGTTTGTCATAGATAGCTCTTATTATTTTGAGATACGTCCCATCGATACCTAATTTATTGAGAGTTTTTAGCATGAAGGTTGTTGAATTTTGTCAAAGGCCTTTTCCACATCTATTGAGATAATCATGTGGTTTTTGTCGTTGGTTCTGTTTATATGCTGGATTACATTTATTGATTTGCATATGTTGAACCAGCCTTGCATCCCAGGGATGAGGCCCACTTGATCATGGTGGATAAGCTTTTTGATGTGCTGCTGGATTCGGTTTGCCAGTATTTTATTGAGGATTTTTGCATCGATGTTCATCAGGGATATTGGTCTAAAATTCTCTTTTTTTGCTGTGTCTCTGCCAGGCTTTGGTATCAGGATGATGCTGGGCTCATAAAATGCATCAGGGAGGATTCCCTCTTTTTCTATTGATTGGAATAGTTTCAGAAGGAATGGCACCAGCTCCTCCTTGTACCTCTGGTAGAATTCGGCTGTGAATCCATCTGGTCCTGGACTTTTTTTGGTTGGTAAGCTAATAATTATTGCCTCAATTTCACAGCCTGTTATTGGTCTATTCGGAGGTTCAAATTCTTCCTGGTTTAGTCTTGGGAGGGTGTATGTGTCGAGGAATTTATCCATTTCTTCTAGATTTTCTAGTTTATTTGCGTAGAGGTGTTTATAGTATTCTCTGATGGTAGTTTGTATTTCTGTGGGATCGGTGGTGATATCCCCTTTATCATTTTTTATTGCATCTATTTGATTCTTCTCTCTTTTCTTCTTTATTAGTCTTGCTAGCAGTCCATCAATTTTGTTGATCTTCTCAAAAAACCAGCTACTGGATTCATTGATTTTTTGAAGGGTTTTTTGTGTCTCTATTTCCTTCAGTTCTGCTCTGATCTTAGGTATTTCTTGCCTTCTGCTAGCTTTTGAATGTGTTTGCTCTTGCTTCTCTAGTTCTTTTAATTGTGATGTTAGGGGGTGTCAATTTTAGATCTTTCCTGCTTTCTCTTGTGGGCATTTAGTGCTATAAATTTCCCTCTACACACTGCTTTGAATGTGTCCCAGAGATTCTGGTATGTTGTATCTTTGTTCTCGTTGGTTTCAAAGAACATCTTTATTTCTGCCTTCATTTCATTATATACCCAGTAGTCATTCAGGAGCAGGTTGTTCAGTTTCCATGTAGTTGAGCGGTTTTGAGTGAGTTTCTTAATCCTGAGTTCTAGTTTGATTGCACTGTGGTCTGACAGACAGTTTGTTATAATTTCTGTTCTTTTACATTTGCTGAGGAGTGCTTTACTTCCAACTATGTGGTCAATTTTGGAATAAGTGTGGTGTGGTGCTGAGAAGAATGTATATTCTGTTGATTTGGGGTGGAGAGTTCTGTAGATGTCTATTAGGTCCGCCTGGTGCAGAACTGAGTTCAATTCCTGGATATCCTTGTTAACTTTCTGTCTCGTTGATCTGTCTAATGTTGACAGTGGGTTGTTAAAGTCTCCCATTTTTATTGTGTGGGAGTCTAAGTCTCTTTCTAGGTCTCTAAGGACTTGCTTTATGAATGTGGGTGCTCCTGTATTGGGTGCATATATATTTAGGATAGTTAGCTCTTCTTGTTGAATTGATCCCTTTACCATTATGTAATGACCTTCTTTGTCTCTTTTGATCTTTGTTGGTTTAAAGTCTGTTTTATCAGAGACTAGGATTGCAACCCCTGCCCAAAAGGCACTTCTTAATTGGCAGTGGCAAGAGAAAATAAGCAAGATGCAAAAGTGGAAACCCCTGATAAAACCATCAGGTCTAGTGAGCCTTATTCACTACCACGAGGACAGTATGGGAGAAACCACCCCCATGATCCAAATTATCTCCCACTGGGTCCCTCCCACAACAGGTGGGAATTACGGGAGTACAATTTAAGATGAGATTTGGGTGAGGACACAGGAAACCATATCAAGAGCCATAAGCAAATGGCATTTGAACCTTGCCCAAACATCATGAAGCATTAATCTCCATGAAGATCTGTAGCTGCATTAGGAACACTGGGAGTTAGGAGTTCCAAATATCTCTGGATATGGCCATTGCTTAGGATGAACAGGCTCCACTTCAACCAACTGGCATATAAGGGCCATCTCTTTCCCTTAGAAACCAGAGCCTTCCCCCTTCAGCAACATATTGGTAAGGTAAAATGACCACAAAGTTACTACTAGTTCCAATATAGCTTCACAACAATTAAGTACTCCTAAAATTGTAGGTATATATTTTGAATGTCCAATTTCCTTTTGCATGGGCTAAGGCAGCCTCAATGGGGCCATAGGCCATGTGAGTATATAATTGGGAGCCAGGTTGCTTCAGGGCTAAGTTGTTACTAGAGTAGATGAAGTGTGTATGTAGCCATGGAGAGAAGCCCAGACTTAACACCAGAACAGAACAAAAGCTGTTAGCTCTAAGATGTAAATACAGAGCTTCAAACAAATGATAAGGCAAGAGGACAAAGCTGAAAATACCAGAAACTGGTCAGGAAATAGAAATGCCCAAGCTAGTATGCTAGGAACCTCCTTCGGGCAGATGTGGTCATGTAGTACCAAGCTAAATCAACTGGTACTACTAAATCAGTTGGTACAAGCTTAAATCAATTTAAGTTCTGTTGAAAGGTACAGAACTGGGCCAAACATAACAATGTATTTTTCTAATACAGGATGTCAGCTGTGGCACTGGCTACCTTGACACATCTTCATCTGAAGAAAAAATACAAAGAAGGCCTGCCATGATGACAATTTACTTCATGAAGAGAACGGGTTCTGAAACGGTCATTCTTTTCCATTTAAACAATGTTACCATCTCCCAAAGAACAGCTTTGGGGTAGGAAAGAACAGTATTTCATTTCAAGCTGGACTACTCATCTACCAAAAAACCATTCTGACCAAAGAAACAGATGCAGAATTACAGTCACAGCTGCATTCTGCACAGAACAAGTTGGATAATGGTATTCTAAATTGCTAATTATACTGTTAATGATTTTTTAAGTGTCATTGCAGTACTTTGCCACCTTTGTTTAAAAATTTTTAAAAAGCATGTAGCAAGTTTTCTAAATGGTAAATTTCTGTTTTGTTAAATACCAGCGTGTCTTCCAAAGAAAAATTCCATATAAAACCCATTTATTGAAATGGCATTCATATGTGAATTTGGAGGAGCCTACTTATTGACTAGCTATTTGTTTTAATTTACTTTCTCACCAATTTACCTGCATTTAAGATTACTGAGGTCATAAGTATCTCAGTATTAGTGTTTCTATCTAGATCCATAGTTGGTATGAAAAGATAATAAACTAACATATGTCATGATATGCTGGCACTGGGAATGTGCTACAACTCAATTTACAAAAAGTAATGGCAACAGTACAATTTAATTTTCATTGTGATAACTGTGGTGCAATTTATTACGGTGTTAGTATTATGCTGTTTAATCCATGCCAGCATAGCTGAGGAAGGTAATTACATTTTTGATATAAAAATGCTACTAATGTTTTCATTTCATTTTAGCAGATTATAGTATGCAGATTAAAAGTACTGCCATTGTCCCATATTGTTTCTTGTACATTTAAGTGGCAGACTATTTTTTTCCACAAATAGTGAATTAATTTCTACTAAATTATTTCATTAAGGTTTTTAAATAATTAATTTGCTTCTTAACTGAACACCTCAAGCTGGCCAGGAACTTCCACATATTAGATTCACAAAAACTAAAATATCTTATATGCAGAAAATGGTGTACCAATCACAATTATATCACACTGTGATATAATTAAAATTATCAAGATAATTTTAATATTTAACGAGATAAATCAGTAGTTAAAAACTGAAAACACAATCTTATTCAATGACAAACTTTTAAGCAAATACTTACATTTTCTTCTAACAGACCATCCAACTTCAGTGATCTTTTAACACTACAAACAAAAAATTTAAAGAAATTTTAGATTTGACACGCTTTATTTAAAGTAGCCCAATAATTAAGGGAAGATATATAAACAAAGATTCTTAGTTCTACCAACCAATTTTTATATTATGTATTAAAGCAGAATACCATATGAAGAAAGCAATTATTTATGATGACAGGTTTGATTCTAATTGCATATCTCTAAATGGGATCATAATTAAATATTTAAATGAGTTTCTTTAAAAAATATATGCAGTTATATATACAAGGACTACCGTACAATTTAAACATCAGTCCTATATTATAAAAACTCTTATAAAAGTTAGTATGTTTGTCTGCTTTAAAATACCACTATTACAATATCATATATAAGAGCAAAATAATTTATACACTTTCAGTGGAGATGTTGAAAGTACAGTACAGAAACAGTGCACTAGGTGTTAAAGGTATGAGCATGGTGAAAAAAAGTTTTGCACATTATTCTAGCTTTAAACATGATTCAGTGCAACCAGACTATGACTTAACTGAGGAACAGATGCTCTATGTCTTTATAAGTCCCCAATCCATAAGAAACTATTTTTTGTTTCCTTCACTAAACTGATTCAGGAATATGCCAGGCTCTCTGTGTGCAAAATCTGTTCTGCTAAACTGGATGCCCAGCTGTTGGTGACAATGCTTAGAAAGGGAAGCTGAATATTTATAATACTTTATTTCATACAGCTGTCTTCTAAAGAGCAGTCATCAACATTTTATTCAATGCAGACTAAATGTTCAAAGGAGAAAAAGGTCAATATAAATTAAAACTAGTTTTTTCAGTGACAAATGCAGTGTTAAAAGTATCTTCCTGATTCTTGAGAAATAGAAATAGAATTAAAATATTAAAGAATTAGAGCATAAAGCAAAAAGATTGTACTATGTTATATTACAGAAATCCCCCAAAAGTTTGTATTGATCTTAGAAAATGACTATTCGTAAGTAACTATTGATTTACAAAGGACAGGAATAAGAAAAAATAGAAGAGATGGTCAATCTAAGAAAATCATTGAACAGTAAATATACAGTACAGAAATTTAATCTATCTAAAAGATTATTTTGCTACTATATCCACATTACCCTATCACAACATTATTTCTTGAGATTAAACTGGTTTAAAGAATTATTTATGCTTTTAGAAATCTACTTAATATCAATTTAATCTGATTTCCCAATGAGGCAAGAAGAAAACAGAGGTACAAACAAACTAAAATGCAGATAATTTTTTAAAATTTATATTTAGCTTTGGAATACATATTGCCCTATTTGGGTATGTAAGATGTTCTGGTATTTATAACGCTTCAAAAATAGAAATTACACCAGGCGTGGTGGCTCGTGCCTGTAATCTCAGTACTTTGGAAGGCTGAGGTGGGTGGATCACCTGACGTCAGGAGTTCGAGACCAGCCTAACATGGTGAAACCCTGTCTGTACTAAAAATACAAAATATTAGCCTAGCGTGGTGGTGCGTGCCTGTAATCCCAACTACTCCCAAGGCTGAGGCAGGAGAATCGCTTGAACGCGGGAAGCAGATGTTGCAGTGAACGGAAATCGTGCCATTGCACTCTAGCCTGGGCAACGGGAGCAAAACTGTCTCAAAAAAAAAAGAAAAAGAAAATAGAAATTAAAAAACTAAAGTTAAACAGTACAGCATTTCTTATCCTTTGTTTCTAAATGCTATTAAGATGCAATAGTATCTTTTAGAAGGAGACATATTCCATCCTGATATTAACTGTTCAAAATATTGCTTTGTTATCAATGGTTAATTCTTAGACAAAGTAACTAAATGTTTGCTTTTAAAAAGTTTACAGATTAGGCCCCAGGTTGATCTAAGAAACCCAAGGAAATACGTAAAAAATAGTAAACAAGAAAGTAAGCTGAGTTAAAATAGGCTGTCATCTCCCACTTTATGTTTGGTGACAATCTAAAAATATTATTTACTGAGGGTAGTGTACTATTCAGATAATTCGGACATCTAATAACCAAAAGTTATAATACTTAAAAGAATCCTTAAAAGATATAATAGACAAGACTAGAAGAAATCTAAGAAATCACTTAGTTCAGCCAATAGGGAAAACAGTTTGTGCAACTTGCCTATTGTCACACATCTTGAGGGAGAGAAACTCAGATCTCAGGCCCTGTGCATAATAAATCTTTATGGAATTGAGGGGAAGGGAATTAAAGAAGGGAAGAGAAGAGCAAACCCACTACAGAGTTTATGACCATCTATTCTTAATATTATATTAGAACTGGGCCCAACCACTCTTTTACAACACAATGACGAGAATATACTAAATTGATTACTTTACTGTTAGTAGGAATAGAAGAGACGGATGAAACATATGAAGGAAGAATAGGTAAAATTTGATTAGATATATGGGATATTTTCCTAAAATATTTACTCTTTTGTTACCAGTATTAGCTAACAAAAGTGATATCTATCTGGTAGTTCTGTAAAGTTATAAGCAGCTCCTGTGGCTACTATCTTGGTTTAAAAAAGTGGGCACACAAAATTGGACAAAGGACTTGAATATACACTTCTCCAAAGTGATATACTAATGACCAATAAGCACATGAAAAGATGCTCAACATCTCTAATCATTAGGGAAATGCAAATCAGAACCACAATGAAATATTACTTCACAACCTATTAGGATGGCTACTATTAAAAAACCAAACAAAACAAAAAAAACAAACAGAAAATAAGTGTTGGTGAGGATGTAGAGAAACTAGAATCCCTGTGTACTGCTGGTGGGAATGTAAAATGGTTTAGCAGCTATGGAAAACAGTATGGCAGTTCCTCAAAGAATTAAAAATAGAATTACCATATGATTCCATGATTCCACTTCCAAAAATAATTGAAAGCTGGGACACAAACAGATATTTGTACACCAATGTTCACAGCAGCATTGCTCACAATAGCCAAAAGGTAGAAAAGCAACCCAAATATCCACTGACAGATGAACCGATAAACAAAATGTGATATATATATAAAACAAAATCTTATTCAGCTTTAAAAAAAAGAAATGAAATTTGACATGTGCTACAACATGGATGAACCTTGAAGACATTATGCTAAGTAAAATAAGCCAGTCACAAAAGGACAAATATTGTATTATTCCACTCATAGGAGAGTAGTCAAGTTCATGGAGACAAAAAATAGAATGGTGGTTGCCAGGGGCTAGAGGGAGTGAGGAATGGGAAATTACTGTTTAATGGGTACAGACTTTCAGTTTTACAAGATGAAAAAAAATTCTAGAAATGAATGGTGGTGATGGTTGCACAACAAGGTAAACATTCTTAATGTCACTGAATTGGACACCTAAAAAATGATTAAAATAGTAAATTTTGTTATATATAATTTAGCACAATTTAAAAATAGATAATTTTTTTAAAGGATATCTACTTATTGTGTCCTAATTACCTCCCTTTTACAGGTAACCTCTCTGTGGGTAACTTCTAACTTCCAACTTACCCAAATTTCCACCTATGCCCGTAATTTACAAGTTATATTATATTTCTAGGTATACTAGGTTTAGATTCACTGGGATCAAAATTCTGGTTGCTACCAGAAATACTGCTGTTGAGAATTTTAAAAAGATAGAAAGCATTTGACATGCAATTTTATAGAGAGAGTAACTATGTTTGTATAATTATATTATTCTCTAAGACTGACCTCTTTTCTATTTAGCTTAACATATGGTAGTATCCTGAATAGGATTCTCTGGTTCATCAGAACAGAAAAAGCAGATGAGTTTTATTACACAATGTTATTGACTAACATCAGTTACAGTATTAAAGAAATTATTCTAGGAAAAAAAAACCCTATCATTTGATTCCTAATAAAAAACCAGGAATGACACCTCAGAAAATCACAAAATTTTATGATTTGAGCTTCTCTTATAGAACTTTTAAAACATTAGTTTAAATACAATTTTGAATAACAGGACTGAGGGGAAGAATGGGGGGTAAAGAATAAACTTAGTAAAGCAGTTAAGACTCAGGGAGCCTTCATGCTATGCCAAATTCTTCCCTAAGGTTGGGCAAATCACATAATCTCACTAAGCTTCATAAAGTTGATAATAACACAGGCCTGTAAAGTAGTAAGAAATTTCTGAGTGGAAGATAAAAATATCACTGAGTATTTCAGTGCTTCCATTTACTCCACACTATAATAGAGATGATAATATTGCCAGCTACAACTTCACAGGAGTGTTTAGAGTATTACTGAGTATGCTTGTGAGATTCTTAGAAATCCTTTGATGAAAGGCAATGGCCAAATTCACATTCCATGTGACTCCTTAAATGTAAACCTTTTGTTTTCCTTGACCTGGACATTTTTCAAGACTGCAGGCCATTTTTATTTTTATTTTTGTAGACTATCCCTCAATTTGGGCCTATCTGATATTTCCCCATGATTAGGTTATGCATATTTGGCATAAATATCACAGAAGTGATGTTGCATCCTTCTGAGAGCATAACTTGAGGCACTTGATCTTGATGTATTGTAATATCAGTGATATAAATTTTGACCATTAAGATATTATCTTCCAGTTTTCTCCAATGTAGTAAATAAGAAATCTTATAAAGAGCCACTAATGATCATTCCTTTTATATTTATTAGTTAGCATTACATTCCAAGAAAAGCCTTTCAGTTCTCCTTCCTTTATTCATTTATATCACTACAGTGTCACAGATTTTTATGTTAGCCAATGGATTTTAAGCCATTCCTATCATTATTTATTTTGATGTTTAACTGTCCCAAATTTGGCAATGGGACCATTCTTCCCCTTCACCCTGGCTCCTGTTTAACCTATGTACCCATAACGCTTTGAGCACTTCCTACCTTTCCAGCATACACAAAAAGTTTTCTCTGCACCAGCTTTGGAATCAGCTTTTTCTCCAATGAGACCTAGCTCTTTTTAGTGGACAATGGTATTTAGACACCAAAATCTGGGCACTAAATGTGTTCACTGTTACTTACGTCATCGCTTACAGTCTCTCTCAGAGGACAGAGCTGGAACACACATCACACACACACACAAAAACATTTCTATCTACCTCTATCTTTAATATGTATATTTTTAAAAACTATGATTTCATATTGACATCTCCAATGCCAAGTCAAGAAATTTGAAATTCCTCCATCCAAAGGTGAGAAACTGGCTCCCATCATCCACAATACACTTACTCATTTGACCAAGCCTAGAACACATAAAAACTAGTTTCAGAAGTGCTAACACATACCACCATGGAAAGCAAATCTCTTACTCAAGTTCAGTATTTGCCTAATATTTTTAATGTAAAATTTACATATAGCAAGCAGCACAAATATTAAGTGTATAGATGCGAGTTTTAACAAACATGTACTATATCCCTGAAACTCACATCCATATCAAGATATGGAATATTTGAATCATATGAGGAGGGTACCTCAGGCTCCCTCCAAGTCCATAATCTATACCATACACAACTACTTTTCTAATTTTTTCCAGCATAGATTACTTTTGCCTATTCTAGAATTTCATATAAATAGAACTATACAGTATGTACTTGTGTCTATTTTCTCTGCTCAGCATAACTGTTAGATTCACCCAGGTTGTTGCACATCAGTAGATCATTTATTTTTAATTAATATTCTATCTTAATAAGCCATTTATTTGTTTTCCTGTTGATGGACACTTGGTTTTAGTTTTTAGCCATTATGAGTAAAGCTTCCAAGAACACCTTTTACAAGTTTTTTTGTTTTGTTTTGTTTTCCTTAGCTATACTGCATTCAGTTTTCTTGGATAAATAAATACCTAGAAGTAGAGGTGCTAGATCATTGGGTAGGTGTATATTTATTTAATTTCATAAGAAACTGCCAAAATGTCTAGCAACATGTTATGGTTCATTTGTGTATCTTCTTTTATTAACTATTGGTTCAAATCTTTGGGCCATTATTTTAATAACATTTTTGTCTTTCTACTGTTGATTAGTAAGAGTTCTTTCTTATCCTAAATATAAATCCTTTGTCTGATATATATCTGTTACATACTTTCTCCCAGTCAGTTGTTTGAAAATTTACTTTTTTTGGCTGGGCATGGTGGCTCACACCTCTAATCCCATCACTTTGGGAGGCCAAGGTGGGCAGACCACAAGGTCAAGAGACTGAGACCATCCTGGTCAACATGGTAAAAGCCCATCTCTCCTAAAAATACAAAAATTAGCTGGGTGTGGTGGTGCACACCTGTAGTCCCCGCTACTCGGGAGGCTGAGACAGGAGAATCGCTTGAACCCAGGAGACGGAGGTTGCAGTGAGCCAAGATCGTGCCACTGCACTCCAGCCTGGTGACAGAGCGAGACTCTGTCTCAAAAAAAAAAAAAAAAAAAAGAAAAACAGAAAATTTACTTTTTTTAACGGTATCTCTTGATGAGCAAAAGTTTAAAAGTTAGATGAAGCATAATTTATCATTTTTTCTTTTATAATTATTGCTTTCCGCGTCTTGCCTGAAATTTCACCTACTTCAGACTGTAAAAATATTCTCAAATATTTCCCTCCAGAAACTTTCCTTTTTACATTTAGGACTAAAATGTATCTCAAATTAATTTTTGTATGTAATATAAGGTGAAGGTCAAGGTGTTTTGTTTTTTTCCCCACTGGGTATGCCAGCACCACTTGGGAAGAAAATCTTCTGTTATCCCCACTGAGCTGCTTTGGTACCTTTGTGGGTCTATTTCTGGACTTTCTATTCTATTCTATTTACCTATTTCTCTATATGCCCAAACCACATTGAGTTCATTACCAACACTTTATGCCATGTCTAGTTAGTGTACATACTCCAACTTCATTCTTTTTTTTCAAAATTGTTTTGGCTACTGCAAGTCACTTGCCTTTCCATACAAATTTTGAAATCAGTTTTCAATTTCTAAAAAACGTTTGCTTGAAGAACTAAAAATAGAACTACCATTCAACGCCAGGCACGATGGTTCACGCCTGTAATCCCAGGACTTTGGGAGGCTGAGGTGGGCAGATTACAAGGTCAGGAGTTCAAGACCAGCCTGATCAATATGGTGAAACCCCATCTCTACTAAAAATACAAAAATTAGCCAGGCATGGTGGTGCATGCTTGTAGTCCCAGCTACTCAGGAGGCTGAGACAGGAGAATCACTTGAACTCGGGAGGCGGAGGTTGCAGTGAGCCAAGATTGCACCACTGCACTCCAGTCTGGACAACAGAGCAAGACTCCAACTTAAAAAAAAAAAAAAAAAAAAAAAAAAAAGAACTACCCAGCAACCACCACACTACTGGGTATCTATCAAAGGAAAATAAATCATTATATCAAAAAGACAAATGTACTTGTACATTTATTGTAGCACTATTCACAACAGCAAAGTCATGGAATCATCTTGTGTCCATCAATGGATGACTGGATAAAGAAATGTGGTATATATACACCATGGAACACTATGCAGCCATAAAAAAGAATGATACCGTGTTGTTCTGCAACAACATGAATAGAGCTGGAAATCATTATCTTAACTGGAATAACTCAGAAGCAGAAAATTAGGCCAGGCATGGTGGCTCACATCTGTAATCCCAACACTTTGGGAGGC
This sequence comes from Homo sapiens, assembly GCF_000001405.40. Taxonomy (NCBI): domain Eukaryota; kingdom Metazoa; phylum Chordata; class Mammalia; order Primates; family Hominidae; genus Homo; species Homo sapiens. The sequence continues at coordinate 63,516,188 of NC_000001.11, forward strand.
TGAGCTGAGCAGATTGCTTGAGTCCAGAGTGAGCCTGGGAGGCAGAGGTTGTGGTGAGCAAACTGCACCACTGCACTCTAGCCTGGGTGACAGAGCAAGACCATGTCTCAAAAAAAAAAAAAAAAAAAAAGAGGAGAGGGGAGGGGAAGGGAAGCGGAGCGGGGGAAGGTGGGGGAGAAGGGGGGGGGAAGGGAAAAGGAAAGAAAAGAAAGAAAACAAGAGAAAAAAGAGGAAAGGAAAGCAAAGAAAATCAACTGGGTGTGGCAGTGCTCACACCTGTGATCTCAGCATTTTAGGAGGCTAAGGCATGAGGATTGTTTGAGATCAACATGGGCAACACAATGAGACTCTGTCTTTACAAAAAAATTAAAAATTAGGCCAGTGTGGTGGTGTACACCTGTAGTCCCAGCTACTTGGAAGGCTGAGGCAGGAGGATCACTTGAGCCCAGGAGGTGAAGGTTGCAGTGAGCCATGTTCATGCCACTGCAGTCCAGCCTGGGTGACAGAGTAAGACCTTGTTTCATGAAAAAAAAAAAAAAAGAAAAAAGAAAAAAAAAGAAAAGCAAATACCACATGTTCTCATCTATTAGTGGGAGCTAAACAATGGGTACATATGAACATACAGAGGGAAATAATAGACACTGAGACTTCAAAAGGAGGAAGTATGGGAGGAAGGTGAGGGTTGAAAAATTATCTTTCGGGTACAATGTTCACTATTTGTGTGATGGGCACCTACGAGCTCAAACCTCACCATTATGCAATATATCCTTGTAACAAATCTGCACATATACACCCTGAGTCTATAAAAAATAAAAACAAATAAGTTAGGTATAAATGATCATACTCAAAAAAAGAAAGTACAAAGAAGGAAAATTAGATTACATGAAAAATGAAATATAAAACAGAAAAGATAAAGATAATACCAAATACTATTATACAAGTTTTCATCCACTTAACTTTTTTTAAAAAAGATCCATTTTAAACAGTAGAAATAAAAAAAGAGCAAAACTTAAAAAGAAATGTTTGTTAGGATTATGACAGGGATTGCATTAAATCTAAACATTGGTGAGAACTAACATTTTAATAATACCACATTTATCACTTAAAAATACTCTCACCAGCATGGCACATGTATATATATGTAACTAACCTGCACATTGTGCACATGTACCCTAAAACTTAAAGTATAATAATAAAAAAATAAAAATAAATAAAAATAAATAAAAAATAAATAAAAATACTCTCATTTATCTTCATCTTTAATTTCTCTAAGGAACATTTTGTAATTTTCACTGTAGAGGTCTTGCATGTCTTATGCTAAATTATTATATGTTTTTATGTAATTATAAATGAAAAATCTTAAACTTCAATTTCCAGGTGTTTATTCCTGAAATATAGAAATATATTGATCTTTGTACACTGATTTTGCATCCTACATCCTTGCTAAATTGTTCTGAAAATTGTTTTATAGATTTTTTAGGATTTTCTTCATACATGATGTCATTGTTGAATCATTAATTTTACTTTTTCCTTTTTTGTTGTTGTTGTTTTTGTTTGTCTTGAGACAGGGTCATCCAGGCTGGAATGCAAGTGACACAATCACAGCTCACTGCAGCCTTGACTTCCTCGGCTCAAGTGATCCTCCTGCCTCAGCCTCCCAAGTAGCTGGGACTACAGGCACGTAACGTCACACCTTGTTAATTTTCATATTTTTTCGTAGAGACAGCGTTTTGCCATATTGCCCAGGCTAATCTTGAACTACTGGGCTCAAGCAATCTGCCTGTCTCAGCCTCCCAAAGTGATGGGATTACCGGCATGAGCCACTGGGCCTGGCCCCACTTTTTCCTTTTTAACACTATGGGTGTTTTTCTGTGTGTGCTTTTTTGAATAGAAGTGGTGAGAGGGCACGTTCTTGCCTTTTTCCTAATCTTAAAAAAGTTTTCGATACTAAATATATTATCTATAGGTTTTTCAAAGAAATGAGAAGTTGCCTCCTATTCCTAGTTTGCTGAGGGTTTTATTTTCTCACGAATGGGTATGTTCTCTGTACAATTAACCAATGAAATCGTCTGGGTCTTTGTGGGAAGATTCTTAGTAACAAATTCTATTTCCTTAATTATGCAGATTTTCTGTATCATCTTATGCCATCATGCTAAGTTGTATTTTTCAAGGAATTTGTCAATTTTGTATAAGTTGTCAAGTTTACTGGAATAAAGGCTTTAATGATATTACCTCTTTCAATATCTATAGCATCTTTAGTGGTATTCTGCTCTTTCATTTTGGATATTGATAGTTTATGTTCTCTTTCATCTAAGTACAATTTACCCTTTCATTCTGGATATTGATCATTTGGTTTCTCTCCTGTTAGACTGTTATATCTACCTTTCCCTTTCTTTTCTTTCTTTTTTTTTTTTAACTTTCAACTTTGTTGCTTATAGACAGTAAAGAGTTAGGACTTGCTTTAAAAAAAAATCTAGCCTTATAATATTCTCTACCTTTTTCACTGATGTCTTTACTGCACTTAAACTTGTAATTATCTGGTTGGGGCTACCATTTAGATAGTTGTTTTCTATTTGTCCCATCTGTTTTTGTTCCTTTGTTCTTTTTTACCTGCCTTCTTTTGAATTAACATTATTTTTAAATATATCATTTCAATTCCTCTATTTGTTTTTTAGGTATGCCTCTCTGCATTTTCAGAGGTTACTCTGGGGATTACAGTATGCCTTTTTAACATACCACAGTCTATCTAGAGTTATAATAATACAGTACTACTTCATGTAAAAGAGAAGAATCTTGCAACATTATAGTCAACTCCCTCTACACTTTGTGCCACTGGTATCATATATATTATGTCTACATATAACCCCATAATAGTGTTTAATTTTTGCTTTAAACATTCTCACCTTTTTAAGAAGTTGCAAGCAAAAAATATATAGATGCTCCTTGACTTACAACAGGATTATGTTACAACAAACCCATTGTAAATTGAAAATGTTAGTTGAAAATGCATTTCACACATTTAACCTACTGAACATCACAGCTTAAACATGTTGAGAACTCTTAAATTAACTTATAGTTGGGTAAATCATCTAACCCAAAATCTCTTTTAAAATAAAGTGTTGAACATCTCATGTAATTTATTGAATATTGTGCTGAAAGTAAAGAAAAGAATGGTTGTATGGGTACTTAAAGTAGTTTCTACTGAATGCATATTGCTTTCACACTATTATGAAGTCAAAAAATTCTAAGTTAAATAGACAGGTGAGAGCCACCACGCTCAGCCAAAAAGGCTCTATTATACCTTCCTCTATTAGACTTTACTGACTTTTACAAGCAGGAAAGAATTGCATTTAAATTTCATATTTTTCTTATATCAAGTACTAAAAATTTCACCAATCTTCTTTTAAAATGCAGGACACTTTATTTATAAAAGAAATTATATAACTTTGAATATCTACTATAATTCAAAGGATGTTTATTTAATGGTTAACTTTTACTTGGCCTGACACATCATTCCACCCACCTACTTCTTTATAATCAACCCACAAAATAAAAATCATTGTACCTGGCAGTAGCATCAAAATGATTACAGCATATAGGCACAATAAAGATCCAGAATATGTTTATATTCATTTTCCCTTATCTTGGAAAAAATATAGCACATTTTAAAGTTCTCTCAGAAAACTCTCAGACTATAAATACAGCAGCAGAATGGCCCCCACTGTTACTGTTACGAATAGTTTTTCTACAACACTAATGCTATTCCAACTTTATAGCTTTAGTTCAGTCATAGCTTGGAACAGAATAAAGTTAACTCTGGTAGAGAGTATCTTTGGCTGAATTAGCATGATGATGTACACTAATTAGCAAGACTAAACAAATGGTACTTTTTAAAGGAAGCTTTATAAAGAAAAGGTAGAAGAAGAAAAAAGGTCTAGAATGGGATTTGATTACTTACAGCAAGAGCTACTAAAAAGACATGTATCTGTCTACATAGAATGAAATCTTTCCAAAGTAGCAACTTTATCATTCAATTAATAAATACTTATTGAGCAACTATTTTATCAATGAGGACACTGAGTAACAATCTAAGGAGCACACAGCTGGTTAACAGACTCAAGATTCAAATCCTGGTTTGTCTTACTCCAAAGTCCATGATTTTTCCACTTCAAATCTTTAAAAAGTGAAGGTTTCAACCTAGATAGAGAAATGACTGTGCCACTAATTTCAGAATGTACACAGAAAGAGGAGCAAGATTGGAAGGGAAGATGATTAGCCTAATGAAACCAACAGCAGCATTTATCTAATTCATCTGTTTCCTCCAAAGGATCAAAGAGAAGGCAGAGAAAGCTACACTTAGGGAGGACTTAAGATAGGTAATCTCTAAATCCTTTTAAAAAACATTTTAAGTAGTACATACTAAATGAATAAATGTAATACTAATGAATAATGGATACTAATGAAAAAATGTAAGCTGTGCAAGTTATAAAACATTAGAAAATAAGCACGCATAAACTCACCACATAATTTAAGAACTAGATCATTACCAATATGACTGGGTATACATGCATCTATTTGCTTCCCCCAAAAGGCATCTATTAAACTGTATTTATCATTTCTCTGTATTTATCATTTCTCTGCCTTTTAACAATAATCTTATCATATACATATATAACCATAAGTAGCTTATTTTTGCGTGTTCTTAAGTTTTATAAGGATAACAAATGTAGTCTCATACAAATTGGTTATTTCACTCATTATGTTAAGATTCATCCATCCGCTCTATTGTCACTGAACATTTGCTGTTTCTTATTTATTTTAGATTCATTTGGACCATATATATTTTCACAACTACTCATTGTTGTATTGAAGTTTTTTCTGCTCAAGGTTCTAAGAAATTAGAAAAAAGATAGATCACACCCTCCCGTAAGTTATATTACACATTTAGTCTTCCAAATACATACCAAATAGTCACCATTTCAACATCACTTAAAAATGAATCCACCTGCATATGTAACTTGCCAAGATAACTATTTGCACCACTCATTTATGACCTCACCAGTAACCACATTAAAAAAAAAAAAAACACTTAATTTACTAACAATGATGGAGATTCTCTACTAACATGCCATTACGTTTTATGCATTACTTAACTGTTGATTTAGTCTTAAATCACTTTGCTAAAACTTAGAAAATTAGCAAAGTAATTGCTAGTTTCACATATATATTAGCTATATATGTGAGATGTTAACCTCAACTTTAAGGTTGTGTATTTATTACCAGAATATACTTATCTAAAAGCCTAATATAACATCTTGTGTGCATATGTTAGGAAGACAGTTGTCAAAAAGGTCCACTTTTAGGCCTGACACAGTGGCTAACTCCTATAGTCCCAGCACATTGGGAGGCTGAGGTGGAAGGATCACTTAAGCCCAGGACTTCAAGACCAGGCTGGGCAACACAGGGAGACACTGTCTTTACAAAATAAAAAAATTAGGCATGGTGGCATGTGGGAGCCCAGGAGGTAGAGGCTGCAGTGAGCTGTGATCACAGCACTGCACTCCAGCCTGGGCAACAGAGCCAGACTCTGCCTCAAAAAAAGAAAAAAAAAGTTCCACTTTTCATAGTTTTTTGGTTCCCCACTCCTATACACAGATACACACAGTTCAGGAGGTATTACCACTTGTTTGGCAAATACACCTCTGTTTTCACTGTATTCTTAGGGATTTTGTGTGTGTGATTGTGTGACATTATCTTTGCAGCTTTGTTTATTTGAGAACTGGATGATTTTTCTAATGCAAGAGTAGGGAAACAAGTCTCTTTGCTTAATTCTGGGGAAAGGAAAACCTCCTCAATAATCCATAACTTTTAAGGGCATCAGTAAAACATGCATTTATTGGCAGCTGTGTTGAACACCCTATTAGGTGATGGGTTTCTTTATCTGTAAAGATAATAGCAGCCCCCATCCCCTAAAGTATTTTAGGATTCAATGAAAAAACGTAGATAAATTGATTAATACAGCACCCACATTGTAATTCAAGATTCAATAAATATAGGTTATCATTTCTGTACAGCTTTCCCCTTTCATGTCAATTCCTATTTGATACAAAAATTTCCCCAGCTGTGTTACTTTGCATTTTACTTAATCCTGAAATAAACTAAGGAACAGGTTACACTAGAGGGGGTACCTAAATCAACCTGAGGACAAGGACGGCCAAGGAGAAATTACAGGTGTTTGATATCCACCCCACTCCCCCAACCTTTAATGGCTTTTTTAAGTTTCTATAGGGTAGCAACTATTTTATGCATCTCAATATAGGATGGATGAAGGATATGAAAAACAGATGAATCTTATCTAGCACAATGCCTATTCCCACTATGGTCATTCTCAATAATCAGATTATTGGTCATAGATGGGAATTTAGAGATCATGCAGTACAAACTTATTTGTGTAAGTAAAAAAAAACGAAGCTCAGGGTCGATAAGTGACTTGCCCAACAGTGAAAGAGTCTTATCTGGAATCCAGGTATCTAGACCCACTCAGTCCATGAGTTCTCCCACGGGTTTACACGAACGCGCCACATTAATGAAGGCAAGGGACTGACAAACTACGAAGGCGTGTTTTCATCTACTCTGTCCCATCCTGTGTGTCAACCTTATTTATGTTATTTCAAGTTAGACATCACCTAAATACAGCCCACAGTTTACGAAATCTGTCAAAAGCATCGTAGAAACAGAAAGCGAAGGAGGACTATCGTATGAGTACCGCTGGAGGAGACGTAGAGTTGAGGGTACCAAGCGAAGGGAATTGCCTGTGGACAGAGGAGACAAGTTCATACTCCGAAAAAATAGGAAAACGAGAAAGGCTACTGGGCCACATAATATCTTCTCTTCTTGCAGAGGGCCCCCAAAACAGCAATACCTGGGGAGGAGATACCTACGGCATTCTGAGATTCGGGAAAGCACCACTGCCGCTGAATAAAACGAACCCAGCAACTTCCGAAAACAGAAAATCCGCCAAAGGAAACGCCAAGGCATGAAAAGCGCGCGCTGGACGTTGCGTCAAGCCCACCGCGGCCGGGCGGAAACATCCTCCCCGCGACGAAGGATCCGGGTGTGCGCGAGCAAAGGAGCGAGCGGGGAGTTCTAGGCCCAGGACAGCACCTATTTCCTGCTGGTGTAACAGAGCACCTTCTCTCACTACTCTGGCCATACCACCCCCGCGATAGAGGAGCAACACAGCTGTCTCTGTGCGCTCCGGATCAGCGCTTCCTAGATTTCTAGCCGGATCGTTTGGAGAAGGGCTCTGCATCTTATTTCCGGTGGCGGTGAGGTGCAGTTGCCATGGTGATTAGAGAAAGGCCGAGATCTGTCCAGCTGCGGTGAGAGGAACGCTGAATCGCCGAAGAGAATTGGCTGCGCTTCCTTGTTTGTGAGCTAGAATTAGGTAGCAAACAGCTCGCTGTCTCTGTCTCTTCGCTCCCTCTGTCCCTCTCTGTGCAGCTGCTTCTCCTTCCTCTGCTTTGTCTACTTCTCTGTCATAAACATTTGGTCCATGTATGTACCTAAAATGTACATGTAAATGCGGTTTTATTTCCAGAGGAATACAAAAATAGAGAGATGGTGCCCGAGATTACCTGTGACGGTATTTCACTGTGTAGGGACGGTGACTGGACGGCTTTCTGTTTTCACTTGGCCCTGTAGAAGCCTTAGGCGCTTGTTAACAGTTTATTTTTCTTGCTATTGTGTGGCTGGTTATTTATGGAGCCGTTTGCTGCAATGTACTCTCTAGGCCCCTGTCTCAGTCTCGGGCCGGAGTTTTAAGTAAGGGAGGTTTCCAAGCCTGCGGGGGGTGCAATTATATGTTTATTTAAGCTTTAGTTTGGTTTCTCGTCACAGAAAGGAAAAGAATAAAATTCTGGCACATTTCTGCCTTGGGATTTCCATGTGAGGGAGTTGCCTTGTTTGGAAAGAATATTTGAGGACGATCCTAAAATATACTTATATTTTAAAATTGCTTATTGCAAAGTGAAATTCATTCTCCCTTACTTCTTGAAACAGTTTTCTTTCACATTTGTGAGGAGATGCATGCACACATATGTGTTTAGAACTCTGATGCTTAATTATAGTATTACCAATTTGCAGTAACCAGACTGTGACACCACATCCCTGTGGGGTCCTTCTAAATCTGGTGTAATATGAAAGTGTCAGGCAGGCGGCCTGCGTATTATAAATAGGGTACTTCATCCATGATAAGCAATTATTATCTTTCTTTCCCAAGTGTAAATGATCTATATAATTCGAAAAGGTGCAAGTGATTTAGGCCTCCTGAGTAGGAATGCAATGAGTCCTGAAGGGGACCCTACCTGTGTTATCTTATTATTGAACTTGAAATATTCAATTTATTAGGTTGGAGATCTATTTTTAGAAGTCAAAGCTGGGTAGAGTAATATTGGAAGCTGTTAGACCACCAGTAGAATCTAATACCCCATAGTAACCATTGTTCAGTACTATATCCACATTAACAAAGAAGAAACTGTTCGTGAAATTTACGGCTTTTTGCCACTTACTGCTAGCTGGGTGACATTGCTACCCCTCAATTTCCTCATCTGTAAAACGGACAAAAAAATACCTGACCGCTGTAATAGGGATAAGACAAGATGTATGACAGTTCTTTAAGCTCTTATGTACAGAGGTGCTATACAAACCCCAAATATTGTTATTAATAAAGGAACACAGTAAAACTATGATAATGCTATAAATAAGACTTTTAAAATATAGCTATTTGAAATGTGGGGCTGCATTATTGAGATGTTAATGAAATGATCTTGTTGATCCTGCTGTGGAAGATGGGTGTCAACTACCACTCATATCCCGATTCTCATTATTCTGGAGTTTCTCATTATCTGCAGTTTATTTAGCACTTACTACGTGTCAAGCAATATTGTATATGCTTCACATGTATTAACTGATTTGCTCCTCTTAAAAACCTGATGAAGACTGTCATCTGACTTTCGTATTTTGAGAGAATAGATGTGTGCTCTTCCTTTGTTCAGTGATTCTTCTCTTGTGTATATCTTTGTTCTTTTGGCTATTATCACATATTTGAACAATTATATATATACATATGTATATATCTAAAATTAGAAATTAACTGCCAAAGGCTTATTCTTGTTTAATATATAATACGTCCATATACAACTATAGTATTCGTCTTTTACTTCCACATATAAAACTTTTAATATCTTGATCTTTTCATATATGTTATAAATTTTCTTCTATGTATAAAATCTTGATTCTCCTCCCTGTATTTGAAAGACATGGTGACATTTGTGTTTTAGTGACTCACATTGACAAACACATTTTTAAATTATTTTCCAATAGAATGGCGATCAGTCCACGAAGCGATGCAACTTTCTCCAGTCAGAAATCAACACCTTCAGAGAGTCCTCGAACAAAGAAATTTCCACTAACTGAAGAGGAAATATTTTATATGAATTGTAGAGCTGCCTACTTAACTGTCTTCAAAAGCAGCTTGGAAAACATTATTTCTAAAGATCAACTTTACTTAGGTAAATTTTTAAAATTTTTAAATCTTTCACCTTTTTGTTGAAAGTTAATAAATAGGTCCGAAAGACTGAAATTAGAATTACCTTGTTGAATCATCCCAGTTTCTTAGTGAAGCTTGAGCAATGGAACTACAGTAAGCTATTATGTCATATCATATAGTTACATATTCTAGGAACTACAAAATAAAACTTTCAATGTTTATACAAACTAGATGGGTAATTGAAAGCTTCTATCAATTACTACTTGCTTAAGATACTTTTAATTCTCATTTTGGTGCTTTAAGATTTATCATAATAAAATTAAAACGCTTTTGGCCTCTTAAGTCACTAGCCTGAATTTGACCCATACTGAGGAAAGTGTAAAGGATGTGTAAAAATGGGTGGAATGTCTGAAAAAGTGAAGTACTGAGAGATAAGTGAACTTTTAAAAGAGAATTGAGTTGGGGTTTTTTTATTTCTTATTTTTATTTTTTGTTTTGTCTTTTATTGCTTCTGTCCTTTATCACATTTAAAAATTCCTCTCATTACAAAGGTCCCCAAAACCACCAAATTTGGTTCTTTCCAGGAGTATCAAATGATTTGGACATCTTTAGTCATGAGAGAGTAGTAAACAACAGTACTAGATAACACTGACTACTCATGTCAGTTTCATCAAGGCTAATAACTTTATGGGTAGAGAAACTGAGTTATTTTGCCAATTTTATAATGAATTTTCTTAAACCAAAACCCTGACATATTTGTGCAGCAGTGTCTTGAGTTTGTATCCAATAAGATCTATTTGAGGAAATGTATTTTGAGGAATACAAGAATTGACAAGATTAAAATTTATTTGATGTCTAAATAAAATACATTATTTGTAAAGTAGTTTAAATGCAAATGCACATGACTGACTTTTAAAGTCATGTTTAATTTTGATTTACATAATTTTAAAATTACTAAAATGCTCTATTTTGAATTTTAAGTATTTGTGTTTAATTCATATACATTAAATGTTTAGGCAGACATCCAATAAATTTTTTTTTTTTTGAGACGGAGTCTTGCTCTGTCTTCCAGGCTGGAGTGCAGTGGCGCGATCTTGATTCACTGCAGCCTCTGCCTCCTGGGTTCCAGCGATTCTCCTGCCTCAGCCTCCTGGGTAGCTGAGATTACAGTTGCACGCCACCATGCCTGGCTAATTTTTGTATTTTTAGTAGAGACGGGGTTTTGCCATGTTGGCCAGGCTGGTCTCGAGCTCCTGACCTCAGGTGATCTGCCTGCCTCGGCCTCCCAAAGTGCTGGCATTATAGGCGTGAGCCACCACGCCTGGCCAATAAATTAAAATTACTTCTAATTTGCCATTATTTCTAAAATAATCCGAGTTTTTTTTTGTTACTGTTTTGAAAATATACTAAGAGAAGGAATCTGCTAAGTTTAAAAGTTTAACATGCCTTCCACTACTATGGCATTTAGTTTGTGAATCAATGTGTATGTATTACTAAGGTGCTATCAATCTTATGAAATTATCTGGGAGGATAACTATACAGTGTTTGTCTCTTCAGTGTTATATACACTTTTGGTTTTAGGGTGGAATACTCTCTTAACGTTGTAATAATTGATTTTAGATAAACTATTTTTTAAAAAGGAGTAACATGAACTAGAGCTGCTGCTTCTTGCTACACCTTTCATCTATATCCTTCTGCCACTTATGTGCATTTCCATTTTAAGGTCAGAGACAGCGGTAGCATTACTATAGCTTTAAGTTCCTTTTTTGTCAATTTATAAATAATACAGGATTATAGATGCATGTCAGAACTTTAAAGTAAACCCTGGCAAAAGATCCATATCATGGTGTCAAAATTTAAATATCTACAGCTACGTGATATTTTTACTATCATCAAACTTAATCATTAGATCCAGCTAATTCTAAACCTAGAGATTAAAGTTAGTAGGAAATAGATTGTATCAATTTCTTAGCTATGGGGACATCTGCTTACTGAGTACATGTTTTGGCATAATTAATTTTATTCTGAGAAAGTTGTTCTTGTCTAATTACCAGTACATTTTTTAAAACAATATTTTCTTTGTTACTAAAGATAGCAGCAAGCATATGCTAAGCTACCACTTGTGAGAAAAAGTTACATACCTTTTTTCTCAAAACTGAACAGAAGATATAATTTTCTTTCATGTGGACTTCAAATGCTGGCAAGGATGTGGAGAAAAGGGAACCCTCTTACACTGTTGGTAGGAATGTATATTAGTACAACCACTGTGGAGAACAGTTTGGAGGCTTCTCAAAAAACTAAAAATACAGCTACCATAGGATCTAGCATCCTACTGCTTGGTATATATCCAAAAGGAAATCAGCATATTGAAGAGATATCTGCACTCCCATGTTTACTGCAGCACTATTCACAATAGCCCAAATTTGGAAGCAACGTAAGAGTTCATCAATAGATGAATGGATAAAAATAAAAAAAGTGGTACATATACACAGTGGAGTACCATTCAGCTATCATAAAAAAGAATGAGATCCTGTCATTTGCAATAACATGGATAGAACTGGAGGTCATCATGTTAAGTGAAATAAGCCTGGCACAGAAAGGCAAACATCACACATTCTTTCTTATCTGTGGGAGCTAAAAATTAAAACAATTGAACTCATGGAGATAGAGAGTAAAATGATGGTTACCAGAGGCTGAGAAAGGTAGTGGGGGTAGGGGGAGAAAATAGAAAATAGAAAAATAGAAAGAATAAGACCTAGTATTTAGCTAGCACAACAGGGTGACACTAGTAAAAAAAATCATTTAAGTGTACATTTTAAAATAATTAGAGTATAATTGGATTGTTTGAAACAAAGGATAAATGCTTGAGGCAACAGATACCCTATTTACCCTGATGTAATTATTGCATACCTGTATCAAAAAATCTCATATTATACACCTACTATGTATCTCCAAAAATTAAAGATTTAAAAAAAAGAACCTTAGAAAAAAGGCACTTTAGGCTTAACAATAAGGAAGAAATTTTGCAGGAAATTTTATATAATATTCATTGTCATAAAAATAATTTAGTAGTTGTGTAAATGTGTTCTGTATATGTACCATGATTCAGTTAACCACTCCTTGATTCTTTGAACATTGTTTCCTTTATTATTAGTAGCAGTAGTGTAGCAATATGATAAACATCTTTGCACACTAAGCCTTTTTAAAATAAAAATATTTTAGAGGCAAAAAAAAAATTACAACTTCATTTACATCTACTTGTATTCCCAGCTTTTAAAGGGTAGGAGCTGGCTGGGGTTGGAATCCTAAAACACATATTGCCATTTCTTTGATTCTGTAAACAGCTGAATTAAGGAATAGTTCATTTACACACTAGGCAAAATACTTACTTACCTGTTGTTGCTAGGGCAGCATGGTAATCAGGGCTTTTGTCGACATCCAAAATAAAACTGTGGGAATAAAAACATTTATATTATCTCCAATGCAATGAATTTCCACAAAGCCTTTATAGGTATATGGAAGATGGCGGTTACCACAACTACAACTTCTGTTAGCTCTGAAAGTCACTGGCATAATCTAGAGGAGAAGAGAATTTTATTTATGGATTTTTAATATGTTATAACCCATGAGTTATGGCCATAGATAGCAATTTTACAGTCAGATGTAGACTTCCTATTTAGATTATAAAATTTCTTGCCAGGCGCGGTGGCTCATGCCTATAATCCCAGCACTTTGGGAGGCCGAGACGTGCGGATCACCTGAGGTCAGGAGTTTGAGACCAGCCTGACCAACGTGGAGAAACCACGTCTCTACTAAAAATACAAAATTAGCTGGGGGTGGTGGTGCATGCCTGTAATCCCAGTTACTCGGGAGGCTGAGGCAGGAGAATCACTTGAACCCGGGAGGCAGAGGTTGCAGTGAGCCGAGATTACACCATTGCACTCCAGCCTGGGCAACAAGAGCCAAACTCCATCTCAAAAAATAATAATAATAATAAAATAAAATTTCTTTTTTTGAGATGCAGTCTTCCTCTGTCACCCAGGCTGGAGCACAGTGGCTCAATCTCGGCTTACTGCAGTCTCCGCCTCCCAGGTTCAAGCGATTCTCCTGCCTCAGCCTCCCAAGTAGCTGGGATTACAGGCGCAGGCCACCAGGCCCGGCTAATTTTTGTATTTTTAGTAGAGACAGGGTTTCACCATGTTGGCCAGGCTGGTCTTGAACTCCTGACCTCAGGTGACCTGCCCACCTCGGCCACCCAAAGTATAATTGTAAACCCAAATTACAGGTGTGAGCCACCACGCCAGTCTAGAATATAAAATTTCTTTGGAACTAAAAAGTTTGTATTGATGAACAAAAATCACCCTATACTATACTTGTGCACAATAATGTTCAATATAACTGACTCACTTATATCTGTATTTATTACCCTGATCTGGTTTCTATTTCCATGAGGATATTTCTTTAGTGAAATTGTTTTATACTTACTGGTCCTTATTACATTAAATTGTACAATATCCAGATTATCATTTTTTGATGCTGATTGGTGATGCGCAGATCTTGTGAATTTCTATAAAGATAGTTGGAACTATCCAATATAAGATTTTGTAATAGAATTTGGCAGTACAATTCAGGACAATTGTATCTTTTAAAATTATGTTAATTCCTTCTGTGGTGCTTAGGAAATTTATCATTGGTTCATTTTAGAAAATGTTATATTTCAGTATGCAGAGATTTATTTGCAAATTACCAAGTTACTTCTATTCAACTGTTCAAAATATCTGCAGTTGCTTTAACCATTTTATTTTAGAGTGATATGACATACATAAATATACAAAGCTTTTCTCACATGTACTTCTTTGCTCTTCATAGATAGAAGGATATGGTTAAAAATGAAGAGTAGTTTGACCATAGCATCTCTATAATAATCTTCTCTCACAGTATATTGACATTCTTGATTTTTAGCAGGACCATGCCTGCAAAGGGATACTTTATGTGCATATATTTGACATTTGGAACATGATTAATGTTTTTGAAAGCTTAGTACCTAGCAAAGATGAACATTTTAGATATCGTGCCTTATTGACATTGGTATTCTTAAATGAATGATTTTCTCATTTCATTAAGATATTTGTTTTTTAAATTCACACATTGTATGTATTTATGGGGTACAATTTGACATTTCAATACATTTATATGTTGTATAATGATCAAATCAAGGTAGTTAGTATATCCGTCGCTGCATGCATTTATCTTTTCTTTGTGGTGAGACCATTCAAAAGCCTCTCTTCTAGCTGTTTTGTAATATACAGTACCTTAATGCTAACTATAGTCACCATACTGTGCAATAGAATAGCAGAACCTATTTCCCACTATCTGATTGTAACTTTGTACCCATTGACCAACCTCTCCCCATCCTCCCCTACCCCCAGAGTACTTAGATAGTACTTAAGTTCCCCTTCCCAGTCTCTGGTAACCACTGATCTATTCTCTACTTCTAGGATATTAACTTTTTTTTTAAGATTCCACACAAGTGAGATACGCTGTATTTGTCTTCAGCGTCTAGCTTATTTCACTTAACATGTTGTCCTCCAGGTTCATCCATGTTGTTGCAGATGACAGGATTTCCTCCTTCTTTATGGCTGAATAGTCATTAAGGTATTTATTTAGCCAGAAAAAGTACTAATTTATACTTTTTGTGTTATCCTTTTGTCCCCCAAACAATTAAGTGGATGGTTGTTTTTAATCTTGTATTTCCTTTAGAAGCTTTTAGAAGCTCTTAAGTAATCAGATATTGTTAGTTATTTAAACCATGTAGGTTGAGAACCAAACTGTCAGAATAAGGAAAATCTATTTAATTCTGGTATTAATAATTAAAGAATGTTTAGGTGGTGGCATAAATATTTTTGTTTTTCAAAGTCAGGCCTATCTTGGTATCACTAGATAAGTCAACACCAAAGTAATGTACTGGTATATGTATAGTGTTTTGTAAATATCATAATACATAATGATTTGAAGAAAAAAATGCGCTTAAGTACAAATTCCAGGTGTTACAATCACAAATAATACTTGTCTTGTTGGGCAGCTCTTCAGCATGCAGGAAGAAATCCATCCCAAAAGACCATTAATAAGTATTGGACTCCTCAAACTGCCAAACTGAATTTTGATGATTTTTGTATAATTTTAAGGAAGGAAAAACCTACTTCAAAAGCAGAACTACTAAAATCATTTAAGCAATTAGATGTAAATGATGATGGCTGTATTTTACACACTGACCTTTATAAATTTCTAACAAAGGTAAGATCTGTAAAACTGTTTTGTAATGTGCATATTTTCTAAAACAGCTTGGAATCTAGCTTTGACTACCAAAGTCCACATTAAAAATAAGTATTTCATTGAGAGGTTAAATGAATTACTTACATGTTATTTATAACGTACTTAGGAATCCTTCTGGATGAAATGTTCTTTGTAAATAAAAGATAAAGTATAAAATCGAGCTTATGTTACCATCCCCTTGTTCTCCTATTTAATTGGTTCCTGTTCAGAACTCTTTGAAAATCAGTGATAGTTCCATATGTGATAAGTAAAAGGAAAACCAAATATAAATGGGATTAGGAATCCATTCTGTTTTTTGATACAATGTTAGAAAATATCATTCCCCTAAACTCAATAGCAGTTATAACTGACTCTATACTATTCAATTGTTAGTTACTATTTAGTAAACTGAAATTCAGCACACTTTCACAAAATTTAATAAAATTGTGAAATTTATATAGCCGCCTCATTCTTTCTTTATATATAATACTCATGATTTATAATGAAGCAATACATTCAGACTTACTTGTGGAAAAGATTAAAATGTGCTTCCACTGTCCCCATGAATAACAAAGGAGTAATCATGTTGCTTTAAAATAAATCTTGTTTTTTTTTTTCAGAGAGGTGAGAAGATGACTCGAGAAGAAGTAAATGCCATAATAAATTTGGCTGATGTAAATGCTGATGGC
Source organism: Homo sapiens (assembly GCF_000001405.40). Classification (NCBI taxonomy): domain Eukaryota; kingdom Metazoa; phylum Chordata; class Mammalia; order Primates; family Hominidae; genus Homo; species Homo sapiens. The sequence continues at coordinate 63,532,739 of NC_000001.11, forward strand.
AAATTTGACTACATCAAGGTACATAAGCTCACATTGATGTAAATTTACATACTGTGTTGGAAAAGTGTTTTTATTTTTCCCCAGCTTTATTAAGGTATAATTGACATTACAGTGTACATGCAATGTTTTGATATATGTATACATTGTGAAACAATTAAATCAGTTAACATGTCAACTAATTAACATGTCAGCAAATTATTTTTAAAGGGATGCATCTTTTTAATATTGGCAATGACATCCTTAAATATTGTGCATGAAATTTAATTTTTCCAGTCCCATAATTGCAATCTGATGACTACATTAAAATAATATAACCAAGTTAAAAAACATGTGTGCTCACACACACGGACAGATACACACATAAACATAGAGACTCTACTCAGAAATGTACTTTTTCTGGGGTGGAAGAATCATAAAAATTATTTTGAACAAATGCAAGCCTACACATCTTGTAAAAAAATAATAATAAATCACCTCTCCTTGTGTAACATTTTATTTTCACACAGAGTATGAACTCCTCATTGAATCACGGCTACATTTCACTAGGTCACTTGAGGCTGGTCAATCTGATTCAAAAAAATAAAATGCGTAACCATCAATAGGAAATATATTCCATCTATCAGTCTGTTCCTTGCCTACTAATGTGCATTTGCTTTCTCCTCTTCCCCAGTGTATGATTGAATGTTTTACCCACTGGACTTTTTTTTTCCTGTAGTTTTGTAAATTATATATGACAACCAACGAGCAATGTCTCAAGACTACACTAGAAAAACTAGAGGTTGACAGTAAATTGATGCGTCACCAGTTTGGAAACCACATCGAAGGGTCCCCTGAAAGGGACCCATCACCAGTACCAAAACCATCACCTAAAATCACAAGAAAAACTGATCCAGAAACATTCTTAAATAAAGGTATTTACTTTTAACACTAAGAATTTCTTGATCAGAAATGAAGAGTCATATTCAGATAAATTTTTCCTTCCATTTCAGCTTATCAGTGATAAAACAAATGAGAATCTAACTTTTGTTAGCTACTATTTCTAGACTCTTTCAGCTGTAAAAATCTATTGAAGTAAAATTTTATTATGGAACTTGACTTAGCTATGCTCATTATATTTTATTAAAACTAAAATTTCAGACTGAAAGGTGACATATTGAAATAAGAATTCTTATTAGAAGCCCATAAATTAGGGATCATTAAAGCCTGATAAATATAAAACTTCTGACTTTATTTCAATAGGGAGAACAAAGAGAATCAAAGTAATACAGTAGATCTTTTATACTGCACTGTGTTTGGAAAAAACTCCTATTGACAACTTTTCATAATGTCAGACCAAATAATCATTACTTGTTGCAGGTGACACCAGGAGTTCTTTACTGTCAGCAACCAGGAAGTTCAAAACATCTGTTTCCTTCACAGTTACCATGGGGGCTAATGGTAACCGAAACTCAAAGTTAATGGAGCCAAATTTAATAAAGGTATAGTATTTTAAGTTAACAGATGACTTTTTCTGAAAAAAATTTGACATTAAGTTTATTAATAACTGTGCAGTGTCTACAGGGAACCAGTAAAGTTTATGAAGTAATTTGAGGTTTTTCTGTGTAATTTCTACCTGTAAGCTAGTGTAATACTTTTAAATTAAAAATGATGAATATTATTATAAGGTCTTCAGTTTGAAAATGGTAACACTCAAGTTTTATAACCTGATGAGTAGATTATCAAGTTATATACTTTGGGAAGCAAATTTTTTGTTTTGTTTAACAAATATTCACCATAGGTGTTTCATATAAATAAATCATTCATTCAATTTCAATTCCTGTGAGAGAATGACAACAAAGTCACTTTGCTAAGTCAATATTTGTAGAGTGTTAATATTGATCTTCTTTCTTTGTTTTCCCTTTCTAGACTCAACCTTTACTAGTTTTCTTTCAACAGAAAATAATAGTTACAGAAATATAAAACATTAACTGGAAACTGCTAGGATACATTAAAAATGTGCACCTAGAGACCTCTGTAAAAGGGGAAAAAATGGTTATGACCACATACTATAACTGCTGTTAGAAAACTGAACTGATTGCTCTCAAGAGCCACATTTTTGTTTCAAATAACAACTCTGTATTTGTTATTGAACTCTGAAGTCCCTTATATCTTTAAATTGCTAGAGAGTGACATTTGTTCTATATTAAAATTTTAAAACATTATCTCCAAGGAATTTTGTTCAGACTGTTTAGGAATCTATACACCCTAAGCAATTTGGTGTGCATGTCCAACATGTTCATACACAATATTTAGTGTTCCAACAATATTACTTTCCACCAATGGAACCTTTTTGTATTTTGCAACTAAATTAATTATTAATAAAATTAACTTAGTTAAATAATTATGGTTTACCTGATTCAAAAGCACAAATAAATGTAATTTTAGCCACTGTAAAGAGAGATATAAATAAATATTAATGTGGATTATGTTAAGTTATAGTAAGACTTTGTCTCTGTGTCATTAGTTGGGCTCATACCAATATAATTTTTAAAATTTAGTTCAATTCAACAAATATTCACTAAGCATGTAATGTGTGCCAGTTATTTTGCTTAGTGTAAAATATGAGCTTGAATTTAAAAATATAAATTTTCATTTGACTATTAACAGTATACCAAGGACTACCTTGGTATATGCTACACTATAGCATAGTATTTATTCATTCATTTATTCAACAAATATTTATTGAATGACTACTGTGTGCCAGTGTTCTAGATGTTGATTAGATTAGTGATCTAGAGTTTTGGGTAGAGATCTACCTGGGCTTGAATCTTAGCTTTATCACTTAATAACTGTGTGATCTTGGGTGAATTTGTCAGCAGCCCTTCAGAGTTTCAGTTTTCTTACCTATAAATAGGGAGTAATTATATTTAGTGTGCTTTGGAAAGATTTAAATCGTATGTAAACATATGTAAAGCATTTAGCACAATGCCAAGGACATTAATAAAGAATAGTGTTAATAATGTTAATACTATTTATTATATACAAAGGACATTAATAAATACTAGTATTAATATTATTATAGAACGAAGAAATAACTGGATGCTTGTATGGGAACGACATGATGAAAGTATAGTTTAAGAAAAGTTAATCTACTGTTGTGTTATATATAGAGACCTCAGAGACACCATCTAAGAGGCCGATAGAGTTTTCCAAATATAAAGTGATGATAACTTGGCCTAGGATAGTACTTAATGTAATACGATAGGGGCAGGTGTAATAGAAAAATGCCAAAATTAGTCTGTAAGTCATAACGATTATTTAACAAAGAGACTAAAGTTTTGTATGTAAGTCAAGAGCAGGGAATGGTGTGGATGATAATTGGGAATTAGGTAAAAGGTACTAAGATAATTTAATGATTAAAAGAAAAGGGCATACTGTCAACTTTTTAATACTGTGAGTTTCATATAAAATGTAATGTCTTTTGGAAATAATTGATAGCTCTGTATATCTTACCTTTTAATATCCTGTTTCGGATCTTGATATTGCCCACTGTTGCTTGCTATCTATTTCTTAGATGAGCTGAAATTATTATTTTTTTAAGTAAGTGACTCTTTTGTTATTCAGCAGCATTCAGTTCTTTGTTTACATTTTTCTTTTCTTTATTTATTTATGCATTTTTTTTAAGACAAGAGTTTCACTCTGTCACCCAGGCTGGAATGCAGGTGGGATCTTGGCTCAGTGCAACCTCCACCTTCCAGGTTCAAGTGATTCTCCTCCCTCAGCTACCCAAGTAGCTGGCATTACAGGAGCATGCCACCATGCCTGGATAATTTTTGTGTTTTTAGTGGAGACGAGGTTTCACCATGTTGGCCAGGCTGGTCTCGAGCTCCTGACCTCAAGTGATCCGTCTGCCTTGGCCCCCCAAAGTGCTGGGATTACAGATGTGAGCCACCACGCCTGGCCACATTTTTCTTTAAGTCTTGTTTCTTCCTGGGTGGTTTTCTGGAAAAACAGAGAACCTGCTAGACAAATTCTAAAAGAACTGTAATACTTGAAGTTTTCTTTTTTTATTTCATAAATTTCATATATTCCTGAGGTTTTATAACCATTCTGAAAAGTACTTGGTTGTGAATGTACAGAATAAATTACTGAAAGGATTGTTAAATTAATTTTCCAGATACTTTAAATTTATTTTAAACAAGTTTGGGTATCTCAACTTCATGTGGAACAGAAAAGTATGGAATTGGGACAGAGAAGGAGGGACTTTTCAGAAATTAGAAAATTGTTGTGATAGATAAGGGTAAGCCATGTTTTAAACCACAAAACCACACAATTGGTAAAGGACTTGAATTACAAAAGGAAAATAAGATCCTTACAGGTACTATACGCATATTACTTTCCATTGGCCATACTTAGTTACTGCATTATTATTCTTTTTAAAATCCCGAATTCTATCCATTTACTTAGGTTCTGTGATGGTCAAGGAATGTCAGGAATTTTCCTTTCAGAGAGGAATAGCTTCACCTTCCTTGCTAAGACCAGTCATGTCTAGAATTAGAGTAAGCCCCAAACTATCAGTTGTAAACTCCAGAGATGCAATACTTCCTATATTCAGATTCTTAGAGTATGCCTACATTTATGTTTTATTCATATATAGTACAACATATGCACACACATCACACACATGTTGTACAACCTATATATTATAAATGTCAAAACATATATAGCATCTACATTGTATACCATTTATATGTTATGTGTATGTCTATATATGGCAATACAAATAAAAACATTTGAAATTCCAAATGGTTCATTATCTGTTTTTTGTGAAAGCTCCAGATAATAATTTTCTTATAAGTTTCTCACATTTTCAAAATGTTGATCAGTTCAACCTGTCAATTAGATTTCAGGCCACATCAATTTTACCCTCCATAAATTATCTATTTAACCTTTTATTTTTTAAGTATGTATAGTTTACAATTCTTTAATAACAAAAAGTGCAACAACTGGTTACCTACCTGTCTTATCATACCCCAAAGCAAATAGCTTCCTAATAAGTATGTGACATAGGAAATCTTTATAAAAAGCAGTAGTGATGATAATGATAGTGATGAGTTCCTCCTCTGACTAAATCTATGGCAGATCTACTGCTTAATAATTCTTTCTCACTGAAAATTTTAATAATACAGAATTTGTATGTTAAAACAAATCATTTTCATTCACTACAGTGTTCCAAGAAAAATGGGACTATACTGATGTATTTGTTTTGATAACAAGAATTTTTTGCTTTAGTATTTGGTTTTGTACTTTTCAGCATTTCGTTATATATTATGAATGAAAATAAGTAAAATTTGTATATGACAAATAAAGGAAATAACAGTTCAGTTTGCACTTATATGAATTTACCTGAATTGGTAGAATACAGCACCACCTCATGCCCTATATAAGAATTACAAGCTATTATTTTATTTCTGCTTTATAATGTCAAAAAATTATATCATACATGGAATTTCTTACTCTTATTCTAAAATTATTTTCAAAACTCAACCTTCTTTCATTTTTCTCTTAATACTCAAACTGTCAGCTTAATCTATAATCCTTTCAAACTGATTTATTTGAATGAGCCAGCCAATTTGTCAGTAATTTTTTCTTTTAGTTCATAACATTTTAGTCTAGGTCCTAGAGAAAAAGCTTTGTATGATTGAAAGTCTATTTGTTTGAAAGGGTATTTTTTTTTCTTTTTCTTTTTTTTTTGAGATGGAGTCTCACTCTATTGCCCAGGCTGGAGTGCAGTGGCACCATCTTGGCTCACTGCAACCTCCGCCTCCCGAGTTCGAGTGATTCTCCTGCCTCAGCCTCCTGAGTAGCTGGGGCTACAGGTGTGCACCACCACGCTGGCTAATTTTTGTAGTTTTAGTAGAGACAGGGTTTCACCACATTGGCCAGGTGGTCTTGAACTCCTGACCTCGTGATCTGCCCACCTCAGCCTCCCAAAGTGCTGGGGATTACAGGCGTGAGCCACCGCACCCAGCCTTGAAAAGAAATTTTAAGTTGAGTAAGCATTGTATGTTTAATAACTCTGGCAGATCTTAAGTTGAATGTTTCCTTTTGAACAGTAGGAGCTATAAGTTCTCCTAGTGAAGTTATTTAGAATTCAAATTGATCTGTATATTACACTGAAGTTTGGTTGATATAAATAATGTGGTATTTGTCTTACTTTAATAACTGTTGTTCTACCATTTTCCAGCTATATTAATCCATATTTAATGTTATAGTATGTAGTTTGGCTGTCTTTCCAAAGAAACTCACAAATTCTCTTCTATTATAGCATTATTTTCTAGACATGGTACTTAGGAAAGACTTATAATAAAAATGTTTAACTTGTTCCCCAGTTAAATTTTATAAAGCTATGTCCTGTTAATCTGTGGCACTGCCCCAGAGGTAGCATCAGCACATTGAAAAATTCTTCCGAAATCTTTGAGTTTCCTAAATGGCACAAATTATGTTTACTACCAGTGTACCAGGCAAAGTACATTATCTTTTAAAGCTTAATTTAACCATTTTTTTAAAGCTGGGGGTAGGGCTGCTGTGCTGATGATTACAGTACAAATTTAAGAAATTTTGCAGCTACTAAATTCTACATTTTTAAAGTAAGAAAACCAAATAATTAAGTTTATCTTAACCCTTAAAAGTATGGAATCCCGATTGATAATGCCTTACCATACTTTATTGTAATATATTCATAAAGTTTATTTTAAAAACTGGCTTAAAAAATCACTGCAGATATTTAAATGTGAAATAGAACAGAACTTAGAATATAACTTACACACTGGAGAGAAAGTAAGGAGACCTAGCTTTTGGTTCTAGTTCTGCAGTCAATTGAGAACTATAGCTGTTCACATATATCACTTTATTTTTCAGACTTTTTTGTCAATCAAAAGAGAAGTCTGGACTAGACTGCTTTTTAGATTTCTTCTACTTTTATAAGTCTGTAATTCTAAAGTATTATCCTTTACCATTCCAAATAGGTAAATATAAAAAATATAAAATATATTGGATGAAATTCCATCTGATGCTATAATCAAAACTGATTGAAAGCATTTAAATGTTTTCCATTTAATGTCAGAATCATAATTCAAACTGTCTCAAAGTGTAACTTGTCTAAATGCTGTATAACATTTCTTTCATTTCTATTCTTTAGCAGTCATCACCATCCAAGGTCATGTTGATTATGTTAAGGGCAATTGGGTCTGAGGTAATGCCAGCATCTGTTGTTAGTCCATATATATGCCCATCCAAGAGATTTACAGGGAAGCTAAATGAAAGTCTGTGTATCATTACTCATCATTAATAGTTGAACTTGGGCCAGGCGCAGTGGCTCACGCCTGTAATCCCAGCACTTTGGGAGGCCGAGGTGGGCGGATCACTTGAGGTCAGGAGTTTGAGACCAGCCTGGCCAACATAGTGAAACCCCATCTCTACTAAAAATACAAAAAATTAGCTGGGTGTGGTGGCAGGCCCCTGTAATCCCAGCTACTCGGGAGGCTGAGGCAGGAGAATTGCTTAAACCTGGGAGGTGGAGGTGGCAGTGGGCCGAGATGGCGCCACTGCACTCCAGCCTGGGTGACAGAGTGAGACTCCATCTCAAAAAAAAAAAAAAAAAAAAAAAGTTGAACTTCAACTTCTGCCACAAGCCCAACTTTGAACCTCATTGTATCACAGATAATAAAAAATTTGAATTCGTACCCTGAGTACATTTTCTTTTAGAAACTTGGTCTAAATGTAGAGGCCAAATGTCTTGGACTCTAGACCTAATATTGCTACAAACTCCTTATAAAACTCTGAACCCATATAATCTCTGGCTACCTCAATTTTTCTGTTTATTAAAATGACTTAATTCATATCTACCCCATACTGCCTCATAGTGATGTTGTTGAAATATTATATATAATGACTTCTTTCTGTCATGGGCAATATACTTAACAAGATAAATTTCAGTAAGTTAAGGTCACATCTTAATTTCTTAGAATTAAAAATACACATATCTTGTATACCCCAAAGGTGTGACAGTGCAGGTGATTAATGACTGACTGAAAGCTTGAGTATAGTTCAGTTTATAATGATAAAATCTTAAAATGCAGTTTAAGAAGAAATTTCCAAAGAAAAGATAAAGATAAAAATAGAAAACTTGTATAAATTGAGAAATAACCAAAATGAAAATAAAAGGAAATAGAGAAAATACATTCATTAACACTCACAGAGTGGTTAATATCTAAAATAGTCAAAAGAATTTATTAAAATATGTAAGAAAAATGCTAAGTCTGCAACAGAGTTATGAGAATAGGAGAATGGGTAATTTATACAAAATAAATAATAAACACATGAGGGAAATGTTCAGCCTTGGTATTAATAATCAGAGAAATTCAAATTAATGCAAAAGTTACTACAATACCATTTTTACTATCAAATACTTGAGGCATATACAAATATATGGAATACCATAATGAATGCTTTATGTACCCACACCTTGCTTATGAAATCATCCCACATCACCCAATTTTTTTATAAAACAATACTAACCAAATAATGGTAAAATTATTACATTATATACCATTGGTGGTATTGTAAAATTGGCAGTACTGTTTTATAAAGCACTATGGGAACACATGTCAATAGCTTTAAAAATATACATACATTTTTGCCTAGAAGTTCTCAAGGAAATTATTCATCAGAAGAAAAGCATTTAGACAAAACAGTATTCTATTAATATTGTGATAAGAAATTAGAAATGACCTAAATGTCTAACATTTTAGAAATAGTTAACTAAATAATGGTATACCAACTCAATGTTTTTGTTTTTTTTTTGAAACGGAGTTTTGCCGTGTTACCCAGGCTGGAGTACAGTGGCACGATCTCAGCTCACTGCAACCTCCGCCTCCCGGTTTCAAGGAATTCTCCTACCTCAGCCTCCTGAGGCTGGGATTACAGGTGCCCACCACAACACCCGGCTAATTTTTGTATTTTTAGTAGAGATGGGGTTTCACCATGTTGGCCAGGCTGGTCTTGAACTCTTGACCTCAGGTGATGCACCCACCTTGGCCTCCCAAAGTGCTGGGATTCCAGGAGTGAGCCACCATGCCCAGCCCCAACACAATTTTTAATCATAGAACCATTTAAATTGAAATTTTGAATATTGCATAGCAAAATGGTTTTTCCTGTGGTAAAATATACAAAACATAAAATGTACCATTTTACTCATTTTTAGGTATACAGTTCTGTATCACTAAGTACATTCACACTGTTGTACAACCATCAATACCACCACCATACATCTCCAGGACTTTTTCATCTGGAACTCTATTCATTAAACAATGACTCCCCATTTCCCCCTCCCCACAGCCCCTGGCAACCACCATTCTACTTTCTGTCTCTCTGAATTTGAAGTGGTCAAATTCACTTAAACCTCATATAAGTGGAATCATACAATATTTGTCCTTTTGTGTCTGGCTGATTTCACTTAGCATAATGTCTTCAAGACTCATTCATGTATAGCATGTGCCAGAATTTTACTCCTTTTTAAGACTGAATAATATTCCCTTGTATGTATTTACCATGTTTTGTTTATCTATTTTTCTGTCAATTGACATTAGGGTTGTTTCTACCTTTTGGCTATTGTGAGCAGTAATGCTATGAACATTGGCATACATACCTGTTTGAGTCTCTGCTTTTAATTCTTCTGGTTCTATACCTAGAAGCTGGAATTGCTAGGTCATATAGAATTCTAGATTTGCTTTTTTGAGAAATTACCATACTATTATTCACAATGCTTCACCATTTTATGCATTTTATGTTCCTATCAACAATGCACAAGGGTTCCAATTTCTCCACATACCAATACTTGTCGTTTTCTGTTTTTTTGATAATAGGTATCCTAATGGGTGTAAGGTGGTATCTCATTGAGGTTATGATTTGTCTTTCCTTAATGATTAGTGATGTTGAGCATCTCTTCATTTGCTTATTGGCCTTCTATATATCTTCTTTAGAGAGGTGATCATTTGATGATTCCTTTGCCCATTTAAAAAATCTGGTGGTTTGTTTTGTTGTTGAATTGTAGGAGTTCTTTATATGCTCTATATATTAATCCCTTTTTGGATATGTGATTTGCAAATAATTTCTCCCATTTCATGAATTGCCTTTTCATTCTGTTGGTAGTGTCCTTTGATGCACAAAAGTTTTTAATTTTGATGAATTCCAATTTATTTGATTGTTGCTTGTGCTTTTGTTGTCATATCTGAGAAACCATTGCCAGATCCAGCGTCAGCTTTCCCCCTATGTTTTCTTCTTAGAGTTTTATAATTTTAGCATATTTAGGTCTTCAGGTTGAGTTAATTTTTATGTGTTGCATAAGATAAGAGCCCAAATTTATTCTTTTGCAGATGGATATTCAGTTTTCCCAGCCTCATTTGTTGAAAAGACTGTCCTTGCCCTCAATGAATGATCTTGGCACCCTTTTTGAAAATCATTAGACCATATAGGCAAGGATTTATTTATGGGCTATCCATTCTGTTCTATTGTTCTGTATGTCTGTTTTCATGCTAGTACCACACCCTTTTGATTACTGTATCTTTGTAGTAAGTTTTGAAATCAGAAAGTCTGAGTCCTCTAGCTTTATTCGTTTTCAACAGCAAAATATTTTGGATATAAAATTAATTTTTAAAAGCAGAACATAAAGCAGTGTTTATTAAAATGTAAAAAATAGGTTTCTACATAAGGTCAGTATTAGAAAGGATTACATGAAAATCTAAGTAGGGCATTAGAATTATAGAGATTTTTAATAAAATATGAAAATAATTGTGACATAAAATAGAAAAATGAGATGTAAGTATGTTAGGATAATTTAGTCTTCTCTTAAAAATGTGAGCATGAAACCGATCTCAATGTAAATTATTTTTGCCTTTGCAGTGATATAATAAATCTTTCTATAATGAATTAGAAAACATTTATGATGTTATTATTATACAGCTAGCATACACCTTTTCAGTAGTTATCAATATTATTAAAGCCTTGAACTTATTATTTAAATATGCTTACTTACATTTCAGGTAGGCAAGCCTACTAATAAAGTGAAAAGCATTTTTGCACATAGCTATGGTAATGACACAATTTTCTCATAACTTCAATAAAGAATCTTCTACTTTGTGTCCAAGATGCCATTTTCAAGTTTTATTCTTTTCTTTTCTTTTTTTCTTTTTTCTTTTTTTTTTTTTTTTGAGACAGAGGCTCACTCTGTCTCCCAGGCTGGAGTGTAGTGGCATGATCATGGCTCACTGCAACCTCCATCTCCCAGGTTCAAGCGATTCTCCTGCCTCAGCCTTCGGAGTAGCTGGGATTACAGGTGTGCGCCACCACGCCCAACTATTTTTGTATTTTTAGTAGAGATGGTGTTTTGCCAATGTTGGCCAGTCTGGTCTTGAAATTCTGACCTCCAGTGATCCACCCGCCTTGGCCTCCCAAAGTGTTGGGGTTACAGGTGTGAGCCACTGTGGCTGGCCAAGTTTTACTCATTTCTAGTTATGAGATCCCATATATGAATTCAGACAAGAAGGGATTTGGCTAGACCAAGAAATGGTAAAGCCAATATAGAAAAGTCTTTCTCAAAAGTGATATTTTATATTCATCGGCATTGTTCTGTAGCTGTGAAACTTCTTTTTTTGAGACAGAGTCTCACTCTGTCACCCAGGCTGGAGTGCAGTGGCATGATCTTGGCTCACTGCAACCTCTGCCTCCCGGATTCAAGCAATTCTCCTGCCTCAGCCTCCTGACTAGCTGGGACTACAGGCGCACGCCACCGTGCCCGGCTAATTTTTGTATTATTAGTAAAGACGGGGTTTCACCATGTTGGCCAGGCTGGTCTTGAACTCCTGACCTTGTGATCCACACGCCTTGGCCTCCCAAAGGGCTGGGATTACAGGCGTGAGCCACCGCTCCCGGCCAGCTGTGAAACTTTTATTCAGCATGCTTCTAGTTATCTACACTTGAAGCAATTATTTTGCTCTTACATTTAAAGTCATTTTTTCTTTCAATATATTTCTTTTAGCAATCCTTAATTCTTCCTTCTTACTGTGCTCCTAGCACTAATCTCATTCTATTACAGCAACATATTTATTTATTACTTTTTTCAATACTTCATTTTTCTTTTCTTTCTTTTTTTTTTTTTTTGAGACGGTGTCTTGCCCTGTTGCCCAGGCTAGAGTGCAATGGTGTGATCTCGGCTCACTGCAACCTCTGCCTCCCTGGTTCAAGTGATTCTCCTGCCTCAGCCTCCCGAGTAGCTGGAATTACATGCACTCATCATCATGCCCAGCTAAATTTTGTATTTTTAGTAGAGACAGGGTTTCACCATGTTGGCCAGCCTGGTCTTGAACTCCTGATCTCATGATCCACCCACCTCAGCCTCCCAAAGTGCTGGGATTACAGATGTGAGCCACCGTGCCCAGCCAACTTTATTTTTCTTACTTCTTCTTTACCTTATATCTTTTCCTAACTTTTCATTATTGAAATGCTATCTATTCTTCATGATATAATTCATCAGTTGCACACTCAGTTTACATCAGTCCCCCAACCCCAATCAATTAGACAGTAAATATTTGTTGAGCCAATGTGTTAGGCACTATTTTAGGAACTTAGATTATAGTAAATTATTTTCCATGTATAATTATCTTTTTGTGTTAACCATATATTACTGCCAATTATAATTGGATTTTTTTGAGACGGAGTTTCCCTCTTGTTGCCAAGCTGGAGTACAATGGCGCGATCTCGGCTCACTGCATCCTCTGCCTCCCAGGTTCACGCAATTCTCCTGCCTCAGTCTCCTGAGTAGCTGGGATTACAGGCATGTGCCACCACGCCCGGCTAATTTTGTATTTTTAGTAGAGACAGGGTTTCTCCATGTTGGTCAGATGATCCGCCCACGTTGGCCTCCCAAAGTGCTGGGATTACAGGCGTGAGCCACCATGCCCTGTGTATAATAGGATTTTGTTATGTCTGTTTTCTACCTCCTAACTATGTTGCACATTCCTGGAGAGCAATGATTATATTTGACATTTCTTTTATATCCCCCTGTGTTTTCTCCTCATTACTATGCATACTGGAAACATTTAATAAATATTGTTTGAAATAATTTTTTCCTTCATTTCAGGACTGGCAACACATGCAATCAAAAGGTTGCTTCTTCTTAGAAGAAGATGGTGAAATCATTAGTCATCAGTACAGGATGCAAATAGCTCAGAGGTCCATGGTTTATCTAACAATTAAGCCATTAAACCTGAGTCAAGTTGAAGGCAAGTTTAAGTTTTTTGTATATTTTTAAAATGTCAATTTGTACCCTCCTTGAAAGTACTTATGTAAGTATTCCATAGTCCTAGTTAGGGAAGAAAATAATCTGCCTAAGTAAGAATTTATGGTTACATTTCAAGAAAGTGTTGGCTTATACATGAACTGTGTTAATCATATGAAAAGCAAGTAGATTGCTTTATATGTTTAAAGCATGTTTTATTAAAAATAAGAACTTTTTCCAAACTTTTCTACAGCTAAGATAGAAGAAAATAAAAGAAAAAAAATGTTAACTGGTTTCCTCATGATATAGAACTAACTTTTTTTTTTTTTGAGACGGAGTCTCCCTCTGTTGCCCAGGCTGGAGTGCAGTGGCTCGATCTTGGCTCACTGCAACCTCCGCCTCCTGGATTCAAGTGATTCTCCTGCCTCAGCCTCCCCGAGTAGCTGGGACTACAGGTGCACACCACCTCGCCCGCCTAATCTTTTTGTATTTTTAGTAGAGACAGGGTTTCACCATGTTGGCCAATCTGGTCTCAAACTCCTGACCTCAGGTGATCCACCCGCTTCGGCCTCTCAAAGGGCTGGGATTATAGGTGTGAGCCACCATGCCCAGCCAGAACTAAGTTTTTATTTGCTAATTAATCTTAGCTTTTTCCATTTGTCAATTTTTAAAATTAATATGTCAAAGAGAAGTACTGCAAGGGGATAATTTGGAACAATATGAAGCTGAAAGTATTTTTAAATACCTTCAAAACCCTTTGTCTGTGACTTAGACAATATTTATTAATAATCTTTGTATTCATGGTAATATTCTAGATAAAAATACTTTTCTAGTGTCTAAAATGGTTATGTAATTTTTAAGCAATGAAAGATATCTATCTATAAGGGTGATTTCCCTAGATAACCTTTTTTAATGTTGGCTGTTCTAAATCAATATTTATTTTTCTTTTATAATGTTTACATACAAGCATTTTCTTACTAAAGGATTCCCACCTCCCCATTCTTTTTCCCTCCTAAAGTAGAGATTTTGAAAGTTTTCACTGCATCTCTTGTGGGATACGTATAATGTTTGGCAGATGATACTTTTAAATGACAATAACAATAGTTATTTTTCAGAGAGAGGAATCAAGATAGCCCTGCAAATTCAGTGTAGTTGTTAATTCTCTGTATTCTTATTAACAAGATTCCTTTATTCATTTATTTATCAAATAGTTATCGAGGGCCTTATATACCAGACATCAGTTTAGGTGTTTAGGATACATTAGAGTTAAAAAAAGACAAAAATCCCTGCCCTCGTCAACTTAAATTTTAGTGAGGGAAACAATACATAATAAACATAATAAATAGTAAATGACATGGTATGTAGGAAAGTGATAAGTGTTATGGGAAAATCAGAGGGAAAGGGGGTTAGTGAGTGCTGAGGGAATGTGGGTTGCCATTGAAATGGAGTGGTTAGTATATGCTTCATTAAGAAGGTGTCATATGAATAAAGACTTTGAAAGAGATGTATGAGTTACCAACTGCTACATAAAAAACTACCCCAAAACTCAGTGGCTTAAAACAATTAAACATTTGTTCACTCATGAATCAGTAGATCTGTTAGTTCTTAGTCTGAGCCAGGCTTGTTTTTTCTCTATAGGGCTTGCTCACACAGTTATGGTTAGCTACAGGTTAGCTGGTGGCTGGCTTTGCTAATCTTGGCTGGGTTCTTTCTTACGTATGAAGTCCCATCTGGGACAACTTGACTCAGCCTCATATGATCTTTAATAATCCTTCAGTAAACTAGCCTGGACCTGTTCTCTTGGCACAATAGGATCTCCTGAGGTTTGGGCTCAGAACCAGCACAATGTTACTTCGTTATATTCTGTTGCTCACAGAAAGTCACAAGGCAAGTCCAGATTCATAGGCTGGGGAAATAGACTTGATCTCTTGATGGAAAAGCTGCAAAGTCACATTGCAAAAGGCTGTAGATACTGAGGGGGACAGCCATTTTTGCTGTCTTCCACAGAAGGCAAGGGAGTAAGCCTTGTGGGTGTATGGTGCTGGAAGGGATGGGTGAAGAGTGGAGGAGGTGGCAGAGTATTCCAGGTAGACAGAATACTCTGTGCAGAGGCTCTGTGAGAGTGTACTGGTGTTAAAAGAACAGAGGCTAGAGTGTCTCAAATGGAGTAAGTGAGGAGAGAGTTGTAGGAGATGAAACCAGGGAGAAACAAGGACAAAATCAGGAAGAGGTTTCTTTTTGCCATAATTAGGACTTGGGCTTTTGATCAGAGAAATGAGGTTTCCCCCTCGTTTTTTGTGAGTTTTATTCTCCATATATAAGGTCAAGATTTTATCTTAATCTTTCATTTTCAGCAGTTTGACTGTGTGTCTAGGTAGTTTTTGTTTTTGTTGTTGATGCTGTTGCCTGGGTTTTTTTGTTTTTTGGTATTAATCCTGCTTGGGGTTCTCTGAGCTTCTTGGATATGTGGCTTGTTGCCTTTCATTATTTTTAGAAAATCCTCTGCCTTATTTCTTCAAATATTTCTTCTGCCCTCTTTCTTCTTCTTCCACTTGTATGGTACCTGACATCTCTTCCTGTTCTGCTCCACCACAGGTAAGCCAGTGCTTGCATCTCGTCTCTCCTGGGAAAGATCTGTCTTTCCTTGGATTTTAAGCTTATAGTTGTCCTGTAACCCCAGCTCTGATGGGATCAAGAAAAGTTATGATTTTGTAGTTCATTAACTTTTTCTTATTGTTAGGAAAGGAGCAATATTCTCCCAACTCTGCTCCATTAGAGGGTTTTGAGTAGAAGGCAGGACATAATCTGATTTATATTTTAACAAGAGCAGTTAGGTTACTGTATTGAAAGTAGGTAGAAGGCAGGGTTGGCTCTAACGAATTTGAATGAGGAGCCTCAGCACTTTTCGGCGCCATTTTCGAGTGATACCTGATCTCATCAATCTAGCGGAAGAGACAGGATAACCTATCCAAGAGTATAGCGCCACTATGACTCCGCCGGAAAAATTACTTTAAAAATCGCCAAAAATTACTTGGAGCAAAGGGCAGTAGGCGGAGCTTCGCCAAGGCTGGCGCAGTCGGTTTTGACCTGTAGCAGAGAACCAATTCTGGAGAACAGCCTCACTTCTTTGATTGAATACTCACATAATGCTTTGGAACAGGACATGAGATTAAGGTTTAATAATGATAGAATGAAGACCATAATAAAAGAGACCTCTACTTACCTCAGCAATTCTTACCTTTCTTACCTATTTGATGAAGATGTCTTTTGAAAGGTGTACTGCAAGGAACAAAATGTTTGTAAATTCTGCTTTTACCAAGGTTTCTTTTTTAGTTGATGCCAAAGAGTTCCAATATTGAACATCTTAAGTCTGTTACTTGGAGTATGGATTGAGTTTGGAGCTTACTCAGAGGACTACAGGAGAGTATCCAGGAGGTGGATAATTACTGTACCTTCCTCATGGAAAAAGTTTTATTTAAAGTGTTATTTCTCGTTGAATACTATCAAAAAGGAAAAAAAAATGACCTAAACTTTTGAGACAGATTTGGCTCTAGTAAGTATTTAGATATATCGCTTGCATATCTGGGAGAAGAAATAAGAGACTATCATCAATACATTCCCATCTACTAAAAAATTTTATTTTACACATGTCAAGGGATTACTTATAACTTCCATTGTCTTTTTTTTAAGCCTATATGCAATGAAAAATATATTGGCAAAATAAATATTTAAACCTTTTATGTTAAAATTACTGTGAAAGATGACAAGTTAGCTGCTGTTTTTGTCTACATTATACTGAAATTAAATGTTTATAATTTATATTTTGGGTTTATTTATTTATAAATCATGGAATTTATGCAAAAAACATGAGTAGTACAGATTCTCCTCTAATTCTGTAGGACTTTGAATAATGTGATATTTTTCTTATAGTTGGACCCTTGTGTTTTGAAGAAATGCCAACTGCTTGAAGAATTTCCTTGTTATTTGTATTATTTGCTATAGGGTTAGATGTTGAGAAATTCTTCTGACAAAAAATTTTAAGCCAGTTTTACACTAAATATTCCTTAGTCTGATTAATTTGTTATTGGATGTATTCTGTATCTTTCTTTTGTAATTTGTAACTTTTATCCACTTAGCACGAATGATTCTATTGAAGAAAATCTTTAGGAAGTGGTAGAAACTTTAAATCGCCCCATAGTTTGCCTGTTTCCACATTTTATTATCTTATAATCTTTGGGAGTGCTTACACTTATGGAGCTAACATTTTCAGAGATACAGGTTCTCATAGTACTACTAAAACTTTTTTCCTCTTTGGACTGAATACCTATGATTATAACTATACAGTAGTTTAAGTTTCCTTGTGATTAGTCAAAAATACCATTTTAGTATGAAGCAATGAAGTCTATTATTTGTTGTCCCATAATTGAGAAACTTAGATACACCTTTTATTAAGAGTTTGTAAATTCTAGCTTAGTCTACACAGATTTTTATATCAATTTGTTTATATTTTTATTAATGTCATTTCTGGAATTGTGAAAATGTTAATGTTCGACAAGCAACATTAAAAATAGATTTGAAACATTAAAAAAAAAAAAAGAAAGTAGATGGAAGGATACGCAGGAGAAAGCAAGGAATCCAGCTGGGACATTATTGTAGAATTCTAGAAGAGGACTGGCAATGCTTTGAACCAGGATGTTGGTGGGAGATGGGGTAGTAGAGATTCTGGGTATATTTTGAAGGCAGAACCATAGGATTTCCTAAGGATTGGTCTTGGTATGTGAGAAAAGAAAAGAGTTAAAGAAGATTCCAAGATTTTTGACCTGAGCAACTGGAAAGACTGAGTTACCATTAACTGAGATGGGCAGCGTTTTAAAAAAAGACTAGGGAAGTCCAGTTTTGGAAATAGAAATCTAGGTAGAAATGTTAAATACACAGTTATATGGGTCTAACATTCAGAGGAAAGATCCTAAAGATATAAATTTTGGGGTTGTCAGCACATAGATGTCTGGCATCTCTTCCTCGTGTGCTCCACCACAGGTAAGCCAGTACTTAAATCCTCTTTTTTTTCTGAAAATCTCTGTTTTTCCTTGGATTTCAGGCTAATTGGTTGCCCTGCAACCTCAGCTTTTGATGAGTTCAAGAAAAGTTATGATTTTTAGAAAGTGAGTATATAGAAAATGTTTCTCACAAGGTTGCTGTATTTAGGTTTGTGCCTTATTGCAAATGCTATCATGTTTACACATAAAAATGGAATATGGGCCGGGTGTGGTGGCTCACGCCTGTAATCCCAACACTTTGGGAGGCCCAGGCAGGTGGATCATGAGGTCAGGAGATCGAGACCATCCTGGCCAATGTGGTGAAACCCCGTCTCTACTAAAAATACAAAAATTAGCTGGGTGTGGTGGCACATGCCTGTAGTCTCAGCTACTCAGGAGGCTGAAGCAGGAGAATCGCTTGAACCCGGGAGGTGGAGGTTGCAGTGAACCAAGATCGCACCACTGCATTCCAGGCTGGGTGACCAAGTGAGACTCCGTCTTGAAAAAAAAAAACATGGAATATGTATTTCTAAAGAAAATATCCAAGAAGAAACTAGTAACTTATTTTTTATATAGGAAAGAATAGATAGTGATTGCTTATTTTAAGGTGTTTGGGCTTTTTTTTTTGTTTGTAGGAAAACCATCCCCTTGGTTATCCGTTGATACTGCCTTGTATATTCTCAAGGAAAATGAGAGTCAAGCAAATCTACAGCTTGTGTGTTTTACCGAACTACGAAATAGAGAAGTATACATATTTATTTTCTAATGTTTAATTTTTAAATATAGTATGAACTGCAGTTTGGGGAAAGTATGTTTCTGTATTTTATTTTTTAAGCTTTCATATACCTTCCAATTAAGGTATAAACAGCACTTAAACACTATAGATATTATATGTTTTTAATTTAATCATATTAAATTAAATTAAATAATTATAAGGATTTTTTCTTGTTTGCTGCGATTTCTTAAGAATTAAGGATGGGAGGAGCTGGGCATGGTGGCATGCACCTGAAGTCCCTGCTACTTGGGAAACTGAAGCAGGAGGATTACTTGAGCCCAGGAGTTCAAAGCCATATTATTCTATGATCTTACCTGTGAATAGCCACTGTACTTCAGCCTGGGCAACATAACCAGACCCTGTCTCTAAAAAAAAATTTAAATAAAGAATTGAGGATTGGTTGGCAGTCTTGAGTCTTGGCTTATACCTTTTAAGTTGTATAATATTGTACCTTACTTTCATCTTTTCTAAATGCCCTGATGCCTCATGTGTGAACATTTGATATACTCAATAAAAAAGGTTGATGCCAGTACATTTTTTTTCCCTAAATGCAAGCAATTCAAGACTTTGGAAAAGCTGCTGTAGACGTTTGTCTTACTTATACTACTACTGCAAAACAGAAAAACTTAAGATTACTATCCTCAGGCTTGACTTATTTTATAGGGTTCAAAAATAGATTGATATGAAAAAATGCTTTTAAATGTTTTTATATGTTGCCCATGGGGTTGTTCTGATCTTTTCTAATAGTATATTTACTCAGAGGCCAAATATGTGAAGCCAATACATAAATGTGGCTATTTATTTTATGAGGACTACAAAATACATCTGCTACACAAAACAGAAATAATGCTATTTAAGGGCTTACTACAGTATCATATTTAATCTTTATATAGGCTCAATGACACACAAACATTTCCCTGATAGAATGTTATATAAAAGTCTTTTTTGTAGGCTTCCTTACAGACAAGAATAGGCAAGAAACAAATAAAATTGGCTGAAGTTAATGTTTTGACTAAACTCTTCTTCAGAACTGACTACAAAGTTAAGTTCAAGATAAAGCATTGTCTAAAACAGTAGCTGTTTCCACTTTGTTTTGGGTAAAATTACTCTCTTATGAGATTGCATGTGTAAAAAAATTAGTATATAGCAAAATTATAATAGAGTTTGCATGAGTTTCTATTTACCTCTTTATAGGCTTCTGTTTATCTGTAATATGTTGTATTTACAAAGGATTTTTTATTTGTATTTATACTTTCACAATTATTTTCTTATAGATGAGTTTTGTGCCCATGAAAAAACTTTCCATTTGTCATCCACAGTGGCAGTGCAAGGTTATGTGTGGAGATAAGGAAGGATCATGGGATAATATATATTAGGAAGCAGCAAGATCTGGTTTTTCACTCCTGAGTCTACATCTAGCCAATTTCAAAGGTTATGCTTTTCAAAGGATGGATTTGGTAAACATTTCATTTTTGTTTGTTTGTTTGTTTGTTTTGAGACGGAGTCTTGCTCTGTCGCCAGGCTGGAGTGCAGTGGTGCGATCTTGCTCACTGCAACCTCCGCCTCCCGGGTTCAAGTGATTCTCCTGCCTCAGCCTCTCAAGTAGCTGGGACTACAGGCGTGTGCCACCATGCCCAGCTAATTTTTGTATTTTTCGTAAAGACAGGGTTTCATCATGTTGGCCAGGATGGTCTCGATCTCTTGACCTCATGATCCGCCTGCCTTGGCCTCCCAAAGTGCTGGGATTACAGGCTTGAGCCACCAGCCTGGCCAACATTTAGTCTTAAAAATGACTTTCGGTTATATTGGATTTCTTCTTGTATCAAAATAGGACCTGGTGACCTTAAGAAGATTATGATTTCTCTGAGTTGCCAGGGCAGAAATGGAACTAAACCCAGAACTTAGATGAGCAACATTATTTCATATATGAGTCTCCAGAATGACCTAAAATATACCTAAGTTGGTTTTTGTTTGTCTGTTTGTTTATTTATTTAGAGATAGGGTCTCACTCTGCTGCCCAGGCTGGAGTGCAGTGATGCAATTCCCTGTAACCTTGAACTCCTGGGTGAAAATGATCTTCCTGCCTTAGCATCTCAAGTAGCTGGGACTATAGATGCATTATTATTATTGTTGTTATTTTTAGAGATAGGATCTCGCTATGTTGTCCAGGCTGGTCTCCAATTCCTAGCTTCAAGCAATCTTTCCACCTTGGCTTCCCAAAGTGCTGGGATGATAGGTATGAGCCACCGTGTCTGGCCTTATACCTGGGTTTTAAAAGGAATTTTTGGACATAATACGTGAAAGGATTCTCTTGGGTTAGTCTGTGCTGAAGGGCACTTAGCTATTACACACAACTAAGAATTGTTTAGATTTAATATATTTAACAGAGACAGCTGCTAGCTTTTATAGGAAACCTTTGGGCTCCAAAAAGCTCTTAGGAGGTACATAGAGAGATACCATTTGCTTTCTTTCTTTCTTTTGTTTTTTTGTTTTTGAGACAGAGTCTCGTTCTATCACTCAGGCTAGAGTACAATGGCACGATCTCAGCTCCCTGCAACCTCCACCTCCGGGTTCAAGTGATTCTCCTGCCTCAGCCTCCCAAGTAGCTGGGATTATAGGCGCCCGCCACCATGCCCAGCTAATTTTTGTATTTTTAGTAGAGGTGGGGTTTCACCAAGTTTACCAGGCTGTTCTCAAACTCCTGACATCAAATGATCCACCCACCTTGGCCTCCCAAAGTGCTGGGATTACAGGCGTGAACCGCCATGCCCAGCCTGCTTTCTTTATAGAACTGGAGAATAAAATGTTTTCCTGTACAAATGTTCTGGTACCCATGATAAATATCCAACATTTGATAGGAAACAGAATTTCATATAAAGCTGGTTTATTTGGGATTCTGTGTCTTATTTTATAGTCCATATTACATTAAAAAAAGTGAAGTTCCAGTGCTTTCATCCACATAATTGAGCTCTTACAAATGTGATTAATTTATACAAATAGTAAACCATTTCAAAATATATTTAATTTTTATTTTATGTCATTGAAATCTGATTTAGATATCATATATTTGAATCAAATTAGGAAACCATAATCTAGAATATTATTACTTTTTTTCAAAGGAGCTCAGTATTTGCATTAAAAAATTACCCTACGATTTATCTTTGCTTCCTGTTGAAGGTATTTGCATCACAGATATTTTTGAAGATTGTTGGGGAAGATTTAGAAGATATATAACTTACCTATTACAGTTTTAGGCATTTGTTTCAAAAATATATAAAGAACTGCTGTATCTAATGATCTCATAATGGGATTACCATTAACAAAAAGAATTTGAAACCTGTAAAAAGACTGATAGGACTATAATAGAATTTGTAAATATTGATTTAAAAATCATTTCTAATGTGTCCCTTTCAGAAGAAATATTAAAAGCTTTAAATTAAAAGATGAAAAGATTAAGACTGATGATTGTTTTATTTCATTGTTTTGAGAAAAGGTGTTTGGATGGACTGGTGAACTAGGACCTGGAATTTACTGGTTAATTCCTTCCACAACTGGCTGTAGGCTGAGGAAAAAAATAAAACCAGTAACAGATGAAGCCCAACTTGTATATAGAGATGAAACAGGGGAATTATTCCTTACAAAGGAATTTAAGTAAGTTTTGTTTATTAATGTTAGAATTATAACATCTAGACTGGATAGATATTAATAGCCTGTGTTACTCCCTTTGGCCAGCTCCCACCCCCATCCTCAGATTCTAATTCACCAATTCAACTCTTGTGAACAACCTGTATGAACTTGGAGGATGTTCTGCTAAGTTAAATAAGCCAGGCACAGAAAGATAAATACTGCATGATCTCACTTATATGTGGGAACTTTTTTTTTTTTTAAATAGAGACAGAGTTTTGCTCTGTTACCCAGGCTGGAGTACACTGTCACAATCATTGCTCACTGAAGCCTCAGAATCCTGGGCTCAGGTGATCCTCCCAGCTCAGCCTCTTGAGTAGCAGTAGCTGGGATTACAGGGGCTTGCCAGCATGCCTGGCTAATTTTTTTAAAGAGATGGGAGTCTCGCTATGTTGCCCAGGGTGGTCTCAAACTCCTGGCCTCAAGCGAGCATCCTGCCTCAACCTTTCAAAGTGCTGGGATTATAGGTGTGAGCCACCACATCCAGCCTTATATGTGGGATCTTAAAAAGTCAAACCCATAGAAACAGAGAGTAGAAGAGTGGTTATAGCAGCTGGAAGTAGTGGGGGGGTTGGGGATATGTTGGTGAAAGGATACAAAATTTCAGTTTGATAAGAGGAATAAGTTCAGGAGATCTGTTGACAATATGGTGATTATAGTTATATATTGTATCCTTGAAAATTGCTAAGAGAATAGATATTAAATGTTCCCACTAGAAAAAAAGATGATAAATATATGAGATAATGGCTATGTTAATTAGCTTTAGTCATTTCACATTGTCTACATATATCAAAAAATCACATTGTACACCATAAATATATATATCAAAACAAAACAGCTCATTCTCTAGGCATCTGAAAATGTTCCTCCATTTGCAGATCTGGGATTTTCATTTACTTGTGGGTTCTACACATTTGGCAAGTCAACTTCAGTCAAACATCGACAATTTCTCCCTATTGGTAGAGAGGAAGAAGAAAGTAGATTGGAGAAAGGAAAAAAGAAGGGAACTACTACTATTCATTGAGTTCTTACTGTGTGTTGAGATACTGTGGTTGTTCTAGAAGCTTTTTTATCTCATGTAATACTGGACTGAGCCAAAACTGTATTTGGTTACATTAACTTTATAGTTTACAGAAATTGTGTAACGCTATATTACTTCCTTTTGAATGTTATCCTCATAGAACCCTTCTTCAGCCAGGCGCGGTGGTTCACGCCTGTAATCCCAGCACTTTGGGAGGCTGAGGCGGGCGGATCACGAGGTCAGGAGATCAAGACCATCCTGGCTAAAATTTTTAGTAGAGAAACCCCATCTCTACTAAAAATACAAAAAAAAAAAAAAATTAGCCAGGTGTGGTGGCGGGCGCCTATAGTCCCAGCTACTCGGGAGGCTGAGGCAGGAGAATGGCGTGAACCCAGGAGGCGGTGCTTGCAGTGAGCCGAGATCACGCCACTGCACTCCAGCCTGGGTGACAGAGTGAGACTCCGTCTCAAAAAAAAAAAAAAAACCCTTCTTCAGCGTAGTTGCCTTAGTGACAAGAAATAACTAGCTATTTTTATAATTTTAGGTCTACTTTATCAGATATATTTGAAGTAATTGATTTAGATGGAAATGGTCTTCTTAGCCTTGAAGAATATAATTTTTTTGAATTGAGAACAAGTGGTGAGAAATGTGATGAAGATGCTTGGGCTGTCTGCAGAGGTAAGCACTTTTCTTTTCCTTAACAGATGTATAAAAATATATATATAGCACCTTTTCATCTCTAAGAAATGAGAAGTCAAACTTCTGCATGAAATATTATTATAGCATTTAGGACAGTTTGAAAGTAGTATTGTTTGTAGATCATAAAAACTTAAACATTTATTTTTCTTAAACCGATAGTTGGTATAATACTCAAGTTAAAAGAAAGTGTGAATTACTTAATCATAATTTTAGTTTTGATTCTCTACTCTTCGGGGTTTAGAAGACAAAAAACTTGTCCTTGCGCTTGATACCACTGGGCCTGAAGTGGTCAAGAACCACAAACTGTGACCAGGAGAGGGCAGCAAAAAGCCAAAAAGCTAGAGTTTTACTCACAAATTAAGGTTTCCAGGAAGTTGCTTATATTATACATGTTAAACATTCTTCAGTGCTTTTCGTATTTGAGTTGAATTTAAAAAGTCCATTTATGGAAATATTGAAGCCAAAAATGCCAAGATGGACAAAGAAAATCACTGAGAATGAGGCAAAGTCAGTTATCACTTAGAAGGAGTCTGGGAAGACATACTTGCATATTTAAGCCAAAGACCCCAAGGTCGAGGGAAAACCAAAAAGCCATAGCCAACTATAGATCACAGAACAAGAGGTATGAGGAGACCAGAATTCAGTCAAGAGAGATTAACTCACGTATGCTTTCACTGGGATAGCTATATGTGGGTCTTAAAATGGTCTAAGCTTGGCAAAGTGAGCCAGGTTGGGAGTCTGTTTACCTAGACAGCAAGTAGGGTAGAGAAGTATATTATTTATATAAAGGAATCTTTCAGTATTTCTATTTTAGCTGAAAGTTAATATAATCAACAGCAATACATGTATATTGATTTATAATATTAAACTGTGATTAATAAAATTCATAATATACATAATAGAGTATTACCTATAGGAAGATGTAATTATCTTGTAACTTTAATGATATAATCTTTTAATTGGCACTAGAGAACATTCCATAAGAGTGAATTTGTGGCTTTCTGATGGTAAAGTTTGTGATAAGTAAAATTCTAATTTAAAATTTTAATTGAATTGGCAGAGTTGACGGTTAACATTTTTTGATAGCTTACCATCTACCATGTACCAGCTGCTGATCTATGCACTTCTACACACCAACTCTATGAAGTAGTACTTTATTATTCTCACTTTATAAATCAGGAAATAGAATTAGAGGTTAAGTAACCTGACCAAGGCTACACAGCAAGAAAGTTTCACAGATAGGCTCCAGAACTTTGAACTCAATGCTATCAAAAAGTCTCCAAGAGTTATTGACTTGAAAAATGATTTGGAGGAATGTCTACTTTACCAACATTAATAATATTGCAAAGAAATGAGAGCTTTTAAGGTTTTAATGTTTCCCCTGAATAATAAGAAAATGTACTGTTTATCTGTAAGATTATTTTAATAAACTTTTTTTACACTTAAAGATGCTTTATTTTTATTTTGTTTATTAATAAGCTTTATTTTGTTTATTTATTTATTTATTTTTTTGAGATGGAGTCTCACACTGTTGCCCAGGCTGGAGTGCAGTGGCGTGATCTCGGCTCACTGCAAGCACTGCCTCCTAATAAACTTTATTTTTAGAGCAATTTTAGGTTTACAGAAAAAACAGGCTGGGTGCTGTGGCTCATGCCTATAATCCTAGCACTCTGGAAGGCTAAGGCAGTAGGATTACTTGAGGCCAGGATTTCAAGACCAGCCTGGACAACAGAGCAAATTGTCTCTTAAAAAGAAAAAAAAAAAAAAATTGGCCTGTAATCCCAGCACTTTGGGAGGCTGAGGTGGGTGGATCACTTGAGGTCATTAATTCAAGACCAGCTTGGCCAACATGGTGAAACCCCACTTGTACTAAAAATACAAAAATTATCCAAGTGTGGTGGCAGGTACCTATAATCCCAGCTACTTGGGAGGCTGAGGCAGGAGAATCACTTGAGCTTGGGAGGTGGAGGTTGCAGTGAGCCAAAATCATGCTGCTGCACTCCAGCCTGGGTGACAGAGTGAGACTCTGTCTCAAAAAAAAAAAAAAAAAAAAAAAATAGAAATCTTCCATATATTCCTCCTCACCCACAAGTTTTCCCTATTATTAACATCTTGCATTTGTATGATACCTTTGTTACAATTGATGAGTGAATTATTGATACATAATCATTAACTAAAGTTCATAGTTTACATTAGGTTCAGTCTTTTTGTTTGTTTGTTTGAGTCACTGTTAGCCTAGGACGGAGTGTAGTGGTGCAATCTCAACTCACTGCAACCCCTGCCTCCAGGCTCAAGCGATCCTCTCACCTTAGCCTCCTGAGTAGCTAGGACTACAGGTGTGTGCCACCACACCTGGCTAATTTTTGTATTTTTTTGTTGAGATGAGTTTCACCATGTTGCCCAGGCTGGTCTCAAACCCCTGGAGGGTTCACTCTTGTCTTGTACAGTTCTATGGGTTTTGACAAATATGTAACATCATGTATCCACCATTACAATATCATTTACAAAGGACTATCCTTTCTCCATTGAATTGCCTTTGCTCCTTTGTCAAATATCAGTTGAATATATTTATGTCGGTCTATTTCTGGGCTCTCTATTCTGTTCCATTGATCTATTCATCATTATTTCACCATTACCACACTGTCTTGATTGCTGTGGCTTTATAGTAAGTCTTGGAGTCAAGTGTTAATAATTTTTTTTTTTTTGAGATGGAATCTTGCTCTGTTGCCTAGGCTGGAGGGCAGTGGCGTGATCTTGGCTCACTGCAAGCTTCACCTCCCGGGTTCACGCCATTCTGCCTCAGCCTCCCGAGTAGCTGGGACTACAGGTACCCGCCACCACGCCCGGCTAATTTTTTGTATTTTTAGTAGAGATGGGGTTTCACCATGTTAACCAGGATGGTCTCGATCTCCTGACCTCATGATCTGCCCGCCTCAGCCTCCCAAAGTGCTGGGATTACAGGCGTGAGCCACTGCGCCTGGCCCAAGTGTTAATTTTTTAAAAATTAATGAGGATTGAGAATTTTAAGTTTTAAAAAGTAGATTCGTTTTTGATAGTCTCTATAGTACAGTATCTAGATAGGTTTCTTAATGTATTTGTATTATATGTCAAATATTTTTTTCATCGTTTCTACATAGTAGCTCTAACCTCGATTTTTGTGGCTACCATTTCTCTTCATGATTGAATTTAATCTGCATTTATTTTTTCCCCTTGAAAAAGTTATGAATAACTTTAAACTCTTAACTTTTTTTTTTTTTTTTTTTTTTGAGACTGAGTCTCACTCTGTCACCCAGGCTGTAGTACAGTGGCACGATCTCAGCTCACTGCAACCTCCGCCTCCCAGGTTCAAGTGATTCTCTGCCTCAGCCTCCCAAGTGGCTGGGACTACAGGTGCATGCCAGCATGCCGGGCTAATTTTATTTTTTGTATTTTTAGTAGAGATGGGGTTTCACCATGTTGGCCAGGCTGGTCTTGAACTCCTGAGCTCAGGCTATCCACCTGCCTTGGCCTCCCAAAGTGCTGGGATTACAGGCGTGAGCCACCGTGCCCGGCTTCTAAATGTTTTAAGCTATTAATCAGTCAACCGGTTTTACACAGTTATGTCTCTGCTGCTTTTCTCACAATAATGCACACAAAAGAGATGCCATCTCAAATAAGACTACCCATTTCCCTTGGATATATTATAGATGGAAGTTAGGAAATAAAATCTTCCCTGTTGTAGGATAGCTAACAAAATATCCATAATAAATAACGACTTATTATCCATGTTACAGACAAATTCAGGAATTATGCATGTCTAGATACTTCTAGGTAAATTTAGTTTTGCTCATAAATAGTGTTAAAACAGGCATAGACTTACCTGGGAAAATGTAGTTGATTCATGGATTCCAAAGTGCTCCCCATTATCTGTCAGTCTTTCAAGACTTGGGGACAATTTAGCTAAAATTAGAGGAATCAGGCATATAGTAATCTCCTTAAATATGACACTATTCCCGTTTTTCTTTCTGAAACTCAGTAGTTTGGGGAGTATTATATCAAATTCATCCAGTTTCTGCTGGCTTTAAGTGGCAAATACATATGAAGCATTTTAATTCTTTGAAATATATAACAACGTATGCTCTAAATAACCAGGCAGATTGGAATTTACCCAGAAATATTACAGTTTCCTCTAATTTTAGAATATATTTGCACTATTTATAACTTTAGGATTTTTTGAAAAATGAAATTGTGTACTACGATATATCTATGCTGAGTTATGGGAAACTAGAAGAATAGCTCTCAATAATGTTTTGAGCCATTTTTATTCCACTTTTATCCTGCTCATAGATTCATAGGCCTCTTTTAAAATAAATATCTATGAATAATAATATATCATAGACATTTTATTAAAGTTATGAATTTTTAAATTATGTAAGAAAAAACTTTTGGTTGTTTAAACAGAGAATTTTGATACAAAGAGGAATGAACTAACAAGACAAGGATTTATGGATTTGAATCTAATGGAAGCTAATGATCGAGAAGGAGATCCTTGTGACCTTTGGGTAACTCTACACTCTATGGGCTACAATAAAGCTCTGGAGTTGACAGAGGTAAAGTATTCTTAAACTTTTGCCAATGGGTTTAATGTACATAATATTTTACTTTATGAACATTTTCCTGACATATAACTTTCGAATTGGGCACCCAAATCTTTGAACTTTAGTATATGAATGAATCCTGGGTGCAACAACATGTTTCTGTTAGTTTATACAAGTTCTTGTTCTCACCTGAAATTTAGTTACTGCCAACATTAAAATAATTCAAAGACAAAAGAGTCTAAGCATATAATATGCAGGAAAAAAATTTGGTATTAAAAAAATTAAAATTGGAAAAGGCAGTTTGAGTTACTAAAGTCTCATTTCTATAGGGAAACACTTTGTCTTAACAGTTTAAAGGCTCTCTTAGAATAAGGAGACTGTGTCTGCATTAGAACTTGGATTTCTGGTCTTTTTATAAAGGGTACTTTTGGGGTTAATACTTGTAAAACACTTGGAACAGTGGCTGGCTCATACAAAGCATTGTGTATGTATCAGCTATTATCATCATTATTATCATTAACATGATAGGTATAGAAGTTGAACAGGGCTCGTAATAAACCATAGGGGTAATAAAAATTTAAAAATTAGGCCTTCTTAATTTATTTATATATATATATATATATATATATATATATATATATATATATATAAAACTTTTTTTTTTTTTAATTTGAGACAAGGTCTTACTCTGTCACCCTGGCTGGAGTGCAGTGGCACAATCATAGCTCACTGCAGCTTCAACCTCCTGGGCTCAAGTAAGCCTCCTGCCTCAGCCTCCTGAGTAGCTAGGACTACAGGTGCATGCCCCCACGCCCAGCTAATTTTTTAACTTTTTTTTTTTTTGTAGAGATGGGGGTCTCACTGTTTTACCCAGGCTAATTTCTATATTTTATGTCAGATTTAAAATATAGAATTTAAGAGTTTCAGTTTCAGGCCACAAGTTACATAACAGTACATTTGTTTATACTCTTAAAATTAAAAATAGTATTTGTCCTTTTTCCATACTTGAATCAACTTAGGAGGGCAATACTAACTTTGACAAATTTTATTTTAGATACATTTAGACTTTGGTTTAATTCCTAGTTTTGACATCATTCAAAACCTTCATTAACCTGTTTGGTGAGAGGTTCTCTATTCTTTCCCCATTTTTAGAAATAGGAGGTGAATAGTTATGGTAACTATTTATATCCTACTTGAGCCTAACAGTCAGTGACTCCCACATTTTAACCATGTGTAAAATCAGCATCTAATCTAGGAACAATATTGATTGTGCTACCCATGTTGTTGCTTATTAGGGAAATTAGTTAAGAGCAATTTAAGACTTTTTACCACAGTTACTGATGTCATTTACCTTTGAAACTATAAGCAAGAAGGATTTCTGAGCTAACATTTAATTTAATTTAAATTTCATTTATTTATTGAGTAGGTTATTTGTATCATTTAAATTCAAAAGGTAAAAAAAATACAGTATACATTGGAAAGTATCAATAGATGATGAGACTGCCACTCAGTAACTGAAATAAAAAGACAAAGCTGAATTGATTGCTTACTATAAAGGAGAGCTATGCTGATCAGGCACAGTCTCTCGGCTAAGAGCAGAATGCTCATTTATATAGGGTTTTGGGGAGGTATGGAATTCAAGGATTGCCTGGCTTTTAGAGGCATAAATGAGTTAATACTATCTGGGGAAGCATGGTTACTTGGATGAGACTGTTGATTGGTTGGCACTAAGCAGTGTATTTACTGATGTGAATCCATCTCTGATTGCCTGACTTTCAAAACTGAGGAGCTGACACTGGTTGCCTAACATAAGTGTGTTAATTGAAGTGGAGCTGTTCCTCATCAGTTGAACAGATTTAAAATCTTTTTTCTTACTAAATTTCTTTATTGTTTCTTATTAAATTCTTATTACTTATTTCTTTATTTTTCCTTATTAAATTCTCTAATTTAGGCTGTAGAATTACTGATTACACATTCCCTGTATCAGCCTATGAAGATCCTCTGTTAAAGAGCAATATAACTTCTTTATAAGGGCATTGCCCCTATATACTGTAATTGAATAGTTGCTCTTTTACTGAATTTGAGAAGTGAAACTTACATGTTTAGTTTTGCCCCCCTTTTTTTTCTGTTTTCCTTTTTAAAATAGAATTTCATGATATTAATTTCTTTCTAGATTCAGAACTGGGAAAATTTACTTTCTTTTTTAGAGTTTAAGCACTACATAACTTTTTATTTCCCTTTTGTATATGTTAACAGGTAGTTGAGAGCTAAATATTGTGCTAAATTTAAGTAACATCCCATAATCTAGGTTTTATTATTGCAGTCTTCCCCGTCTTCCTTATCACATATATTGTTAATAATTTTACAATGAATAATTTACAGTTAATAGTTTTCTTGCTTGTTGTTTGCTTCCTATATTAAGTTAGTAGGATAAAGAAAATAAGTAAATAAAAGATCAAGCCCATGAAAAGAAAAAATAAAACTATAGGGCAGTTCTTTTAGATGTGATAAGATTTTAATTTAAAAATTTTAGAATGTGCAAAAATCACTAGTATTCCTATACACCAACAATAGTCAAGTCAAGAGCCAATTCACGAAAGAACTCCCATTCATAATTGCCACAAAAAGAATAAAACACCTAGGAGTACAGTGAACAAGGGAGGCCAGCAATCTCTACAAGGAGAACTACAAACTACTGCTCAAAGAAATCAGAGATGACACAAACAAATGGAAAAACATTTGATGCTCATGGATAGGAAGAATCAATATCGTTAAAATGGTCATACTGCCCAAAGCAATTTATAGATTCAATGATATTCCCACTAAACTACCATTGGCATTCTTTACAGAACTAGAAAAAAAATTTTAAAATTCATATGGAACCAAAAAAAAGAGCCCGAATAGCCAAGGCAATCCTACGCAAAAAGAACAAAGCTGGAGGCATCATGCTACCTAATTTCAAACTATACTACAGGGCTACAGTAACCAAAACAGCATGGTACTGGTACAAGAACAAACATATAGACCAATGGAACAGAATAGAGCACTCAGAAATAAGACTGCACACCTACACCTGTTTGATCTTTGACAAATCTGACAAAAACAAATAATGGGAAAAGGATTCTCTATTCAATAAATGGTTGCTGGGATAACTGGCTAGCCATATGCAGAAGATTGAAACTGGACCCCTTCCTTACACCATATACAAAAATTAACTAGGGCTGGGTGTGATGGCTCACGCCTGTAATCCCAGCACTTTGGGAGGCTGAGGCGGGTGGATCACAAGGTCAGGAGATCAAGACATCCTGGCTAACATCCTGGCTTCATCCTGGTGAAACCCCGTCTGTACTAAAAATACAAAAAATTAGCTGGGCATGGTGGCAGGTGCCTGTAGTCCCAGCTACTCGGGAGGCTGAGGCAGGAGAATGGTGTGAACCCGGGAGACAGAGCTTGCAGTGAGCCAAGATGGCATCACTGCACTCCAGCCTGGGCGAGAGTGCGAGACTCCGTCTCAAAAAAAAAAACAACAACAACAAAAAAATTTTAAGATAAAGACTGAAATGTAAAACCCAAAAGTGTAAAAACTCTGAGAGACAACCTAGGCAATACCATTCAAGATATAGGCATGGGGAAAGATTTCATGGTGAAGATGCCACAAGCAATTGCAACAAAAGCAAAAATTGATAAATGGGATCTAATTAAAGAGCTTCTGTGCAGCAAAAGAAACTATCAACAAAGTAAACAGACAACCTACAGAATGGGAGAAAATTGTTGCAAACTATGCATCTGACAAAGGTCTAATATCCAATATCTATAAGTAACTTAAATTTACAAGAAAAAAATTCCATTAAAAATGGGCAAATGAACAGACGCTTTAAAAGAAGATATACCTGCAGCCAACAATCATATGAAAAAAAGTTCGACATCACTGATCATTAGAGAAATGCAAATCAAAACCACATTTCACACCTGTCCAAATGGCTATTATTAAAAAGTCAAAAAATAAAAGATGCTGTTGAGATTGTGGAGAAAAAGGAATGCTTATACACTGTTGGTGGGAGTGTACATGAGTTCAACCATTGTGGAAGACAGTATGGTGATTCCTCAAAGACCTAAAGACAAATACCATTCAATCCAGCAATCCTATTACTGGATATACACCTAAAGGAATGTAAATTGTTTTATAAAGACACATACACATGTATGTTCATTGCAGCACTATTCACAGTAGCAAAGACATGGAATTAACCTAAATGCCCATCAGTGGAAAACAGGATAAAGAAAAAGTGGTAAATATACACCATGGGATACTATACAGCCATAAAAAAGAATGAGGTCATGTCCTTTGCAGGGACATGGATGGAGCTGGAAGCCATTATCCTTAGCAAACTAATGCAGGAACTGAAAACCAAATGCCACATGTTCTCATTTATAAGCGGGAGCTAAATGATGAGAACACATGGACACATAAAGGGGAACAACACACACTAGAGCCTATCAGAGGGTGAAGAGTACGAGGAGGGAGAGGATCAGGAAAAATAACGAATGGGTACTGGGCTTACTACCTGGGTGATGAAATAATCTTACAACAAACTCCTATGACACACGTTTACCTGTGTAACAAATCTGCACATGTACCCCTGAACTTAAAAGTGTAAAAAAAAAGAAAAAAAATTAGAGAATATGTTTTAACATGGACCTTTTAAGATGTTTTGCTTTCAGTGAATATTCAAATATTGATCCTCTTTGGTTGAATAAAACTGATAATCATGACTTAAAAAATGGCAGAATATTACCAGAATTTACCAGTACTGAACAAATAAACCTTTAAAAATGCCATACTCATAATTATTATAAATAATCTTTAAAAATTTTTACAAAGGTGATGTGTATGAAAAATAAACCCAGGTCTTCTACTTTTTAGTCCAATGATTTTTCATTCTACTATTTCTCTTAAAAAGGCAAATTTATTATTGCCAAAGGTTGAAGTGATTAAAATATTTTTATTATACAAATATTTTATAATTATTTTATTTTATATTTATTTATTTTATATTATTAAAATATTTTTTAAAACACAAATTTCTGTTTATAGTCTACTAAAATTAACTTCAGACTTCTTTCTTTTATTTTCTTAAAAGATGACCACCAATTTGTGAATTTATTCAGTTATTCAACAAATACTTATTGAATACCTACTATGTGATAACTGCAGGAAAGAGGCACTGAGGATACAAAGATGAATAAAATAGTCAAAGTTCCTGCCCTTATGAAATTTATATTTCATGAAGGAGAATGATTAATTAATTAAAATAAAATTATATCGGCCAGGTGCAGTGGCTCACGCCTGTAATCCCAGCACTTTGGGAGGCCAAGGCAGGTAGATCACCTGAGTTCAGGAGTTCAAGACCAGTGTGGTCAACATGGTGAAACCTTGTCTCTACTAAAAATACAAAACTTAGCTGGGTGTGGTGGTGGTCACCTGTAATCGCAGCTACTTGGGAGGCTGAGGCAGGAGAATCACTTGAACCCGGGAAGCAGAAGTTGCAGTGAACTGAGATCACCCAACTGCACTCCAGCCTGGGCGACAAGAGCAAAACTCCATCTCCAAAAAAAAAAAATTATTTCAAAGGTGTTTTGAAACAACTCAAAGGCTGAAGTAGAGAACAGAGAACAGTGGGGGAGTGAGGGAGATTGGGGGGCCAGAGCAGATCCCTCTGCAGAGGTGGCACTTAAGCTTTAACCTGAAGCAGGAAGACAAGGTACCTATGTGAAAATACATAAGGATAATCTTCCCAGTGGAGAGAACACTACGTATGAAGGGCTTCATTTGCTCTAGGATCTGAAAGATCAGGATAGCTGTTGCATAGAGACACAGGAGACCAGGTTGGATGGAGAGGCAAAGGCTCTTTACCACATTGGCTTTTTACCACATTGTAGGCTGTGGTAAAAAGACTAAGGTAGATATTAGAAAAATTTCATTCGGAATGCAGAAAATATTTTTAAGTCTCATATTTTAAAGGTGTTTTTAGACTAAACGTTTAGTCAGTGCTCTGTATCCATGCAGTAAGCTTCAATTGTAAATGTAATAATTTCTGTAGAAACCTTTGATGAATTCTTTCTGTAACCCTCACTTTAGAAAAGAAAATTAAATAACATGGTATTTGTTAGCATTGAACCAAATGAAGAGATGGTATTATGGTTTAAAGAAGGTGGTATATTACTGATTTGCTAGAGGTTATTATTTTCTTTTATTTTCTATGAACATTATCAGTTAATATGCTACCAAAAAGTCAGGATTTCATGCTTGCTTATTACTCAATTCATAGTACTAAAATTTTCCTCTAAAAGTTTATTAGAAGGACAAGCTAGAAGGTATAGCATATCTTCTTATATGGTAACATATTAATAATTTATTTAAAATTCTATCAAAAGGCTGAAACAAGATTTTTTTTTCCTATCAGGCATGTCCATTTGTCATTGATATCTATGCAGAAAAATGCAAGCCAAAAATTAAAGCTGTCCATATGGAGGCATGTAGTGGACAACTTGAGAAGGCCATTTGTAAATCTGTTCTTAGCAACGGTGATGCCAAAGTAATGGATGGCTATGAAAATATAATCGTGCATACTTACAGTTGTGACACCTGGATAACGTCAGTTATTGAAAACAAGGTATCAATTATGAGGTGGTTTTCCTCATTTTGCTACAAAGCTTACTAATATATTTCATCTTATTCCTTACTCTATTCGTATGTGGTAATTAAGTATCCCATCACATTAATAATGTTTATAATGCATAATTATTTTTTCTCCTCAGGTTTCTAACTCAAACTGGGAGTGGTAATTTTTATATGATTTTTAAAGGTTTCCAATTTTTTCTCTTAAAATATTAGGAAAATTAAACATTTGGATATTAGTGAATATAGAGCACAATCTGGGTACAAAGTATTTTATTTAGTTTGTTTCTAAAAGTTTTTATGTATACATAGCTATTTTAATAATAGATATCATGTTTTAAAGAAATATTATAAGCAAAGGAAAAATTTCAACCCAGCGTTTTACACTAACGTTGCAGAGATCCTATAAATTATTATTATTTAATATAACTAAATGTATTCTACTGTCCCAAGACCTGCTTTCATCAAGCTGATTATTTCTACCTTTGGCTCTCTTCCCTGCTATTAATACTATTGATATTACAGGTCAAGAGAATACGAGCATAAATTCTTAGTCAGAAATATCCAGTTCTCTAGAAATTATAAATTTTCATAAAACTTTATATAAGATGGCTAGGTGCTCAGTACTGTTGACTTATTTCTTTTAGGTCCTACGTGAGACATATTTTTATGCCTGCCATAAATTTCTTAAAATACTTAAGATGTGGCAGCGTTTTTAGTCAACCTGAGAATATATTATGTAACTATTTTAGTCACAATAGGAGCAACCAGAAAGTGTAAAACTTGATCTCTGCGTTCAAGGAGTTTATGGGCTATAATTGGAAAGACAAAATTAATACTCTTGAAAGACATCAGAGAATAATTAAACGTTACATAATGTAGTACTGTTTGTGTGTGCAATAGGGGTTTTATTCTGTTTCTCTTGTAGTTGTTGTTAATTTGGACCATAGAGGTTGGGGAAGGATTTGTTACGAGGGGCAAGGGAACTGTGATATGGGATTTGAGCACTGAAGGATGACTAGGATTTAGATATGCAGACAGACAGCCTTTAGAAGCAGGGGAAACAGTGTAAGGCGAAACAAGGCGAAGGGTATATATGAAGTATAAAGGAAAGAGTGAGAATATCTGCTTTGCAGCAATAGACAGCTTTATTTGGAGGAGGATTAGGAGGTAAATAACATACAGAATGGATCCAAATTATATATGTTATCTTGAAAACGAGATAGAGGAGTTTAGACTTGATTAACTAAGCTTGGGTCCCCACCTAGTAGATTGCAGTTTTCAAATGGACCAATCATGCCTCAGAGGGTGATTCCTAAGATGCATCATGGTTCCCTTTCTGCCCTCTATGTTTTATTAGGGTTAAAAAGGTGAAGGGAGTTACTACGTTACCCCAACCCCTCTGTTCTGCTACCACCTATTAGTTCTCAATTCTCTGCCTCCTTTTTCCTCAAGGAAAATTCAACTCTCTTCACCAAAATGTGATAATAATGTGAACATTTTAGACCTTATTGTTTGCCAGGCATTTACATATATTAGAGCATTTACTTCTCACAACAACCCTATGACATAAGTGCTATTCTCATTTTACAAACAGGAAACTGAAGCACAGAGCAGTTAAATAACTTGCAAATGATTACACAGCTAAGTAGTAGAAGAGTTGACAAATAAATTCAGGTAGTCTAACATTATACTACCCCCTTTATAGTCATTAGGGTATGATCGCAGATTCTTAGTAGGGGAATATTTTTATTCCTGCATTTTCTCCATTTATCAGTGTCATTCTGCTTTCCCTTGCTCCCTATCCATCCTAGAGGCCATTGTCTTTTATCTCAGTTGTCACTTCTTCCATAAAGTCTTTCTTGAAACCCCAGTCCGAGCTAATGTTCATCTTCTGTGTTTCTATAGATCCTTCTAAATACCTCTGTTACAAGACTCAGCAAAGTGTTTTGTAATTGTCATTTTATTTGTCTGTCTCCCCTAGAGTGTGAGCTAGGAGTCAGTAATTCTATCTTTTATCTCAGTGCACCTAGACCCTAAAACAATGCCTGATACAAAGTTGATAATAAATATATTTGTTTATATATTGTCAATGAAGGAGTAAAAAGATGTTTTAGACATATTAGTTGGAAGGTAGTATTAAAATGAATGGAAGTTGAAAAAACTAGAGATAACAACAAAAGAAATAGACACTATTGCTATCATAAGTCAAGGATGAAATAATGTGACCCTAGTGTCCATAATACCCTGGGAATGAAGATTAAAAGGTAAGTAAGTTTAAGTCACATTTAAAAGAAAAAGTTTATATAAATGGTGACAGATTGGAAAGAAAATCAATGAGAAAAAGTAACAAAGTTGAAAGAAGTAGCCAATTTGTATGAATTTGTAGTGCACTATATGATGTTAAAACAGAATTTCAGGGTTTATTCTGAGGCTTATATTTGTCTGTAATTATTAAAGAAAGGAATAGCAGCTTATGAAATCTTTTTTTAATAGTCAGATGAGAAAGTGATTATTCACATCAGCAATGAGCTAAGTAAAAACTGCATAAACAACAGAGGACTCAACATATTTGCAGTAGAAGTGGGACCCAAATCTACAATGGTAATGTATTATTTTCTAATTAAAGCCTTTTGTTTTATGTCTTTGAAAAAAATTTGCTATTAATGCTATGAGTAAAATGTAAATATAAAATGGAGTGGAAAATTATTTTAAGTATGATATTTGTATCAGTATCATTCTATACTCAGAGACAGGAGACTTTGGTTCTAATCCAGTTCTGTCACTGTTTGGTTGAGTGACTATGGGAAGTTCATTTATTTCTATGTTCCAGTCTCTCTAAATGTAAAATTAAGATAATATCACTAGGCCGGGCACGGTGGCTCACGCCTGTAATCCCAGCACTTTGGGAGGCCGAGGTGGGTGGATCACCTGAGGTCAGGAGTTCAAGACCAGCCTAGCCAACATGGTGAAACCCCATCTCTACAAAAATACAAAAATTAGCCGGACATGGTGGCAGACGCCTGTAATTCCAGCTACTCGGGAGGCTGAGGCAGGAGAATCTGAACCTGGGAGGTGGAGGTTGCAGTGAGCTGAGATCACGCCATTGCACTCCAGCCTGAGCGACAAGAGTGAGACTCTGTCTCAAAAAAAAAAAAAAAAAAAAAAAAAGATAATATCACTAGTTTTATGTACTTCACAAAGTTAAAGTAAGGATAAAAATAAAATGATGTATGTACATGAAAGTACTTTTTACATCATATAGAAATGTAAAGTATTAATAGTAACAATAATTTTGATAACCCAAAATGCTTTTATCTGCATTATTAAGATTTTCTAAAGTATCCTGAGAGGGACAATGCCTCTGAGTTTTAAATAAGCAAGTAAGTCAAGAGCTAGAAAAAGCTGTAGTTCTGGTGTTAGCAGAACTCTGGGTTTCTGATTTAGCCAGGGGTTCAAAGGCAGGGACAGATCAATAGAGCTACCTACTGGGCAAGTGAAGGGAGAAAGGAAAAAGCTTCCTATTCTTACCCTTTCTTTCTCCATACTGTCCATAAAATCCTAAAACATTCCAGAACAGGATAAAGAGATTATCTTTTCTGTTTCTCCAATTAAGATTTTAGAAAACGCTCTAGGTTTAGCAAGGAAAGGATATTTTCTCCTCTTTCCACCACTCTTCTTTACCCACATTCACACACACCAACTGACAGCTACTATGTTAGGGTAGAATTTAGACTGGATTATCCTGTTAGACCTCAGATCATAGATTGCTAGTCTCTGCTAAGGACAAATATTGTAGAATTTTATCTGTACAGGGATATTCTTATACAAGGCCTAGAAATGTTGTCCTGTTTAAAAATTAGCCAAAAGTAACAATATATAAAAAGAGAGTAAAAGCTTTCTATTTTTATGTGCAGGTTTGTCAACATGTAATGCCTTTGAATGAACGACAAGAATGGATATATTATTGTATATATTCTCTTATTTCTTAAATAATTATACTTAGAACTTACCAAACTAAGAATTATTTCAGATTTAGTCTGTTATTTATTAAACAACTAAATGCTACTTAACTGATGTACCTAAATAATAATCTATTCAATTTATATGCATTTTCATTTTATGTCCATGGTATGTACTTTATTATTAAAATATAAATAATGCTTTCATTGTGTGGTGTTCTTATTTAGTAGGAAATCTTTTTCTTTTTTTTTTTCTCAGCAATAAGGCTGTTTATTTCACCTGGGTGCAGGTGGGCTGAGTCCGAAAAGAGAGTCAGCAAAGGGAGATAGGGGTGGGGCCATTTTATAGGACGTGGGTAGGTAAAGGAAAATTACAGTCAAAGGGGTTTGTTCTCTGGCGGGCAGGGGCGGGAGTCACAAGGTGCTCAGTGGGGGAGCTTTTGAGCCAGGAGAAGGAATTTCACAAGGTAATGTCATCAGTTAAGGCAGGAACAGGCCATTTTCACTTCTTTTGTGGTGGAATGTCATCAGTTAAGGCAGGAACCGGCCATCTCGATGTGTACGTGCAGGTCACGGGGGATATGATGGCTTAGCTTGGGCTCAGAGGCCTGACATTCCTGTCTTCTTATATTAATAAGAAAAATAAAACAAAATAGTGTTGAAGTGTTGGGGCGGCGAAAATTTTTGGGGGTGGTATGGAGAGATAATGCCGGGTGATATTTCTCAGGGCTGCTTCGAGTGGGATTAGGGGTGGCGTGGGAACCTAGAGTGGGAGAGATTAAGCTGAAGGAAGATTTTATGGTAAGGGGTGATATTGTGGGGTTGTTAGAAGAAACATTTGTCTTATAGAATTATTGCTGATGGCCTGGATACAGTTCTGTATGAATTGAAAAACTAAACGGAATAAGAGAAGGAGAAAAACAGGTATTAAAGGACTAAGAATTGGGAGGACCCAGGACATCCAATTAGAGAGTGCCCAAGGAGGTTCAGCATAGCCCAGCCAGCAAAGATTATTTGTTTACTTTAAGAGGGAGTTAAGAGTGGCCGTTTGGGGATAGCACCAGGAGACATCAGCTGTGATGGCTTGGAGAAACTGTGTAAACCGGCAGTGTAAACAAGAGTAGGGCATTTATGAGTAGAGAACGGTGAATAGGAGTATGACTAGACAGAAGACAGTAGGGATGACAAGTTTTTTGGGGCACAGTCCAAGTTGGTCTGGTGTCTGGAATGAGACTGAGGCCTACTAAAAAGGAGCATCCATACAGGAGCTCAAATGGGCTGTACCCTGTAGCATTCCCAGGACAGGCCTGAATTCTGAGAAGGGAAAGTGGTAAAAGGATTGTCCAGTCCTTTTTAAGTTGGTGGCTGAGCTTGGTGAGGTGTTTTTTAAAAGACCATCAGTTTGCTGAATACCAAGAGCCTGAGAAACTGCTTGGGTGATTTGACTAATAAAGGCCGGTCAGTTATCGGATTGTATAGAGGTGGGAAGGCCAAACCAAGGAATTATGTCTGACAGAAGCGAAGAAATGACCGCGGTGGCCTTCTTAGACCCTGTGGGAAAGGCCTCTACCCATCCAATGAAAGTGTCTACCCCGACCAAGAGGTATTTTAGTTTCCTGACTGGAGGCATGTGAGTAAAGTCAATTTGCCAGTCCTGGGCTGGGGCAAATCCCCGAGCTTGATGTGTAGGGAAGGGAGGGGGCCTGAACAATCCCTGAGAGGTAGTAGAATTGCAGCTGGAACACTGAGAAGTGATTTCCTTGAGGGTAGAGTCCCATGATGGAAAGGAAATGAGAGGTTCTATGAGGCAGGCTTAATGGCTTGTAACCTACATGGAAGAGGTTATGAAATGATGACAGAATAGAATGGGCTTGTGAGACTGGAAGGAGGTATTTTCTTTGGTCCAAGAACCACTTGCCTTGTGTGGGAAGAGATAGGTGGAAGTTTCAGTGAGGGAGTAGGTGGGAGTAGCCAGATGAGAAGGAAGAAAACTGCCATGAGGGATAGAAATTGGAACACTAGCTGCTTTTTTTAGCTATCTTATCAGCATAAGCATTGTCCTGAGCAATGGGATCTGATGCCTTTTGATGGCTGCTTTTTTAGCTACCTTATCAGCATAAGCATTGTCTTGAGCGATGGGATCTGATGCCTTTTGATGGCCTTTGCAGTGAATGACTCCAGCTTCCTTTGGAAGTAAAGCGGCTTTGAGAAGAGTTTTTGTTAAAGAGGCATTAATGATGGAGGACCCTTGCATAGTGAGGAAATTTCTTTCTGCCCATATAACAGCATGGTGGTGCAAGATATGGAAGGCATATTTACAGTCAGTATAAATATTGACGCGTAGTCCTTTTGCGAGAGCGAGGTCTCGAGTTAAGGCAGTGAGTTCAGCTTGCTGAGAGGTAGTGGAGCGGGGCAGAAAGTATATACTATATTCTCTCTTGGAAGGATAGTTGGATAAAATGAGTGGAAAATTAAAATGAATTTACATGTATGAATATTTCTGAATTCTTTAGCATATTTATAAATTAAAACTAGAAATATAAAAATTAAGTCTCATTACTATTCAGTTCTGTTTACCCAGATGTTTTTATTTCATTAGCAAATTAAAAAAACTAATTATCTAACATGCAGTTTTAAATTATAGACTTACATGATCACTGTAACTCCTTCCAACTTTAAAGTTTTATAGTTCTAATATTTTAAAACAAATTTAAAGTTTAAGTATCAAGTACTGTTATATATATATGAGTCATGACATATTCTTAAATTACTATATTTAGTAATTTTATTGATTTTATATTAGATATTGGGGTAGACTTTTTTTTAAAAAAGTCAGTGGCCTTTTAAAATCTTTTTGGTTTAGGTTAAATATGAAGCAGAAACTTAATATATTATATACTACACTAATATTTTGGATATAATCCAAGAAAATGGATGTGTATTTCCCATTTTGGCCACCAGAGGGTGAGCATATTATTTTATTTATTAGAGAGATGGATAGTATTATATTTCTCTGCACTGTGTTAGGTCCTTTATGACTTCTAAGACTGCTTTTGGCAAACTGTATTGGACACTATGGCTATATGCATATTCAGGCATATAACACCCATTTTTTTTGAGACAGAGTCTTGCTCTGTCACTCAGGCTGGACTGCAGTGGTGCTCTCAGCTCACTGCAGCCTTGTTTTTCTGGGCTCAGGTGATTCTTCCATCTCAGCCTTCCGAGTAGCTGGTACTACAGGCATACGCTACCACACCCAGCTCGTTTTCATATTTTTTTTTTGTAGAGGTGGGGTTTTGCCATGTTGCCCAGGCTGCTCTAAAATTCCTGGGGTCAAGCGATTTGGTGCCTTGGCCTCTCAAAGTGCTGAGATTACAGGCATGAGACACTGCCCCCAGCCAACACCCATTCTTATTAGAGAACATATTCTAATTTATAATGGGGATACTAAGTCTTCTTCTCCTAATGAGTCTTCATGAGTTTGCAAGTTTAAGAG
Source organism: Homo sapiens (assembly GCF_000001405.40). Lineage (NCBI taxonomy): Eukaryota > Metazoa > Chordata > Mammalia > Primates > Hominidae > Homo > Homo sapiens. The sequence continues at coordinate 63,575,983 of NC_000001.11, forward strand.
CATTCAAAGTTAGCCCTGCTATCTTTACGTAGTCTTATAAAGCCTATCTTTGATGCTCAGCCTAGCTTAATTTCTGGGGGAAAAAAGAACTGTAATGATTTGAGGAAAAATAAAGCAAATAGTGGACCTGATTCAGAGGATATAGATGAGATTCATGTGGTGAGGTAATGTGTGAGCCAGGAACTCTAGGAATCATTATTGAAAGTCTGAGGGGTAGGCCTGACACGGTGGCTCACGCCTGTCATCTCAGCACTTGGGAGGCCGAGGCTGGCAGATCACCTGAGGTCAGGAGTTCGAGACCAGCCTGGCCAACATGGTGAAACTCTGTCTCTACTAAAAATATAAAAATTAGCTAGGTGTGCTGGCGGACGCCTGTAATCCCAGCTACTTGGGAGACTGAGGCAGGAGAATCGCTTGAACCCTGGAGGCAGAGGTTTCAGTGAGCTGAGATCGCATCATTGCATTCCAGCCCGGGCGACATGAGTGAGACTGTCTCAAAAACAACAACAACAAAAAAACAAAAAATAACAAAGTACTTTAATAATAAGTACTCTTGTCCAGGTGCAGTGGCTCACGCCTGTAATCCCAGCACTTTGGGAGGCTGAGGTGGGTGGATCACCTGAGGTCAGGAGTTCGAGACCAGCCTGGCCAACCTGGTGAAAGCCCCGTCTCTACTAAAAATAAAATTAAAAAAAAAAAAATTAGCTGGGCGTGGTGGCGGGCATCTGTAATAATCCCAGCTACTCGGGAGGCTGAGGCAGGAGAATCACTTGAACCCGGGAGGCAGAGTTTGCAGTGAGCTGAGATCACCCCACTGCACTCCAGCCTGGGTGACAGAGAGAGACTCTGTCTCAAATAAATAAATAAATAATAATAAGTGCTCTTGGCCGGGTGCTGTGTCTCATGCCTGTAATCCCAGCATTTTGAGAGGCCGAGGCAGGCGGATCACAAAATCAGGAGTTCGAACCAGCCTGGCCAATATGGTGAAACCCCATCTGTACTAAAAATACAAAAATCAGCCAGGTGTGGTGGTGTGCATCTGTAGTTCCAGCTACTTGGGAGGCTAAGGCAGGAGAATCGTTTGAACCCAGGAGGCTGAGGTTGCAGTGAGCTGAGATCTGCCACTGACTCCAGCCTGGGTGACAGAGTAAGACTCAAAAAAAAAAGAGTACTTTTTTTTTTTCACCCAATACATTTCTAAAAATATATATGAATATTTAACAAAAAAGACTTACATATGATAAAGGAGTTGGAGTATGGTTCCATTTCTCAAAAATTAAATATTTTTCAACTTCTTTTAGACACAGTTGATAAATATTCAACATTTAATACATATTCTTAATTGTATTCTTACCTTTCCAATTGAATACAAGAGTAAGCAAGTTAAATTCAAGGCCAGCTTAAGTTCAGTTATCTGATTCAGGCTAATGTCAGCATGTTATGAAAATGAAATCGTTCCAGAATGCCAGTATTGTAAGCTTTCTGGCAATTTCTGATATAGTATGCGGAATTACTAAAAAGTAAATTTCTCTCTGCCTTTTTAAATATCCATTACAAAAGTATCCAGAATTGGCTTTTGAAAAAAAAGTTTTTTCTTAGTAGAGAAGTAAAAATAGGAGTAGACTAGGCTAGGGAATAGTACACAGGGACATCCAATTAGCATGTATCTATTACATATTAATTAGTTAAAATAAATAAGTAGTAGGTGTCATCTCTGTCCTCAGGACAAGAAAGCTAAGGAAATGAGTTACATGTTAACCTGTTAGGGAATAATATTAAATCTTAATAAATGCCAGTCATTAAGCATTAAACTAATGATGTGAATATGGAAACAGAAGAGGAGGGGAAGGCTTGACCAATTTAGAGGATGTAGATGAAAGTAGATGAAAATCTGTTGGAGGACTGAAGGAATGAAGTTTAGTTTGAAGCTAAGTAGTGCTTTGATTTGTTTTTACTCATGTAATATAATGTATTTTAAAATTTAAATAATATAAAAAGAGGACACATTTTAATAACTATTAAAGGAAATGAGGCATAGTCTTTAAAATACTAAGTAGTACTACACTAAAATGTTAGATTAAGTTTGACAGTGTTAGAGCAAGTTTGGACAAGTTGGAAAAATGAATGTGGGCTGGAAGAATCAGGGGAACCTGATTCTGTAACTGAACTTTAAGTGACCTTGAAGAGATAGGAGGGATTTAGAAAGAGGAGAGGAAATGAAAATTTAAGGTATTTTCTAATGTTTTTCACTTTTCCTAGAATGTTATTGTATCTTTGCCTATTAATATCATAAGCAATAGATCAATCATATATAAATTGAGTCCCTAATGTGTGCAAAGTACTGCTTTAATTATTGCTTATATAGAGGTGAACAAGCCAGACATTGCTCCTGCCCTCATTATATATAGTCTGTCAGAGAAGATAGATTGTGAACAAGTATTACAGGCTGTACCTCTAACATACATTTTTTTTTTTTTTTGAGACAGTCTCGCTCTGTCATCCAGGCTGGAGTGCAGTGGCGCAATCTCAGCTCACTGCAAGCTCCGCCTCCCGGGTTAACACTGTTCTCCTGCCTCAGCCTCCCGAGTAGCTGGGACTACAGGCGCCCACCACCACGCCCGGCTAATTTTTTGTACTTTTAGTAGAGATGGGGTTTTACCGTGTTAGCCAGGACGGTCTCGATTTCCTGACCTCGTGATCTGCCCGCCTCGGCCTCCCAAAGTGCTGGGATTACAGGCGTGAGCCACTGCGCCCGGCCTCACAAGCAATAGATCAATCATATATAAATTGAGTCCCTAATGTGTGCAAAGTACTGCTTTAATTATTGCTTATATAGAGGTGAACAAGCCAGACGCTGCTCCTGCCCTCATTATACATAGTCTATCAGAGAAGACAGATTGTGAACAAGTATTACAGTCTGTACCTGTAACATACATTTTTTAAATACCTCATCCTTCATGAAACCTTTAATTTTTTTCTCAGCCCAGAAGAAACTGTTCTACTTCTTGAACTTCTATTTTAAAACGAGTACTTTTTTCCTGTGGGGTTTTTATTTCAGATAAAAAAAAAATCATACAGTAAATTTGACCCTTTTTTGGTGGGTTGGGGGGAAGCTTTCACAGTTCTATTAATGTAACACATGTATAGATTCATATAACCACCACCACAATCAGGATACAGAGCAGTCCCATCACTAAAAAACTCCCTCACGTTATTTCTTATAGTCACATCCCCATGACCTTACCCCTGTGCATACTCCTATCCCCTGGAAACCACTATTCTATTCTCATCACTATAGTTTTGTTTTTGAGAATGTTGTATAAGTGGAATCATGCAGTATGTAACCTTTTGAGACTGAATCCTTTTATTCAGCATAATGCCTTTGACAATCATCCAAATTGTATGTATCAATAGTTCCCTTTATTGCTGAGTAGTATTTTATTATATGATTGTATTACAGTTTATGCATTCATCTGCTGGGTGGTTTCCAGTTTTTGGTAACTATTAATAGAACTGCTATAAAGTTCATCTACAGATTTTTACATGAACATAAGTTTTTATTCCTCTATAGTAGATACCCACAGGTAGTACTGCTGGATCATATGGTAAATATATGTTTGACTTTTTAAGAAACCGCCAAAGTGTTTTCCAGATTGGCTGTACCATTTTGCACTTCCAGCAGCAATGTAGGAGAATTCCAGTTATTCTGCAACCTTATCAGTACTCGGTATTGTCTGCGTTTTTTATTTTAGCCATTATAATAGATGTGCAGTGGTATCTCATTGTGATTTTAGTTTGTATTTCCCTAATGGCTAATGATGTTGAACAACTTTTCATAGGCTTGTCATCTGCATACATAGTATACTTTTTGATGGTGTGCTTCTTCAAGCCTTTTGCCCATTTGAAATTAGGTTATTTGTTTTCTTACTGTTGAGTTTTGAGTTTCATTTTCTTACCATTTGATTCTTTATAAATTCTGGATATGCCTTTTATTGGATATGTTATTTGAAAGTATTTTCTTCTCTTCTGTAGATAGTCTTTTTGTTCTCTTAACTGGATCGTATAGAGAGTGAAAGTTTTACATTTTGATGAAGTCCAATTAATCAGTTTTTCATTTAATGGATTATGCATTTGGTGTCAAGTTAGAAGTCGTTGTCTAACCCCAGGTCACAAAGATTTTTCTTCTGCTTTCTTCTAAAAGTTGTATAGTTTTACTTCATACATTTATATGTGTGATGCATTTTGAGTTAATTTTTGTATGAGTTCTGAGGTTTAGGTTGAGGTCCATTTTTTTTCATATGGATGTCAGTTATTCCAATATCATCGGTTGAAAAGATTATCCTTTCTCCATTAAATTGCTCTTGTACCTTTGTTGAAAAATTCACTGGTCATATAGAACCATATCTTTGCATGAGTCTATTTCTGAACTCTATTCTGTTCCATTGATCGATGTGTCTTTCCCTTCACTAATACTACATTGTCCTGATTACAGTAGCTTCATTGTAAGTCTTATATTCAGGTAACATGATTTCCCCAATGGTACTGTTCTTTTCCAGAATCATCTTAGCTATTTTAGTTTCTTTCCCTTTTCATATAAATTTTAGAACTGGCTTGTTTATATCTACAAAAAATAAATCCTGCTGGGATTTTAACTGGTATTGTGTTAACTGTATTGATCATTTGGGGGGAACTGGCATGTTTATTATGTTGACTCTTCCAATTCATGAACATAGTATTGCTCTCCACTTATGTAGGTTTTATTTCTTTGATCAGCATTTTGTAGTTTTCAGCATACAGCTCCTATATATCCTTTATTAGATTTATACCTAAATATTTTATTTTTATGAGCTGTTTGTATTTTTGTTTTCAGCTGTGCATTGCTAATATGTAACAATATGATTGATTTTTATATGTTGGCTTTATATCCTGAGACCCTTGTTAAACTCATTTATTTGTCCTAGGAAGGTTTTTTTTTATTGTGTTTTATATATCCCTTGGGATTTTCTACTTAGAAAAGCATGTAATCTGCAAATGGGGACAGTTTCATTTCTTTCTTTCCTATCCATATGCCTTTTATGTCTTTTTTCTTGCCTTATTGCATTGGCTAAGACTTCCCATTAAGATATCAAATAAGAACAATGACAGTGGATATCCTTTCCTTGCTCACAATCTTAGTGGGGAAAGCATTCAGTCTTTTACCACTATTTTATGTTAGCTGTGGATGTTTTTGTAGATGCCCTTAATTAGGTTATAGAAGTTACTTCTCTTTAGTTTGCTGAGAGTTTTTATTAAGAATGGATGATGAGCCAGGAGCAGTGGCTTCTGGCTGTGGTCCTAGCTACTCAGGAGGCTCATGCAGGAGGATCACTTGAGCCTGAGCATTCAAGAATCCCGTCTCTTAAAAAAAAAAAAAAAAAAAAAAAGGGTGGATGCTCAATGTTGTCAAATATTTTTTTCTACTTCAATTGATGTGGTTGTATGGTTGGGTTTTCTTCTTTAGACTGTTAATATGGTACCTTATTTTCTGATCTGAAACCTGACTGATTTTCAAATTTGAACCAGCCTTTCATTTCTAGGATAAATTCCACTTAATTGTGATATGTTATTCTTTTTATATATTTTGGATGTCAGTTTGCTAATACAGTTGACCCTTGAACAACATTGGGTTTGAACTTCATGGGTCCACTTATATGTGGATTTTTTCAATAAATAAATTGGAAAATTTTTTGGAGATTTGTGACATTTTGAAAAAACTCACTGCATAGCCTAGAAATAACCAAAAAAGCAAGAAAAAGTTAGGTATGTCATGAATGCATAAAATATATGTAGATAGTGGCCTGTTTTATCATTTACTACATAAAATCTACACATACATAAAATCTATTATAAAAAGTTAAAATTTATCAAAATTTAGGCACATAAACACAGACTACACATGGTGCCATTCATAGTCGAGACAAACGTAAACAAACGTAAATATGCAGTATTAAATCATAACTGTATAAAATTAACTGTAGTACATATTGCAGTATTGTAATAATTTCATAGCTACCTCCTGCTGCTATTGCAGTAAACTCAAGTGTTGTGAGTATCCACTGAAAACACTGCATGCTGTGATGCTAAACTGTGAGAGCAGCTTGTCTCTCCAGTAAATTGCATATCAAAGTAAAGAAATGATCTCATAGTTCTTATGTATTTTTCATTGTATTTAATGGAATATTGTAAACCTTGTCTAACACTATGGGACCCATTCAAAATGCCACTAGTGACATTAGTGATGCCGGAAGTGCTCCTAAGAAGCATAGCAAAGTCATGACATTACAAGAAAAAGTTGAATTGCTTGATATGCATTGTGGATTGAGGTTTGCAGATGTGGTTGCCTGCCATTTCAAGATAAATTAAGAAAACATAAGGACCATTGTAAAAACAGAAAAGGAAATTCATAACACCGTTGCTGCAGCTATGCCAGCAGGCATGAGAACCTTGCCCTTTTTGCAAAATACCTTTTCATCTCATATTGGAAATGCAGCTTTTATGTGGGTACAGGATTGCTATAAGGAAGTCATACCTGTAAATTAACAGGATTTTTAAAAAAGTGAAGTCATTATATGACAAAGCAAAAGGAAGTTTTTTGGGTTTTTTTGAGATGCAGTCTCGCTCTGCCTCCCAGGCTGGAATGCAGTGGTGCCATCTCAGCTCACTGCAACCTCTGCCTTCTGGGTTTAAGCAATTCTGCCTCAGCCTCTCGAGTAGCTGGGACTACGGGTGTATGCCACCATGCCCAGCTAATTTTTGTATTCTTGGTAAAGATGGGGTTTCACCATGTTGGCCAGGCTGGTCTCGAACTTCTGACCTCAGGTAATCCACCCACCTCGGCCTCCCAAAGTGCTGGGATTACAGGCGTGAGCCACCGCACCCAGCCATGCAAAAGGAAGTTTAAGGATATTAAGCTCAAAAGTTTAGTGCCAGCAAAGGATGGTTTGATAATTTTTGAAAGAGGTTTGACTTAAAAAGTGTCAAGATAACAGGAGAAGCAGCTTCTGCCAGCAAAGAAGGATCAGATGAGTTCTCAGATACTATTAAGAAAATCATTGAGGAGGAATGATATCTGCCTGAACAGGTTTTTAATGCAGACTAATGTGCCCTATTCTGGAAAAACATGCCACAGAAGACATTTATTAGTAAGTAAGGGAAGCAAGCACCAGGATTTAAGGCAGGAAGGGATAACAAACTCTACCATTTTATGAATGCAGTCACATTTATGATCAAGATTGCCCTTATCTATAAAGGTGCTAAACTCTCCCCCTTCAATGCCCTACCCTCCGCAGCCTTGAAGGGAAAAGATAAACACCAGCTGCCAGTCTTTTGGTTGTACAACAAGAAGGTCTGGACAATGAGAACCCTTTTTCTAGATTGGTTCCATCAATGCTTTGTCGCTGAAGTCAGGAAGTACTTTGCCAGTAAGCGACCACCTTTTACAGTTTTTTTGATCTGGCACAATGTCCCTGGCCACACGGAACCCCATGATTCAACACTGAAGGTGTCAATGAGGTCTACTTGCTCCCCAAAACAAGGTTCCTAATTCAACCTATAGATTGGAGGTCATGAGGGCCTTTAAGTCTCATTTCACGTGGGAGGTACTCTGTGGAAAGGAATGTCAACGCTATGGATGAGAACCCCCAATAGAGAGAAACCATGATATGAAGCCGAGATGGCCTTTTAGAAAAGAAAACTATATAAAAATAAAAGACTGAAAGATTAAAACAACAATAACAAAAGGACATCATAAAAGTCTATAAAGATAATACCATTGATTATGCTACAGAAAAAGCCATGAAAGTCATCAAACCTGAAACAATAAATTCCTGATGGAGAAAACTGTGTCCAGATGTTGTGCATCATTTCACAGAATTTATGACAGACCTAATCAAAGAAATGAAAGACGTGGATATGGCCAAAAAAAAAAAAAAAAAAAAAGTGGGAGGTGAAAGGTTTTAAGATATGGATCTTGGAGAAATTCAAGACACCACACCAGAGGAGTTAAGACAACAGGAGAGAGTTGAGTGATTCTGAACCAGTGCCAAATGATGTGGAAGAAGACATAGAAGAAGCAGTGCCAGGAAACAAAATGACATGAGACAGTCTGGCATAAGGGTTCTGATTATTCAAGATCACTTTTGACTTCTTTTGCAACATGGAAACTAAAGCAAACAGTGGAAGATGGATTGTACTGTATAGAAACATTTTTAGAGAAATGAGAAAGCAAAAAAGTCAGACAAAAATTACAGTGTAGCCGGGTGTGGTGGCTCATGCCTATATCTCAGCACTTTGGGAGGCTGAGGTGGAAGGATTGCTTGAGGACAGGAGTTCAAGATCAGCCTGGGCAACATGGTAAGACATTGTCTCTACAAAAAATAAAATTAGCTGGGCATGGTGGCACACACCTGTAGTCCCGGCTACTCATGAGGCTGAGGCCAGAGGATCACTTGAGCCCAGGAGTTCGAGGCTGCAGTGAGCTATGATTGCACCACCACAATCCAGCCTGGGCAATGGAGCAAGATCTTGTCTTGAAAAAAGAAAAAAATTACAGTGTATTTCCAAGTTACACCAAGTGTGCCTGCCTCTTCTGCTTCTGCTACTCTTGAGACAGCAAGACCAACTTCTCTTCTTCCACCTTCTATTCAACATGGAGATAATGAGGATGAAGACTTATGATGATCCACTTTCACTTAATGAACAGTAAATATATGTTCTCTTATGGTAACAAATAACATTTTCCTTTCTCTAGCTAACTTTATTGTTTATGTTCCATAAGGCTTCTGGTCAACATAGGCTATTAGTAGTTAAGTTTGGGGGGAGTCAAAAGTTATGGATAGATTTTCCACTTGTGGGGGTGGTTGGCATTCATAACCCCCATATTATTTCAGGGTCAACTGTACATTGTTGAGCATTTTTGTGACTGCATAAAATGGATGTTGGTCTGTAGTTTTCTTAATTGGAAATGTCTTTGTCTTGTTTGGGTATCAGAGTAATTCTGGCCTCATAAGATGAGTTGGGAATGCTTTCTCGTTTTCTGGAAAAGACTGTAAAATTGGTGTTATTTCTTTAAATGTTCACTTGAATTTCTCATTAGAAACATCTAGGCATGAAGATTTATTTTGGAAGAGGTTTTTTTTTTTTTAATACAAATTCAATTTCTTTAACAGCTACAGGATATTCAGTTTACCTATTCTTGGTTGAGTTTTGGTAGTTTGTAGTTTTTGAGCATTTGGTCCATTTTATCTAAGTTGTCAAATTTATGTGCATAGAATTTTTTAAAATTGTCAATGCAGTCTGTAGTGATATCCCTTTTTCATTTCTGATATTAATAAAATGTGTCTTCTCTGTTGGTCTTGCTGGAGGTTTGTCATTTTTATTGATCTTTTCAAAGAAAAGTTTTATTGATTTTATTTAGTTTTATTGATTTTCTCTTTTTTTGTTTTTAATTTTGTTGATTTCTGCTCTTACCTTTATTCATTCCTTCTTTCTGCTTACCCTGGGATTACTTGTTCTTTTCCTAGTTTCTTAAGGTAGAAGCTTAGATTATTAAGATCTTGCTTTTTAATATTAGCTTTAAAAATCAGTACCTTTTTGTAGCTTATACTTCGTATATTTTATTAATTTGTGTACATGTCTAGATTTCCCTATTTTAATGTTCTGGAGTGCAGGGATCTTATTTTGGTTGGCTAATCTGGGACCTAACTGACTATCCTGTACTGTGTGCTTAGTAAAAATTTGATAGGTGGTTTGAAAAGGAACAGATGGGTGAAAGGGAGAGTAAGTGAAGGTATGAATAAAAGTATTTCAAAGAAGGTTTCAAAATTAAGAAAAATAACAGAACCTAAGAATCATATCCAGGGAAGTGATATCAAGGGAAAAAAGAAAAACAGTTCTGTCATGAGGAAAAATTGCTAATACCAGCCAATTCTAAACTAGTTCTGATAGACTGCGTTCAGAATCTCAAGGTGGCATACAGAACACTCCCAGTACACTGCAGCAATTCTACATAGTGAATAAACAAAGAACTATGTTTCCTAGACAATTCAAGGAAAAAAACATTTTTGACCTTAGTTTTTCAGATAATTTAAGCAAGATAATAATTTGGAGATATTTACCTCCGTGATTTTCTTGATTCCTTCCTTCACTCGTGCTACACTTGATATATATTTCTCTGGTGTTTATTGATTGTAGAGCCTTAGGATAGCCTTTTTTTTTTTTTTTCCTTATTCTGTCTCTTGCTGTCACCTGAAATCATGCTTTAGGCCTCCAGAGGATCAAGCCATAAGTTTTGTGGCTCATAGCCCTCCATAAAATTAAAGCATCTGTGTATTAGTCTGTTCTCATGCTGCTATGAAGAAATACCTGAAACTGGGTAAATCATAAAGAAAATAGGTTTAATTGACTCACAGTTCTGCATGGCTGGGGAGGCCTCAGGAAACTTAAAATCATGGCAGAAGGCACCTTTTCACAGGGCGGCAAGAGAGAGAATGAGTGCCCAGCAGAAGGGGGAAGCCCCTTATAAAACCATCAGGTCTTGTGAGAACTCACTCACTATCACAAGAACAGCAGCATGGGGTTAACTGCCCCTATGATTCAATTACCTCCCACCAGGTCCCTCCCATGACATGTGGGGATTATGGGAACTACAAGATGAGATTAGGGTGGGGACACAGCCAAACCATATCAATCTGTATTAGTTTTCTATAAGTGCTGTAACAAATTACCACAAACTTGGTAGCTTAAAACAACAGAAATTTATTTTCTCACAGTTCTGGAGGCCAGAATTTCAAAATCAGTATAACTGGGCCAAAATCAAGGTGACGACAGGGTGGTGCTTCCTTGGAAAGTTTTAAAGGAGACTGCATTTTTTGTCTCATCCAGCTTTTGGTGTCTGCCAGCATTCCTTGGCTCGTGACTACATCACTCCAATCTGCCTCCTTGGCCTTCTCCTCTTTTGCAGTCAAATGTCCCCCTTTCTCTGTCTTCTAAGGACACTTGTAATTGCATTTAGAGCCCTCTTGGACAATCCAGGATAATCTTTCCATCTCAAGATTCTTAATTATATCTGCAAACTCATTTATGCCATATAAGGTAACACTCACAGATTCTGGGGATTAGGAAATGTATAACTTTTAGGAGCCATTATTTAACCTACCACAGCATCTAACAAGGAATCAAGAATACTGATGAAATGGAAAAATGAAGACATTCATTATCTCTTGAAAAATGTCCTTCACAATCTGTATTTTTAAAAATCTTATCTTTTGCCATTTGAAATATTAATATTTGCATATCAAATATTCATATAAATTAATTCAGACTGATATCCTTTATAGAAGATTCCAAAAATGAATTCTAAGGAAAAAGTCCAATTTATCACATATATCAATCCTTTTCACACATAGCCTCATGAATAACCACTTGACACTGAAACATGAATTCAGAAACTATTATTATTTTGGCACAGGAACAAACTTCAGAATCACAGCATGCAGATATCTATTAACTTTTATTCAAGTAAAAGTTTTAAACACCTGAATAACTTATGGATACAAACGGACATCGGTTTCATATTGCTTCCATATGTAGGAACTAGTCATTTCAGCAAATTACAAATAGATCAGGATTTAATAAACTGAATCTGCAGTCAAGAAGAACCTATGATTTAGACTGCATAAATGAACTAAAATGACATTTGCAATATTGTTCAGCATTAATTTGGGTTGATATGGAATTGTCAATTATTTTCCAGTTACAAATAACTGTACATTCTTATAGAAGATTATTTACAACTGACTTACTCTATTAGAGCTCTGTTAACTGAGAGACTAGTCTCTAGTTAGAGACTAGTTTAGGACATTCTAGTCCTAAACTGTAGACATCCTCAATATTCCTCAATATAGATTATTCCACCATTACTTGACACCACCAGACAGGAAGATGAGGATACATAGATATAGAGCTGTTTTGTTTTTAACAATAACATGATACATGCTTTTATTGTATGCCAAATAGGTGCCTGCTAAGGCTTTGTCTATATGTTGTTAATGAATTACTTTTCAATATTTCTCACTTTGATAATTGGTTTCTATATAAGCCATGTAACTAATAACTGTTAAATGTTAATGCCACTATATCACCCACTTCACCATCCAGTATTTTCATTATAAACTCCATACATCTTTTTTATTATAAATTTCACATACATACCATTGATTATTTGTTGCAGTCATCAAAGATTGCTATCCTATAGTAAATACATTTCTTTAAATCATTGCAATTGGAATGCAAATGAAGGATAAATATGATTGTACTTGAGAATAGTAAAATTCATAGAGACAGAATAGTGGTTTTCAGGGGTAGGAGGGAGGAGGGAATGGGGAGTTACTGTTTCATGGGTACAGAGTTTCAGTTTGCGAAGATGAAAATGTTCTGGAGATGGATGGTACAATGGTTGCACAACAATGTGAATGTACTTAGTGCCACTGAATGTACACTTAAAAATCATTAAAATGGTAAATTTCATTACGTATGTCTTGCCACAATGAAAACAAAATGCTTTTGTTTGTTCACTGCTGTTATGATAAAGATCTCAACACCTGACATCCCCTACAAGGCCCAATATGATCAGACCTACCATTCCACCCCGAGGTTTTTATACTCCAGTTACACTAACTGTCTTTTTTCAAGTTATTGATGACACTAGATTCCTTCTTACTTTAAACTTCCCTTAACGTTCTTTCTGGAATGAAATGCTCCTCCTCTCTTTTCACCTGGCCAGGTACTATTACTCATTGTTTTATCCCTCAGCTTACATAGCACTTTCTCCAGGATATTGTCCATGACTCTCTCCAATGATAGATCCTTCTATTTACAATCTAACAGCACCTATACTTCTTTGTTGCACTTATCACAATTATGATTTATTATTCAGTATCTGTCTCCTGCAACATATTGCAAGATCTGTGAGACCAGAGACTATTTTGCTTTTTTTTTTTTTTTGAGACGGAGTCTCGCTCTGTTGCCCAGGCTGGAGTGCAGTGGTGCGATCCTGGCTCACTGCAAGATCCGCCTCCCGGGTTCACGCCATCCTCCTGCCTCAGCCTCCTGAGTAGCTGGGACTACAGGCACCTGCCACGACACCTGGCTAATTTTTTGTATTTTTAGTAGAGATGGGTTTTTACCCTGTTAGCCAGGATGATCTCGATCTCCTGACCTCATGATCCGCCCACCTTGGCCTCCCAAAGTGCTAGGATTATAGGCGTGAGCCACCGCGCCCGGCCGAGACTATTTTGTCTTATTCATCAAACACCTTTCAAAGAGCTGTCATTTAGTACAAGTTCAAAACATATTTATAGAGTTAATGAATCAATACACGAACGAATACATCTAAATGGTAAAGAATAATTCATTAATGAAATAATGAGGGCCGGGTGTGGCGGCTCATGTCTGTAATTGCAGCACTTTGGGAGGCCGAGGAAGGCAGATCACTTGAGGTCAGGAGTTCCAGACCAGCATGGCCAACATGGCGAAACGCCATCTCTACTAAAAATACAAAAATTAGCTGGGCATAGTGGCATGTGCCTGTAATTCCAACTACTTGGGAGGCTGAGACACGAGCATTGCTTGAACCCCAGAGGTGGAGGTGGAAGTGAGCCAAGATCGTGCCACTGCACTCCAGCCTGGGTGATGGAGTGAGACTGTCTCCAAAAAAAAAAAAAAAAAAAAAAAAGTAAGGATTACCACTTAAAAGGTATTTCAAAGAAAAGGAAAATACATAATATGTACTTATCATTTTAAAAATAATACAAATTCCCTATAGAAAACCTGGAAAATCCAGATAAAATATAAAGAAAATAAACATTGCCCTATCTTGCAACTCAGTGGTAATCATTGTTGCATATCTTGGTATATTTCCAATGGCTTCTTTCCCGATTTCAGTGCTACCCACAGGGGAATAAGACTCCTTCTCTTGCTTTTCATAAATACTACAACTTGGAAATCTCTGCAAGTCAATTTTTGAACGTGGGTAGAACCTGTGAATACGATGATACATTACTCCTATGAACACGTTACAAAGGGAGATTATCCAGGTAGGTCTAATCTAAGAAATGGGGACCTCAATCCTACAACTGCAAGGAAATAGATCCTGCCAGCAATCTGAATGCGCTGTGTTAAAATCAGATCAAACTTTAAAAATTTTTAAAAGTTTAGCATGCATACAAAGAACAGTTTACAAACTGGAAGACATCTAACCAAAAGTGGCAAGAAGCCCAGCTCACAGCAGTTACAGTACAGCTTATAAACATTGAGGAAGAAGTATTTTGACCTTCGTTACATTCTTTTTAAGGCGAGTAGAGCTGTTAAGCTGATTTGTCTATAGCTGATTGGTTTAATTTCATTGACTCACACTGTCAAGGACATTTTGTGTTTTGTTTATGTCTAGAGCAAGTGTTTCAGGGAAATAAGGATGACTTAAGTTTTGGCTACCTGGCTATGGGTGGTTGGACTTAAAATATCTAAACTGGAGCCTCTATTTTTATTTATCTTTAACACTTGAAAGAAATTCTTCCCAGAGCCTCCAGATAAGAAGCCAGCTTGGCTCTTGACTTCAAATCAAGGTGTTCTTCCCAGAGGCTCCAGATAAGAACGCACCAAGCTTGGGTGGGTTCTTATCTTGAGGCTCTGGGAAGAATTCAATGAAATTAAACCAACTGGCTATAGACAAATCAGTTTAAACAGGTATGCTTGCCTTAAAAAGAATTTAATGAAGGTCAAAATACTTTCTCCTTGATGTTTATAAGCTGTTATATATCCGTGATTACCAGGATTGAACCTGGCCAAACCTTTTGATCTATAGAATTGGGACTTCTTATCTATAGAATTGTGACATCATAAATGGGTGTTGTTTTCAGCTGTTGAGTTTGTGGTAATTTGTCATACAGCAGTAGAAAAGTACGGGTTGAGTATCCCAAATCCAAAAATCCCAAACCCAAAATGCTCCAAAATCCAAAACTTTTTGAGTGCCAACATGACACTCAAAGGAAGTGCTCATTGGAACATTCTGAATTTGGGATTTTTGGATTTGGGATGCACAACCATTGTAATGCAAACATTCCAAAATCCGGAACAATCTAAAATCTGAAACATTTCTGGTACCAAACATTTCGGATAAGGGATACTCAATCTGTAATACAAGGGGATTGCATAAAGGCATGATTATCAGGAGGCAAGGAACATGGGGATCATGTTAGGTCTGTATAAGGGGCCACAGTAACCCTGTCCAGAACAGCAGAACTGCCAGTTAACTCATAGAATCATGAACTATAATCATGAATGGGGGTTGTCTTAAGCCACTCAGATTTAGACTGGTGTGTTATGCAGTTAAAGCTAATTGTTACAACTTCTGGGGTGAGAGAAGTATAGATCAATTCCTCTTAAATGAAAAGCTCCATCATATTTCCAAAGATACTGAAGAATATAGAAAGGGCATGAGATCTGAATTTGGGCCCGTGACTTTACAAGTTATCATTTATTGATGACTTACTTATTAGCACTGTGGTAGGAGCTGTATATTCTCTATCTAAACCATACAACTCTAAGGTAGGTATTTTGAAGGCTCAGTGAATCTATGCTATATTTTCATTTTGTGGAGTTAGATAACCTTGATTACATTCACCATCCAATCCTCAATTCTCTCGTCTATAAAATGGGCTTGATTATATTATTTAATTCACAAGATTACACTGCTCTGTAAACTCCTGTGCAAATATTAGAACTCATTACTAGCAGTCCAGGGTTCCGTTTTCACATAATATTTGCCACCGAAACTCATCTATAGTGACTACATCAACACACTGTATCTACATAGCATGTACTATATGAGCATGTATATCAACACTTGGTTTGTGAGAGTCTGCACTCTTATGGGTCTGTTCGCCTCCCTGCTTGATCAAGACATACCAATTAACTACCAAAAGAATATAATTCACAGGTGAATGATATGCTCTGGTTTTGGAATTGGGGAAGGGGAGCTAATATTTTTGAAGGCCTCTATGTTTCAGGCACCAGGCTAGATGATTTACTTCTAACAGCTGATTATGATTGAATTTGTTTGGACTGGGTCATTTAGAAACCACCTCAAGTAATTCTACTGTGAGCATGGGTCACAGTAGGATTCTACTGTGTATCCATGACTGAGAATTTCTGACATACAAAACCCCATTAAATCTTGCAAAAATATTCCAAAGTAGGTGATATGTTTATTTTACAGTAAGGAAATTGATGCCCACGGACATTAACTAACTTTCCCAAGAGCACACACCTTGTAAAGCCAAGTTTTTTGCCACTTTACCAAAATGACAGGTTTCTTGAACAGAGGAGACAATCACTCTCATCAAATTAAGGGAGATACTAAACCGAAAAGCAAGAAAGACTGAAGATTCCTACTTAATAATCAAATCCCCTTGGTTGACCTTGCTATCCCCCGTGAAACTTTTCCAGCCATGTCAGTCCTTGTTTGTTGATCTCCTCACTTTATTTCTATTACATGAGTAACTGGCTAATTTTGATGGTGTTCATACTTATCCTTACCATATATTTGCTCCTACATTTGTCAAGTCCTGCTTGTACATTTCCTAGTTGCCAACCTGGTGTCACAGCGGGCAAATCATGGGAAGAGCCCTGGTTTTGGAGCCAGACCACCTGAATTGGCCTCCCGCATGGACTTAGCTGTGTGGCAATGAGACAAGGCATTTTATTCTTTGAATTTCAGTTTTGTAAGCATAAAAAGGGGAAAAATAAAACCCAGAGTTTAGTAAGGTTTAGAAACGCTACACTCAGCAAGTCATAGCTAAGTCACCGTCACCAATGGTAGTCAAGTGTGTGGTGCAGCAGGAAACATTTGGAGTCGACTCCTTTACGGAACTCAAATGCCCTCACATTTAGGGAGAAATAGAAAGAATTACGACTCATGAAATCGAGCTGGGGCTGGCACTTCTGACCCTCCCAACAGGTTTCCAGAAAGCTATTTACACACGATGCATTCGCCAAACCACTGGAAATCATTCTACCCTGTACTTTTTTCCACCCTGCCTCACGTCCTTGCCCTATGACCGGGTTCCTACCCCAACCTCTGCCCCAACACTTAGAGGAGGAGTTGCGGGCCTCTTTTTACAGTGGATAGGATTCCGAAGGGGAGAGTAAATCAGTAAGGCTCCACCCATTTCACAGGAGGCCTAGAGACCGGCGCTCCCCTTTCCCCTCCCGCCGGACCTGCCAGGAGGTGGGCTGGCGCGGAGGGAGGGCCCTGTCCCCTGTCCCTTTAAGGAGGAGGGCCAAACGCCGGCCTAGAGTGCGGCGTAGCCCCCACCCGCCGTGCCCTCACCCCAGAGCAGCTGCAGCCTCAGCCGGCCGCCCCTCCGCCAGCCAAGTCCGCCGCTCTGACCCCCGGCAGCAAGTCGCCACCATGGTGAAGATCGTGACAGTTAAGACCCAGGCGTACCAGGACCAGAAGCCGGGCACGAGCGGGCTGCGGAAGCGGGTGAAGGTGTTCCAGAGCAGCGCCAACTACGCGGAGAACTTCATCCAGAGTATCATCTCCACCGTGGAGCCGGCGCAGCGGCAGGAGGCCACGCTGGTGGTGGGCGGGGACGGCCGGTTCTACATGAAGGAGGCCATCCAGCTCATCGCTCGCATCGCTGCCGCCAACGGGGTAAGGGATGCGCGGCCCCGCGCCGCTGTGCACCCTGGCGCGTGTGCGACGTGCGGCCCGCGGCGCCCTCCCTCGCTCGGGGCCGGCCGCTTCCGCGCGCTGCCGCCTCGGTTTCCACCTCCCGCTCCTCCCTCTCCTTCGCGCTCGCTCTTCTGGCCTGGAGGCCCGACGGAGGTCGCCGGGCTGGGGAAAGTGGCCACGGGACCCGGCAGACCTGCTCGCCTGACTCCCGGGGCGCCGGGAGGTGCGGGCGCGGAGCCTCCCAAGGTCACGCCCGACTCTCCGTCTCTAGCCGCTGCCTTCCCTCTCCCCGTCCCCCGCCCCTCCCGAGGCGTCTGACATTTGCCCTAACCTTGCAGCCTTGGAAGATACGATTACGGCGCAGAGTGCTGTCGCCTTAAGCAGGAAAGGTTAGACTGCCGCCGCCTCGCCCAGAGCCCCCTCGCATCCCGCCCGCTCCTCTGCTATTCTCGGCTAGGACTGGCGCTTCCCGCTGGCTCGGAGCCCGACACTGTGGGGCAAGGGTGGCGAGAGCACCCATCCCCCTGGGGCGTCAGGTTGGCAGATCTCAGCAGGCGGGTGCCAATCTTTTCTCCCCGCCCCCTAGTTTGCCTTGGTTCCGAACTCCTGCCCTTTGCGCGGCCTGCTTGCTGGGGGGCAGGCGTTTGAAACATCTAGTCTCTGCCCAGTGGTGCCCGGGATCTGTTCCACCGACGGGGCTGGAGCTGAATTTTCATTAGAATGGCAACATACCCAAAGACGCCCTTACGCAAGCAAGCAGTCGTGGCAGGCCAGGAAATTACCGCAACACCTTGGTTCCGCCCCCGGCCAAGGAAAGTTAACTGACTTGATTGGGCGGGTCCACTCGGATAGGGGAAATTAAAAAAAAAAAGTTTTTCAGTAAATCTGATATATGGAAATGTGGGGCCGGGCATGGTGGCTCACGCCTGTAATCCCAGCACTTTGGGAGGCTGAGGGTGGTGGATCACCTGAGGTCAGGAGATCGAGACCATTCTGGCTAACACGGTGAAACCACGTCTCTACTAAAAAATACAAAAAAAAAAAAAAAAAAAAAAATTAGCCAGGCGTGGTGGCGGGCGCCTGTAGTCTCAGCTACTCGGGAGGCTGAGGCAGGAGAATGGCGTGAACCCGGGAGGCGGAGCTTGCAGTGAGCTGAGATCCCGCCACTGCACTCTAGCCTCGGCGACAGAGCGAGACTCCGTCTCAAAAAAAAAAAAAAAGAAAAAAAAAGTGGATTGATAAGTTGGGGCTAATTATTCACTTACTTTTGTAAAACATTTCTAAGGAGTTCTGAGGACCAAGTTTTCTTTCTATATTTTAAGTGAGATTTGACTTATGCCCAATTCTTCTGGAACGCATCCCCTGAAATGGATATTTTTATTCATTTTAATAGTACTTTATTTATCTTATTTTGTTGACATTGAGTACTATTTGCCAAGCACTATGGTAAGCGCTTCATTTCTGGGTCTCATTTATCCTCCTGCAGCCCTATAAGGTAGATGCTATTATGGGTATCTTCAAGTTGCCAACGAGGACGCTGAAGCTTAGGTAGGTTAAATAATTTACAAAAACTATAATGGCAGCACTAAGAGTCCAATATAGATCTGCCAATCCCAAGAACTTGAACAGCTCCTGAGAATGAAGAATGAACAGCCCTTGATCTTGAAGATCTGTTTTCCAGGCTCCAAAATCTAAACTGGGCTCTATCTACATCTGCCTTCCTGGGCCAAACATTTATAAGCATCAGTGAGAGAAGATTGCCTGGATTTGTTTACTTTGTGGTCCTGAATTTTCAGACAAGCGCAAATTCCCATGAAAGAAGAACAGACAATAGCTGTATCCCAGTAGATCATTTCCCTGTTACCACCTGTGCTGAATTTGCATTTCATTCATTCATTCATTTATTCAGTCAGTCATTCAACAGATCCTGTTGAATACCATGTTCAGAGAAATGTGTGGACTAAAAGGATGATGCAGACCCAAGAGTTGTCCTTAAGGAGCTTACAGCAGAGTGGGAATTTTAGGTGCCCAGATGGAAATTTGTCCATTTGGGAGTAGTGTGGGGTGGGAAGGAAAGAATTAGTTAAGACTAAAAAAAAAAGTTCTTAAAACTTCATCACCCTTTAGCCATTGCCCTATTGCTCTTCTCTCAGCCAACCTTTGTAAAAGCTTTCTGCATTCACTATTTCTCATTCTCACCTCCGGTTTACTCGCCATTTCACTGCTTCTGCCCCCTCCACTACTCCAGTAGAATTGCTCTTGCCAAAGTTACTAGGGACTTGCCAGTTGCTAAATTCATGGAATACACTCTGGTCTAATCTTATTTGGCCTTTCTGCTGCATTTGGCAGTGCTGATTTTGTACTCTTGTAAAGTTCTTCCTCCCTTGGCCTTGCTTACTCTCCTGATTCTACTCACACTTTTTGGAAGTTCCTTCATGGGCTGCACATTGACTATCCCCTAGGTTTCTTTCTTCTTTCTTTCTTTCTTTTTTCTTCTTCTTTTTTTTTTTTTTTTTTTTTTGAGACGGAGTCTTACTCTGTCGCCTAGGCTGGAGTGCAGTGGCGCAATCAGCTCACTGCAACCTCTGCCTCCCAGGTTCAAGCAATTCGCCTGCCTTAGCCTCCTGAGTAGCTGGGATGACAGGCATGCACCACCACACCTGGCTAATTTTTATATTTTTAGTAGAGATGAGGTTTCACCATCTTGGCCAGGCTGGTCTCGAACTTCTGATCTCAGGTGATCCACCCTCCTCGGCCTCCCAAGGTGCTGGGATTACAGGCGTGAGCCACTGCGCCTGGCCTATTCCCTAGGTTTCTACGCTCAGGTTGTTCTCTGATTTTGTTCACTCTCTCTACTCACTCGGGATTTAAATATGCTACTCTTTCTCTTGTGATATGATTCAGTCCAGATGGCATCTTCAGAAACCTTTCTTGACACCCCATCCCTACCACTCTTCTCCACCTATTAAGTGCTCCTTTCCCATAGATAATTCTAGAATATATATATTAAATTCTAGTGAAATTTTCCGTTTACATGTCAACGGCCTCCAACTAGAGAGTAAGCTTCTTTAAGTCAGACCTGTGTTTTACCTGTATCTGCAATGCCTAGGACTATGTAGCATTCAATGAATTCTTGTTTATTTGCTCTGAACTGTGAGTCACTTTTGTATTCTAGCACTTGATTTAAAGCCAGCATGTAGCTGGTGACCAATAAATTTATTCACATCAAACATTTATTATGTGCTTGCTTTGCCTCAGACATTGTACTTGAGATACAAAATATTTTTGCCCTTGGGAAAGACATAGTCTGGGAGGGGTGGTATACAGGAGTAAGCAGACAGCACAATGTGTCAGGTGTTGTGATGGAGGGATGTGCAGGTGTCTTTAACCTGAGGGGCTGTACTTGGGAGGGGAAGATGAAGGGAGGGAGGCTCCATAGAGGGGTGGTAGCCGAATTGAGTCTTAAAGAATGACTTGGAGTTCCCAGAGTGGGTTTGTCTGGTAGGAGGAATTCTTAGCAGAATGAATACAAATTGAGGGAGTTTAGATTAGATACAAATACAAATTTCTAGTCCTTTTTTGTTTCATCCACAAAGGTTGGGAATAATACATACCTGAAGAGCCTGTTGTGAGGATTAGATGAAACAACATATTTACAAGTACCTCACTTGGAAACTGTTCGAATGATAGGTGTGTTATCAATGTTTTGTTGGTATTAGGACACAATCCAACGTGATGCAGATATGAGCCACCCAGATGGTCTCCCACCTTCCTCTAATCCTCAACAGCCTCAACCAATATAGAGGGGTTCCGTGTTAGTCAGAGCCCAATTGGGTACAAATGACAAAAACCTTACTTGGATTACTCCAAGTGAAAAAGGAATTTTATTGGCCCATGTTACTGAAAAGTCCAAGAGAATCCCAACGAATTCTTTAGTTGAAACTATTCCTGGTCTCTAAAAATCACTTCTGGGTCTAATGATCTGCAAATGACCAGCATCAGAAATTGAGGAGAGTTTAAGCTCACAAATGAATGTGTGCATGTTTTGAAGGATGATTTATCACCACCCTAAGCAAAATAAAATAAATACCTTTGTGGGAACTTATGAGCAAGGAGGGTATTTGTTGTTGTTGTTGTTGTCAAGTTACAGGGATTCTTTTGTCACGGCTCCTTTGCTACTCATTTGTGCAAACTGTGGAGCCCCTTCTCAGAATATATATTTTTAAAAATTTGAGACATGGTCTTACTCTGTTGCCCAGACTGCAGCACAGTAGCGCGATCGTGGCTTACTGCAGCCTCAGTCTCCCCAGGTTCAGTTGATTCTCCCACCTCAGCCTCCTAAGTAGCTGGGGTCTACAGGTGCATGCCACCATGCCTGGCTAATTGTTTTATATTTTTTGTAGAGATGGGGTTTCACCAAGTTGCCCAGGCTGATCTCGAACTCATGGGCTCAAGCGATCTGCCTGCCTCGGCCTTGCCTCCCAAAGTGCTGGGATTACAAGTGTGAGCCATCGTGCCGGGCAGAGTATTTTTATTTTTAAGTGAATAAAACAAAATACAAACCATTACAAAGGAAGCAAAATTATATTGAAGTATAATCAAAATATTAAAAAACCAGATTTGTGATATATCAAGATAATGCTTCTTTACTGACATAGGAAGATTTGTGGAGGATTTAATACTGCCTTACTTCAAAGTAGTGGTGAGTATAAATGATGTTTTGAGACGTCTGCAATCTCAGTATTTTGAGATAACTATAATAGGATATGAAAATATAATTTTTATTGATGATAAATTCCTAGGTAGTAGTAGTAATAGTAGCAGTAGTAGTAATAATACTGTGGTTTGCTTCCTACATTTATAATAAAAGGAGGTGCTAAATTTCAGTTAGATGTTAGTGAAAATAAAGATTGTTTTGTTTATTTTGTCATTCATATTCATGGATCCCATTGAATTCTACCCAAGGACCTCTTGAGGTAGGGGAAGGGGATGTAAGCATCCCAAGTTAAGAACCCCACACTAAACAATGATCCTTTTTTAGCATCAGGTGATGCCTGCACCAAAATGGACCTCAAACACATGACCCAGAGGTTAAGGGTCTCATGTTCTCAGAGCAAACTAGTGGGACTTTGCAAACTTCGCCTTATAGTGGAGGAACTCCACTGTCTCCCGCTTGAAGTGAACCACCCTTTTCTGAACTTTCATGAGATCCATCTGCAAACACTGCTGAAGGAACATGTTTCTGGCTATAGCAGTTCACATTTCTTGAAAAGGAAATAAAAGAACACTGAGCAGGAAGGGGAAGGTTTTGAGACTCTTGGGTAGTTGGAGTTAGGTGGAGACACCTTGCTACTTTAACTTTAAACCTTATATCCCTGGGGCAGGGATGACTTGGCAGAGAAACACCTTCAAGTCACTTTTTTTTTTGAGACACTGTCTTGCTCTGTTGCCCTAGGCTGGAGTGCAGTTGCAGGATCTTGGCTCACTGTAACCTCCGCCTCCTGGGTTCAAGTGATTCTTCTGCCTCAGCCTCCTGAGTAGGTGGGACTACAGGCGTGCACCACCATACCCAGCTAATTTTTGTATTTTTAGTAGAAACGAGGTTTCACCATGTTGGCCAGGATGGTCTGGATCTCTTGACCTCATCATCCGCCCGCCTCGGCCTCACAAAGTGCTGGGATTACAGGCGTGAGCCACCACACCCGGCCCAAGTCACTTTTTAACATGCTGTAACCCCCACTTTAAAAAAAAAAAAAACCACTTTTTAATTATGGTGGGGCCGGGCATGGTGGCTTACCGCACTTGAGTGGGTCACTTGAGCCCAGGAGTTCCAAACCAGCTTGGACAACATGGTGAAACCCCTTGTCTACAAAAAATAAAAAAACTTAATCTGGTGTGGTTTCGGGCGCCTGTGGTCTCGGCTACTTGAGACACTGAGGTAGGAGGATCACATTCACCCTGTGAGGTCAAGGCTTCAGTGAGCTGTGATTGCACCACTGCACTCCAGCCTTGGCGATGGCAAGACCCTGTCTCAAAAATAAATAAATAAATAAATATAAAATGAATTATGGTGGGCTTTGAACAATTGTTCTCCCCTTGTTTACACTTTCTGATTTTGAATCAGCACTGAATGCCAGTATGGATAACCTATTGTCCTTTCCATCCAGGAGCATACAATCTTTTGGGGGAGATAAGACAGAAGAAACACATAGACATACAAAGAACAGAATTAGAAAACATGCTGAGCTCAGCGAGAGAGAGAACATTTTGGATTGGGAAAGAAGAGGTGCCTGCACCTAAAACCAATTATGTCTTGAAGAGCGGATAGTGTGCGATAGAAGATGGGGCTACCCTTCAGGAAGGGGACCTGCCGAGAGAAGTGAGAAAGAGAGAATAGGCAGGACTCTTTTTTAGAGCCGGACACTTAGTCACTAAACAATCTTTGTTACATAAAATACTTAAATCAGCTTGCTTGGGACTTTTTCTTTCTTGGCTTCACTAATGCTCTTGGTGAAACATCTTTTTCCTTTTTCTTTTTTAATCAAATCTAATGCTCATGAAATTTTGTAGAAGAAAAAGAAAAACGTTCTCCCTTTCTGAGATAGAGGGTTTGTTTTGTTTTTGTAAACAAGATAACAGGGAAGAGTGCTCTACTGTTTTGGAAAGAGTGACTCATTCAATAAATATTTATTGAGCACCTATTAGGTTCTCGGTACTACGGATACAACAGTGAATTGAACAAAGTTTCTGCTCTACAGAGCTGTGGGGTTCTCGTTGAGCCTGACAGATGATAAACGTGTCAAATGAAGATAAGTTCTCTGAAGAAAAATAAAACCCAGTAAAGGGGACAGCATTAGAGGATGGGCTGCTCTTTTTAGTGCAGCAATTGGGATGTCTGATAAACCTCATGAGAGCAGAGACCTGAATGAAGTGAAGGAGTGAGCCATGCAGATATCCGTGAAAAGACTTCCAGACAGAGGAAGAGTTAGATGGAAAGGATAAACACATATAATCATTTAATGTTATAAAATTATGCCTCAGGTAAATAAATGTAGCATACATTTTATCGTACAAAGGGTCCCAATATACTATGACATTTTGCATATAGATTATAAGTATTATTCTATTATAAATTTATCTTGGGATAATAAGATGTGTAATCAACATTGATCAAATATTTAACAATAATTTTTTTCTCTCTTGGACTCTAGGGTAGGGAAAACTTTTCATCTACCCTCCTAGGTTATATACTGGGGGCTTGCAAATTAAATGTAAAAGACAAATGAGCAACAAAAAGACATTTGTGGGAGTTTACAGAAAAATGTGACAGGAGGCAGTTAGACTTGGGGGCCTATACATCATCTCAGTAGGGGAAGGCGGAAGAGGAGAAGAGCATTTGCTGGAAACCACGACTTTAGGAGAGATAAATCAGCCCTTAAGAGACTAGATAGGAGATGTGGTAGTTTTATGCCAGTGTCTATTTAGTTATGGTAATGAGTCGATCTTCCCTGGTTGTGAAACTCCAGAGTTCCTTTGGGGCACACTGCTTTTAAGACAGATGAAGGAGTTTAGTAAAAAGCCTATTTTTAAATGACTGGCTCAAAATAATTTTTATGTCACAGTGGTGTAGTCTGGACCCCTTTAGACTTTAGAAGAGCTTTCAGCAGATTGATTTGAGTGAGCTACACTTCTAAGAAAGTGAAGCAGGAAAGTTTGAACTGATCCCTTTATTCTCCTCCAAGTTCCCTTGAGGCCCACACAGACATAGCCAGTTATTCTGCTGACTTTGAAGCTGTGCTCACAGTTGGGATCCACCTTTGAAAAATGGCTCCTGAGTGTGTTAAGTAAGTAATGGCTAGCCGAGGGCTTCAGTTGGGAGGACTGCGGAGAAGACTTTTCTCCCCTGGGGTCCTCAAAGGGGAAAGAAATCACAAGGGGGCAGCATAGGGAGTTGTTTGGAAAGGGTGAGAAGGCTGTGCTTAGTGTTGGGATACGCGGATGGATGTAAGCTGGGTTTTGTTTTGTTTAGTTTTTTAAACTTCAGCTGTTGGAAGTCCTCCTTCCCATAGCTTCTCCAAATCACCACTGAGCTGATTCCCCAAGGCATAAAGACAGCCCTGAATTAACACAGTGGGGAATGCTAATTAAGTCATGCCAATAAAGATTTAATCATGAATCAGAAACACTTGGAAAATTATGTTTTCATATTGGAAAGATGTTCTTTTTTTCTCTATGAGTACCCCAAAGTGTTTTTGAAGGATGAAATGCGATAGGTGGTAGGACAGAAATATTTGGTTGACTTGTCCAGTATGCTAATGGTGTTGGAACAGGGACTCCAGTCTTCTGATATTTCATCTGGTTGGTCTTTTCCATAAATAAATATATCCCAGAGCAAGTAGTTCTGGGGATTGTTATAATATGCTGGTTAATAGCATGGAGAAACTGGCTTGGGCAATGTTAAGTAGGAGTTTCAGAGCTTTTAATATATGAGTACTGAGAGTTTGTAAAAGGACCCCAAACAGAAGAATTTTGGGAAATACCAATCTATACCATGCTGGGTTGATAGGACCATCTATATTATACAAGAATCTTCTCAGATTTAAGTTTCTTCTTTTTAAACTGCCATTAAGGGCATGCAGGGAAGGTGAAATTTTGTTTTAATATCCATGTATACCATATGGCTTATTTTGGCAACTAATATATGAATTTGTTCTTGGCTGCTTTGAGTGTGATTGATTCAGCCCAATAAGTATTTTCTAACCAGGTCACCACATGTAGAGTTATGAGGTAAGTGACAAAAGTCCTTCTGACCAAATATTAGTCCTGTATGTTGTACTCCAATGTGCTCACAAGTGAATTGAAATGTTGCTCAAGAGTGAATTGAAATGGCTACTACATTGTGTGAGTCCGGAGGGCTTAATCTGCATGGTGTCATAGCCATTTGGGGGCTAAACCGACAAGTGTGAGGATTGTAAACTGGCAGGGAGCTCAAAATGAGCTGATTGGTGAAACTTCATGGTGATCTCGTAGGTTGCAGCAGAGAACAATACAGGCCCAGTCCTCACATGCTTGGGACTTAAGGTGAAGGTTTGTGTTGGAGGCTAGGTGGGTTACGGACAAGCAGAGAACTGCCACAAGGTGCTGTCAGCACTGGGATGGAGGTGAGCAAAGGAGGCTAGGAAAGCATAAAGGAGGCGTGCCTGGTTCCAGCAGAGGGAGTAGGGAAGTGACAACTAAAACCAGACCTGAAGGTGAAGAGCAGAGAGGAATGTTCCAGGCAGAACCATAGGTGAGAGAATTTGGCATGTTTAAGAGAAAGCTCCCCTCACTGCCCCCCAACTCCGTATTTTTGTTTCATACTCTGCAAGGAGCAACTGCACTAAAAATGTACCTCATGTTTTCTATTTTACAAGTTACTGCCACATGCATGGCCTTATTTCCTGTCTACAACAAACCTTTCAGGTGTCCCAGGTCACAAAGTCAGGAAAAGAGCCTGGGAACTGCCCCCACTCTTCCTAGAATGTAAGGGGTGTTGGGCCATGTTCCAAATACCAGGTTCCCACTGAGAGTGGCTGAGGATAATGCTAATCTGGGCAGTTTTAAGCAGGAAATGAGTATGTGGAGTAGGGAAGTGCGGAGATCTTGCTATGTAAGTCAGAGCTATTTTTCTCACTACTGGGTTGAATTAAAACCAGTTTCTGGAATCACAATGTAAAACAAGAGGCAAAATCCACCTCGAGGCACATTGGTTTTTATTCCTTAAATGTTCCACATAAAAAATGAAAACTGAGTCAGTAGAACAGAATCGTAAGACCAGATGGCTTCCCAGGATCAATGGGGGCAAGCCATTAACTATCATCTAGTTAATAGAGGAAATTGCATTTTACAGTGGGATGGGTTCTAGAGTTCGAGTGGAAGATGAAACTTCAGTCAAAATCATCCTTAAAGTCCCATAGGAAAGTACCACATTGGAGAACAACATGTAACACAACAGGTATGTCTTTAAATAGCAGAAGTGCACTCAAGATACCCATACTTTGAGAAGCACGTGGGGACTAAGACTGAGCAGGGGCCTGTGGTCACTGGGTGAAATGGTGGCAGAATTGCCCATGCTGTTTAAATTTCACTCTTGTCTTCTTTGTCTCCCTGGAAGTTCTATATACAACAGTTACATTTGTGCAAGATAAATACTTGTATGATGTGACTACACTGCACATTCTTGATGCTACTCAGAGTGCACATATGAGAATCATCTCAATCATGATTCATCACCTGCAACTTGGAGCACTTATGCCCTGTGCCTTTCTACCGGGCTTATATTTGAAATCTCAGATTTCCCTGTCAAGGCTTGATCTTACCGCTGCAGATCTGTTTGGACCACTCTGAAAGAGTATACTTTGAGGTGCCTTCCAAAGTGAATTTGATGTACACCACGTAGCCTATAAGGAATTTTTACGATTTTATAGGTTCAATCAGCTGTTGTAACAGACACTCAAAACAACAGTGGATTAAACAAGATGTTTTTCTGTCTTGTGGAATATTGTGGGTCAGCAGGCCAAGACTAGCATGATGGATCCATGATGTTGGGACCCAGCCTCTTTAATCCTGTTGCTCTGCCATCTTGAAGGTGTTGCCCTTGCCCATCTGGTTGCAGATGGCTTCTACTACCACATCCATGTTTCATCTAGTGGGCACAGGGGAGAGATGGGGCAGAGTGTCTTCCCCCTTTAAAATCAGGAAATTGTGTACCTGACTATTGCTCACAATCCACTGGGAAGATCTAACATGCAGGCCACATTTACTTGCAAGAAGGGCTGAAAATGTAGACTCTATATTGAGAGGCATATGGCCCCCTGAAAATGAGTGGTTCTGTTACCTTAAAGAAGAGAAGGAACACTAGAAATATGTGCCATGGTCCACCTCTTTGGCCATGAAGACAGCCATGCCCATTGTTCTTCCTGCCCATTGAAACACAGCACTCCTTTCCAGTGGAGGCACCCCAGATTCCTTCCAGTTACCCAGTCAGTACTCAGTGTTCATAGTTCTCTCCATCAAGCCCATGTGTGGCTCCTTGTGTAAAGTTAAAGACAAATTATCAGGCCCCCTGTCCCCACTACATAACTATGTATAACTATATATATAGGGAGGGAGTTACATAACTCTGTGTGTGTGTGTGTGTGTGTGTGTGTGTGTGTGTGTGTGTGTAAAGAGAGGGGATATAGTTGTATATTTACATATGTAGACCAGTCACTAGCCATAGGAGTGTTCACATTGTCGCATTGTCCTGGCTGGGAATGCACACTCCTGTCCTGGCAGTGGAGTAGGTCCACAGGGAACCCTGGTTCCACCCTCAGGGAGGAACTCTATCCACCTGCTCATGTAAATATATTTATTGAGTAAGAGTGGACATTGGAGAAGGCCCTAAAAGTCCTTTTGGGGCTGTACAGCTTATGTAACCTGCTTCCTGCTGATGAAAGTTGGAGGAAAAGAGGCAGGGGTGACTTTTGCAGGCCAGGCTCCTGGCTCTTTCACTGTACAGTACCTTCACAAATTTAGTAGTCTTCTGGCCTATCCTGATCAGTTCCATGTGCTGGTAATCACAGTGAAAGTTCTCACCTAGATAGTTTTGAAACCTAAAAACTTTGACTTGTATTTATTGGATGCTTTGTGCCTCCCTTGATTTCTCTATTACTGATGGCTACCTTGAGACAGGTGGAAAAGATAGGCTAGTACGAAGGCAGTATCCTTAATCTGATTTTGCTGGTGGGCTAGTTCCCATTGTCTGACAGAGAATCCTGGGGAATATTTTATTTATTATTATTTATTATTTTTATTTTTTTGAGACAGGGTCTCACTCTGCCATCCAGGCTGAGTGCAGTGGTGTGATCATGGCTCACTGGAGCCTCGAATTCTCAGGCTCAAGTGATCCTCCCACCTGAGCCTCAGCCTGGGACTACAGGCATGCACCACTACACCTGGCTAATTTTTTGTATTTTTGTAAAGATGAGGTTTTGCCATGTTGCCCAAGCTGGTCTCCAGCTTCTGAGCTCAAGCAATCCACCCACCTTGGCTTCTCAAAGTGTCAGAATTACAGGTGTGAGCCACCGCACCTAGCCCTGGGAAAGATTTTAGACACAGCCTTCTCTGCTAAGCCTGCTGCTTACTGTATAGCTGATTTAACTTGGTTTCACAAATAGTTGTCATCTCAACTCTGTGATGGCACAAATTCCTGGACTTGGACGGTATCATTTGCAGGCCACAGTAAAAACAAAAAACAAAACTTCCCTTAGCAGAACCCAACCTGCCTTTATTTCTCTCTGCAGAATGGCCAGCCCTTGCCTGAGCTCCCGTCTTTATTGTAGCAAGAGGTAGTTGACAAGCACTCATGTTCTGAATTCTGCCAACCATTTGTCTCAAGCTACAAATTTGGTTGGCCAGTGGTCTGCCTTCCATGCTATCAGAGGCAACAAATTTTTCCATGCCATAAAAAGCATGCTGATGCCAATGTTTTAGATTCTGTTTTGGTACAGAATACCAACTTTTTTGTTAAAATGTAGGTTTGGCTGCTGTTAGCAGAGTTTCCAAATAAAGTACTTAAAAGTTGATAGTAATGGAACCCTTCCTTTCATATCCTGGGTGTGGGCAGTCCAGGGCTGATGTGTGGCTCCATTATACACAGGGACCCATGCCCCTTTTCTTCTGTTGTGCAGCCTTCCCTGGAGTGTTGCTCTTATCTAGGTCCGGGATGGCTGCCCACCACCTTACCTTCATGCCAGCTAACATGCCAACAGGGGAGAAAGATGGAGGAAGGCACACCTTTCTCAGAGATTGAACATATCTGTTGCACTCATGTCGCATTAATCAAAACTTAGCTAAGCCTACCTCTAGCAGCAAGGAGGGCTGTGAAATATCAGTCTTATTCTGGGTGTCATCTGTCAAGCTAAACATTGGGGATTTGACAAACCAAATGAAACAGAGAATTGATGTTGGGAAACAACCAATAGTTTATACTGTCCTAAGCATTCCCTCCAAATCTGGTGAAAATCACTGTCATTTTCAAGTGGTAGTGTTACAGAGAGAAGACAGAACTTAATTTTATATGGGCAGCTAGATTTTTGGAAGAGACCTTGGCCGTCAATTATTCCAACCCCACTTTAGAAAGGAACCAAGGCACAAACATTGCCATTGTACGAGTCTTAAACTACTTTATTGAGGTATGATTCACATACTATATAATTTACCCACTTAAAGTGAATCATTCAATATTTTTTAGTCTATTCACAGAACTGTACAACCATCACCACAATCTAACTTCAGAATATTTCCATGATCCTAAAAGAAACCCCTTACATTAGCAGCCAATCTCCCTTGCTTCCCTACCCCTTCAGCCTTAAGCAGCCGTTAGTCTACTTTCAGTCTCTACGTTTGTGTGGGTAGACTTTACATGGACCAAATGTCCAGTTTTGGTTGCCAGGCAGGGGAAGTTCCATTTACCAAGTGAAACCACAGGATCATGAGAAGCAAAGTAAGGGCTGTGTCAGGAGCAGTGGAATTAGTATCCCATGCTTCTGTGTGCCTTGTCCTGAGCATGGGAGGGTTAAAGATGTCCTCATTCGCAAGGAGCTGCCAGTTGAATGGGGAAGATTGACACATGCAAAACCAGACAGTAACCATTAGGTATTATAAAAGCTAACACAGAAGGAAAAAGAGATGGTCATGGGAGCTCAGGGCCAGCCTGGGATAGGCGAGTGTGCCTGGGATGGGTGGTGTGCCCAGCGAAGGCGTTCTGCAGAAGATAAGTGTGTCTTTCTTGGCAGACTCTCTGTCCACAGCAGACCAGGCTGTCAAAAAAAGGAGGCGACATTTCTCCAGAATAGCTTCTTCATTTTCGTGAGGGTAAGCAATCAGATTTCTTTTTTTATAAACATATTTGAACTTATATATCCAAATTAGTATCGTACCCTGCCAAATCGCCACTCTGGGAACCATGCACGCACTCCAGTGATGCGTGTAGTGCTCAAAGCATTTGAAACTCCTCTATGGGAATTATCTTTCAGCCAGTCAGTTTATGGGTCACCTAGGAAAACCAGTCACATTATTTTATAGTCATGCCTCATTTTTCACCTAAAGCGATGTAACAAGATTTGATCACCCACTTTATTCATTAGACATGGCTCCAGCCAATTTTTGTCTTTTTCCAAAGTTCAAATCTATTCTCAAAGGATGAGATTTGTCATGACTGAGGACTTTCAAAGAAAGTGCCGCAGACAGTAAAAACAGTTACCCACTAAAAGAGTTAGAGAGGTGTCAGCATTGTTTGAATAAATATGTTGTTTCCCAAGGTGATTGTTTTGAAAGAGATAATGCTAATTGAGATGAATGTACTCAACTGGCATAACTGTTTAAAGGGAGTTACTGTATTTTATACTGTTCAAGCACATTGACCTGTAGAGAGGAGCTTAAGAGACAGTTCTTGCTGAGGCAGAGTCTGGCATTCTGCTTTCTGCAGCCTACCGCAGTGGCCTGGGGATACAGTTCTCTTCCATTCTGGTAAACGTTTAAACCTGCTTTGGTGAGGCATTTAGGAGCTGTACAAAATGGGAAGGTTTGTTAAAATATAAACCGACAAAATGGCCAAATACCCGGCCCTGACCGAGGAAGAGAGTCCTGTCAGCTCTAAACCATAGAACTTGAAACCCAAATGCTAAGCCAGTGCCCACCTCGACTGTGTGAAATTGTCCCCTGACTTCAGAGGCCAGAAAATGGATCTGGGATGGTATAACTGGGTGGGGACAGGGAAAGGCCTTTTGATTTAGCAATAAAACTATTAGGTTATACCACCTCCATGGGGACTTTGAAAAATGCATTCTGTGGAACAAGATGAAGTGCTTTTTAAAGGAAGATTTTGAAATGAAGCAAAAGGGAAATCAGTGTAGAAAACTCAGATGGAATCAGGGATAAGACTGGCACCTGTCATGAAAGCCCAGCTTCCTCTCTGGGCTGGGCCACACAGTTCACTCTAACCGCTTTGTGGTCAAATCCATGAGAAAATCACTTACCCCACAGTTTGCCATAGACAGCTCCTCCATATGTAGAAGTGGTATTCGAAAGAGTAATCGTAATATCTGCCTTGAAAGATTCTTGTGAGGATGAAATAAAATTTGTGAAGCACTTGTTATAGGGCCTGACATTGTAACTGGTTAGTAAAGAGAAGATTCTGATGATTCTATGATTATTATGATTATTCCAAATACTGAGGCCATTGGAAGGCAGAGGGAGGGGATAAGAAGATGGGCCTAGGGAGGGTCTTTGTGCCTCTTACCACCCTCACTTTTTGGCTGTCCTATCCTGCCTCTGTCCACACATTATCCCTTGGACTTTTTCTGTCAGGCAGAGGTTCACAGTTGCTCTAAATCTCAGCCACAGGCCCATCAATCTGAGATCTTCACCTGTTTTGAGTCACCAGCTAGCAGTGGCTAGCTAAGGATGGATATTTCAGGATGGATCTGTGGAATGGTTACTGGGCCCAGGCCAATGTCTTGCTGCAGATGGGAAGCTGCAAGAAATGTATGCTGGCATTTCTGGAAACCTCCTGGGACATGTGAATGTGTTCATTTGACAAGCATTGCGGAACACTTTTGTATGCCAGGCACTGTGCACAGTGGTTGGGGGTACAGGATGAGTAAGACAAAGTCCTTGTGCTTAGGGTGCTCATGCTGGTGGGGGAGACAGGCACTCCATGGGTAGTTACAACAGGGTGCGAATTCTATTACAGTCAGTCCTTGACTTACCATGGAATGATGAATTACAGTTGTCCAACTTTACAGTGGTGTAAAAGTGATACACATTCAGTAGAAACCATACTTTGGATTTTGGATTTTGATCTTTTCTCAGGCTAGCAAAATGCAGGATGATACTCTAGGAGTGAGCCACACCTCCCAGTCCACCACGCGGTCCCGAGGGTAAACGACCAATAATGTACAATACAGGGTACTGTATTTAATAAATTACACGAGATCTTCCAACATTTTATTATAAATTAGGCTTTGTGTTCAATGATTTTCCCTAACTTTAGGCTAAGGTAAGTGTTGTGGGCCCATTTAAGGTAGGCTAGGCCAGGCCATGATGTTTGGTAGGTTAGGTGGATCAGATGCATTTTTGACTGATGATATTTTCAACTTACAATGGGTTCCAAATGGAAGTCAGACCACTTGGTGGCTACCTAATTTTACCACATAACCTCAGTTCATAGTAGTGGGTTGGAAGTGAAGACTTTGAGATTTTGCTTCAAATTTCAGTTTCATAATTAATTGTACAATATCATGTATACTGCTTAACTTATCTAAAACTGTTTTCTCACCAGTAAAGTGGGATTAATTCCAATATATGCTATATCAGAGAATTTTATGAGGATAGAATGAAATAATGTACATACAAAGGTTTTGTGAATTCTAAGGTGCCACTCAAATATGAATTATTTGGTTGTTTTTGAAACTGTAATGTTGCTTCAGGAAAGTCATTCCACTGGACTAATGTAAGCCTCTTGCCAAAAACAAATCTCTACACACAGTTTCGTCTAGTTCTCTCAAAGTCCAAAATTCAGATGTGCTAAAGAATAATAAAAAAAAAAGTTACAGGCGTTTTGCCATTTTGAGAATCTTAGTGGAATATCAAAATTACATCTTTTATGTTAAAATTTATGTTAAAAGTATATATAATCTTTGGTGTGAGATCTGAGTTTGATTCCTGGACATGGTAGTTATTAGCTGTTTAATCTTGGGCAAATTGCTTGAGCTGCTTCTTTACTCATTTGTGAAATTAATATGTTGGGGGTTTTGATGGGAAATACAGACACTTTAAACTTCTTGCAAAAGGTTTCCCGGCCATTACCCCCTCATTTTAACTTCTCTTCTTCCCAGATTTGCCAATGACCTGTCAAGATGCTCTACACCTATTAGCTTATAAATTTCAGAACAGAAATATCTTTCTTACAGAGAGTGTTTCATGCACAGAGCCTGGGGGGAGGGAGAACTGTTCTGTATAACTTTAGGTTTTCAGTAATATGTCGTCAGCCTGATACTTAAGTTTTCTCAAAAGAACACAGCAGCCAGCCCCAAAGTAAGCAAAATTGATCCTGAGTAGCTTAAGTACTGGTTACGGTGTTTGGTGTTTGTATGCCAGGTCTACCCCTTATGGTTTTAGGATAGTGGTTCTGGTGAATAGTTGATTAGGTCCACTTGCTCCAGAAATCTCCGTGAATAAGATTTGATGGGGTGCTTTCCATCCCTGAAACATTTACTGAATGTTTTCTTATTGCTTAATACAGTGCTGTGTATTTGGGGCATGCAGTAGTGCATAAAACGGTCTCCGCAAGTGGGCATTGCAATATAGTGTGAGAAGTGCCTCGTTAGGGTGTATTGGGGGCCCTAGGGAGGGGAACACGCAGGGGTGGTCAGAGGAAGCTTCCCAGGGGAGATGTGTTTAAGCCAAGTCCTGAAGGATGATAAAGAGGAAGCCAGGAAAAAGTGTAGACATGGGGGTATGAAGAAGACATTCTGTGTAGTGGGAGCAGCCCTTGCAAAACAAGGAGATCCTTGTAGAAAGTAAAAGCACAGCCTTAGACTGTAAAGTAGGACTCATCCTAACTCCAGCATTGCAGGAAGGGAAGAGGGAGGCCGCCGGTGACTCAGCTGCCTTAACCCCTGAGGTCACACAGGTCCTTAACCCCTGAGGCTTTCTTTTATACACAGGCCAACATAAGACCCAGTCTGGGAATTATCCTAAGGCCCAGCCTGGGAATTCTCTTATGGCCCTGAGGGAAGGGAGGATTTTGGAGACAGGATCAAAAACCTAAAAAGCTATCTGTAGGCCGGGCGCAGTGGCTCTCACCTGTAATCCCAGCACTTTGGGAGGCCAAGGCAGGCAGATCACAAGGTCAAGAGATCAAGACCATCCTGGGCAACATGGTGAAACCCTGTCTTTACTAAAAATACAAAAATTAGCTGGGTGTGGTGGCACATGCCTGTAGTCCCAGCTATTCGGGAGGCTGAGGCAGGAGAATCGCTTGAACCAGGGGAGGTGGAGGTTGCAGTGAGCCGAGATTGCACCACTGCACTCCAACCTGGCAACAGAGCGAGACTCCTTCTCAGAAAATGCTATTTGTAAGGAGGATTGGGTTGAAGTATTTGCCCAGTAACATATTAAGGCTATCAGGAGCTGGACGTGGTGGCTCACGCCTGGCCTGTAATCCTAGCACTTTGGGAAGCCAAGGTGGGTGGATCACTTTAGGTCAGAAGTTCGAGACCAGCCTGGCCAACATGGTGAAGCCCCATCTCTACTAAAAATACAAAAATTAGCCGGGCATGGTGGCGCGTGCCTGTAATCCCAGCTACTTGGGAGGCTGAGGCAGGAGAATCGTTTGAACCTGGGAGGCAGAGGTTGCAGTGAGCCGAGATCACACCATTGCACTCCAGCCTGGGGAACAAGAGCGAAACTCTGTCTCAAAAAAAAAAAGGCTCTATCAGTTTGCTCTGACTCTCTTTCTTTAACCAGCAGGTTACGTGACACGTGACACCATCTGCATGTGACCTACTGTCTTCACTGGGACAGGCCTTCTAACTTGGGTCAACTGGCCTGAACCCATACGTAGAATGATTGATATATAGTTCACTAAGTTAAATTATACATTTATAGACGCAAAAAAAATTTTGACATACAGTGTGGTTGTGTTGTATCCTACTGCTCTAATATTAGGAAAGGGGCTGGGATGCTAGGTCAGCTGGGACCCTCTTTTTCTCGCTTGCATTCATCTCTTTTTCTCTCTTACTCTCACCACTTTTCTACCTCATGTTGAGTAGCGCCATGAAGACCCCTCCTTCATCACTCTGCCTGCAGTTATCCTGGGAAGCAATTATAAGCTTTCAGCCTCAACCATGCAGACTAACTGGCTCTACTTCCTTCACTATTGCAGTTTCTAGTTCTGTTCGTAATTGTTGCACAAGACTTTGTGCTATTGCAACTACTTGGAATGCCAGTTCCAGGCAGAGTGCCCTCTGTTGTAGACACCTTGTGCTTTGGGAAGTTGTCTGTGATTAGGGGAGTAATTTTCTATTTGAGGTTGGTCTCAGGAAGGGAAACCACTCCTGACTCCTGCCTGAAAACTCGCCTCCTTGCTCAGAAACACTAATTACAGGGGTCGTTTGATGCTCTCACTTAAATATTTTAGTCACTCACACATTTATTGACTATCTGTATGTGCCCAACCCCATTCCAGGTACTGAGGTTAAAAATGAGTGAGATGCAGTCTCTCCATACCACAGAGCAAAGGAGGAAGCTTGTTTGTGTATATGGAGCATGGCCCATGCAGGGTTACTTAATGCTAGAAACCAAACACTCTGAGGCAAAGAAAAGGTGTAGGGGGTTGGGGGGCAGGGTAGAGGAATAGTCTACCCAGACTGCCTGTCACTCAGACCAGCCACTCTGCTGCAAAAGGAGTTGGCTTATCTTTTTTTTTTTTTTTTTTTTTTAAGCACTTAGCAGTTTCCTAGGGCTGCTATCTGCTGTAACAAACTGTGTGGCTTAAAACAATGGATATTTATTCTCTTGCACTTCTGGCAGCTTAGAAGTCTGAAATCGAGGTGACAGCAGGACCATGCTCCCTCTGAAGGCTCTAGGGGAGACTCTTTCCTTGCCTCTTCCTAGCTTCTGGTGGTGGCTAGCAATCCCTGGTGCAGTGTAACTTCAATCTCTACCTCTGTCTTCACGTGGCATTCTTCCCTATGTATCTCTTCTGTCTCTGTCTCCAAATTTCCCTCTCCTAAATCCTGTCATTGAATTTAGGGCCACCCTAATCCAGTATGCTCTCATTGTAACTTGATTACATCTGCAAAGACCCTATTTCCAAATAAGGTCACATCCCCAGGTTCCTGGGTTAAGACTTCAATGTATCTTTTTTTTTTTTTTTTTTTGGAGGGGGCGGGAGTAGTGCACCATTCAACCATGACATCTATACTCTGTCCACCAAATGCAGGTGGGTTTTGTACAGACACCAAAGCACATATACTTTGCACTTGGGCAGTAGCCCTTTGGGAGTCACTTGGGATCTATTTCCTCTTAATTTTCTTCAAGTTTAAACAAATTTGATCATCCAAAGGAGCCATACATAGCCCAATGATGAGAAACGTGAGCTTTGGCTTTAAAACTGGTGTTGAAGCCTGCCTTTCCAATTTATTGTGAGTCCTGGAGCAACTCGTGTAACTTCTTTAATCCTCAGTTTCCTTATCAGTAAAATGGGAATAGTGAGAATACCTACACCACTGAGTTGTTATTAAGCCTGCATGAAAACCTACATGTAATGATATTCACTGTGCTGAGCACTTTACATGATCTCATATAGTCTTTTCAACAACTCTTAATTGATTGGTATTTAGACTTCTGTTTTACAGATGCAGAAATAGAAGCTAAGTGATTCGCCCAAGATCTCCAAGATACTAAAAAGTATCAAGAGTTGGAATTTGAACCTGGATTTCCACTGTGCTCTATTCCTCAAGACCCTTTTTAATAGTTATGTAGCGCTACAGTCTAGGGGTTCCTAAACTTTTTAAGGAAAGTCCAACTTTTTATATCCCTAAAGCCTTGCTCTCACTGAAGCCTTGATTGAGGCCAAGAGAGAATGCCTTGCTGCTGCCCCCATGAGCCACTGCCCATCTAAGGAATTCCCACAGATGCCCACATTTACCCACATGCTTTAAAAGCTCTTGTTTATTGAGTCTTTGCTGTTCACCTGGCTGCATATTACATTACAAGGCAAGGTAGCATGATAGTTACATGTCTGGGCTCTGGAGACAGACTGCGTATGACCTGGTGTCTTCTTAGAGCAAGCCTTCTAACTTGGGTTGGCTGAATCAAATCTATATGTAAAATGAATGATATACAGACAGTTCACTAAATCAAAGCCCATCTCCACAATCTACCTGACCTCGGACAGATGACATAATCTCTGTATCCCCCATTTTCCTTATCCCTAGGATAAGGGCTGAGAATAATAAGCCCCTATACAGTTGTTGTGAAGATTAAATAAGTTAATGCTTGTAATGCATTTGAAACATGACCCAGCACATTGTGGCCTACTGAATTTATCTTCTACTACCTTTGAGCAGGCATCATTGTCCTTACTATTTTACAAATAAAGAAACTGAGGCCAGAAAGGCCATATACCACTAGAAGGTTCGAGCAAAGCAAGGATTCAGGCTCAGGCCTGTTTGACTCCAGAGCCCAGTGGTTACAGCAGGGACTGTACTTGATTCTTTAAATCCTCCTTCTGCTACCTGTCCCATTCCTCCAGTGCCTGGACCATTGGAGATGTTTAATCAGTATTTATCCACAGATAAACCCATTGCATCTATGCCCTCCTACCTAGGCTTACCTGCTTTCGAGATCAGGGGATGTGTTAGAAGGATGTGATCAGTCCTTATCAATACCCTTTCTGTTTTTAGTAGTTTGGATAACATTTATTGAGTGTCTACTATATGGCCAGGCATTGTGAGAAGCATTTCACACATACCTTTCCTCATTTACTTTCAGAACCTTCTAAAGGAGGCTTCACTCTCTGCATTTTATGGAAACTCTGGCTTACAAGGACCCCATCGAAAAGGATGTTCCCTCTTTGTGGCCACCTTCTTTCATGTCCTTTACAGCCGGACATCCTATTTTGGCCAGACCA
The DNA here is from genome assembly GCF_000001405.40 of Homo sapiens. Taxonomy (NCBI): domain Eukaryota; kingdom Metazoa; phylum Chordata; class Mammalia; order Primates; family Hominidae; genus Homo; species Homo sapiens. The sequence goes on from NC_000001.11 coordinate 63,615,477, forward strand.
TATAATTGAAAATGATCTTAATAATGAGACAGACAGAAAATAACCTCACCATTTCTCTCCTCTTCTTCTTCTTCTTTTTTTTTTTTTTTTTTTTTTTTTTTTTTGAGACAGAGCCTTACTCTGTTGCCCAGGCTGGAGTGCAGTGGCGCGATCTCGACTCACTGCAATCTCCGCCTCCCGGGTTCCAGCGATTCTCCTGCCTCAGCCTCCTGAGTAGCTGGGATTATAGGCCCTGCCACCATGCCTGGCTAATTTTGTATTTTTAGTAGAGACGGGGTTTTACCATGTTGGCCAGGCGGATCACTTGAGGTCAGGAGTTCTCTCCTCTTCTTAAAAGCCCCAGAGTCCCACCATATTTTAATTATTTGATGGAGGGCCAACCACTGCCTGCCACAAAACTTAAAGGGGCACAATTTCCCTTGTGATCTTGGTGAAGGGAGCCCATAGAGTTGTGCAAGGCTGCTCTGGGCAGAGGTGAGTGAAGCACTGCCCCTTACGAGGCTGCTGGCAATCTTGCTTGTTTTTCCATTTTCCACCACAAGAGGGCAACATATGACCATGAATGATTTGAAAATAAAGCGATTCCTTAACTGGTTCTCTTTTTACCAAAGAATTTTAATAATTGTGCTCCTGGTAAGTTAGAATGGGGAAAGTTCTTCTGTTAGCGCCAAGTGAATATTCTTAAGGGATTGAAATTCAAATTGTCTTGAGAATTCTCCAAAAAGGAAATAAAAGACATAGAAAAATGTTATATGAACCACATAAATGGCTGTTTTTATAGGTCAAAATGTTTGAATATGGGTCATTTCTGATAAAACAGGAGACTCCTTCACACGTGCCTTACTTATGAAAAGGGGTTCCTAAGCCTTGCACATCTTCAAATTGAGGAGATTGTTTTCAGACGTAACCACATGGGTTCAGAATGGCAATTATGCAGATGGAGAATGCCTTCCATGGCTTCTTGTCTGCCCTGTGAGTGCTCATAGCTCTCTTGTAGGCTCCCAGATGAGTACTTTTTACTCCATTTTAAAATGATTTGTTGGCTTATCTATCTCTCCTTCTGCACCAAAAGTTTCTTGGCAACTTGAGTCTTCCTGAGGTGTACAGTGCCTGGTGAAATGAATACAACACATCGGTCTATATAGGACATATTGGGTAGATGGATGGGTGAACAGATGGACAGCCAACTGACGCGTGCTAAAGGTTGTACACTCTCTGAGGCAGAGGCAGCTGTTATGTTTGTTTTTATTTTCAAAATCTACTTCAGGAGTCTCTGTGAACATGGGATTCTGTAGAGCTCTAAGCCATCTGGCCCTTGTAATTCTTCTGACCTTGTACCTTCTTCCAATTTTAATGTAATTTCTCCTTTTCTTTAGAGAACATTTCCTAACTCTACTAAAATGCACATAGCCAATGGCCCGTCCCAATTGTTGGGTATGAAACACGCCTGCTTGTTTTCAGATTCAGAGCAGTGCTAAAGGCTAATACTTACGCAGGGCTTGCAAAGCACTAGAACCAGCTGGTGCTAAGCTCTTTACATTTGTAAACTCCTGTCTCTTAATACAACAAATCTATGCAGTAGCTACCACTTTCAATCCCTGTTTCAAAGGTGAGAAAATAGAGGCACAAAGAGCCTACATCCCTTGCCCACGGTCCCCTAGTCAGAAAATGGTACTCGGCCTGTCTCCTTGCTGTGGACTGAGGGAGCTCAAAGGAGAAGGGGAGGAAGTGTTCTCTCTTCCTTTTCTTGCCTGTACTGGACAGCAGGTGAGGCCTGGCTCACAGCTGGCAAACAGGACCCAGGTACTACGGAGCCCTGGTCAGCCCTGTAAAGAGATGTAAGCAGCTATAAGTAGCAGAAGCCCAATTAGGGTTCAGTGAGCCCCTATGAGGCCTGACACACAAGGACTGCACACAGAGAGAGGGGCGTCTCCTGCAGCCACAGGCAGTGGTGGGGCAGATGGACTTCAAGACCCTGAGACACATTTTGGGAGGCCAGGCGGGCAGATCGCTTGAGATGAGGAGTTCGAGACCAGCCTGTCCAACACAGTGAAACCCTGTCTCTATTAAAATTACCAAAATTAGCAGGGCATGGTGGCACACACCTGTAATCCCAGCTCAGGTGGGATTGAGGCTGAGGCACGAGAACTCAGGAGGCTGAGGCACGAGAATTGCTTGAACCTGGAAGGCAGAGGTTGCAGAGATTGCACAACTGCACTCCAGCCTGGGAGACAGAGTGACTCTGCCTCCCCACAAAAAAAAAAAAAAAAAAAAAAAAAAAAAGACCCTGAAACAAGAGGAACCCAGGCAGCGTCTCCTGGTTGTCTCAGCACATCTGTTTCATTTTCCTCTCTCTCTGCTGACCCATTTGTCAATGGAAATTAGGTTTCTCAGTGTGTGTGGTTTTTTTTTTACAAACTCATTTAATCAAGCACCTATGAATATTTCAAATTTTTAAGTCAAATATTTGTTTTCTTTTAAAATTCCTTGTCTAATAAGGAAAACTTTTCAAGTATTCAAGTTGTTCTCATGTAATCAAATAATAACAGCAGATCCTTGTACAGGGCATACTATAGCCACCCTGGTTTCAGAACTATCTGTAAATTGCTTCATTCAAACTTGACTACAACAAGTAAAGTAGAGCTGCTATCATTATCTCCATCTTGACAGATGAGGAAATGGAAGCACAAAGAGGTTAAGTAACTTGTCCAAGATCATATTACTAGTAACTGGTAGAATAAGGGTTCAGACCCTGTCACTTTGGCTTTAGAGGCCATTCCCTCAAGTACTATAGTATACTGTCTGCATGTGATGACTTAAACTTATAAATATAATACAGTCCAAGTTTTCTGGAATGTTCCACTAATGTTTATAATTTTGATAAAATTCTTCTCATAAAATTCTTCTCATACCTCCTTAAACTTAAAATCCTGTCTAAATAAGTAACACAACCTGCACTTAATTATAAACTGGAACCACAAGGCTAATCTTTAGATAAACTAATATCCCACATTTCTTAAATGTATTTCAAATGCCAAATATACCTAGTTTTCCCCCCCTTACTCCAAAAATATTAATACTATGTTCATTTTATTATTTGTATCCTATGTGATATATTTCATCATCTGTACACTTAATTTTAAGAGAGTATGTTTTAAAATGCCTACTTAAAAAACCATTCTCTCACCTCAAGTGATGAGGGGTTACCTTTCCAGTTGAATTGGGGTGACACCAGCTGGGTGAGGTGTGGCTCGGCCAAGGGTCTGGATGTGGAGGCACCGAGTCCAGAATACCAGCGCCAAAAGGGATTCTCCAGTGGCTTGTGTTCCCAGCCCCTGTTCCCGATTCTCAGGTCTGATGAATCTGCAAGCCCTACCTACGTGAGAAGATTCATCTAACCTATTTTCTGCTTGATACTATTTCGAATTCTTTTCTGATTCTTCCCGTACATCAGATCCACAACTCTTAGAGATGTATGAATGATCCCGAGTTGGATCCTGCATAGCTGTCACGGACTCTCACATATTGTCAGGCTGTCAGCAGCAGTTCTGTGGATATTCTCATGCCTCAACTGTTCTTGCCCCACAGCTCATAAGTTTACCTGTCTTTCTGGTTCAAGGGCTAACCTAATCTGGCTAGTACACTTTTGAGTCCCAATTCTAGATTCCAAGGAGAGAAAACATGAGTGGTCCAGCTTTAGTCAGGGGTCTACCCCATTTGCTCATGGCCTGGAGTCAGGGTCCTGGAGTAGACACCTGGCCTCAGGCCTTCACTCTCATGGAATAGTTGGGGGACAGTTCTCAGAGAAGAGAGGAGATGAGTAGAAAGCACAGTATGGAAAAAGGGTCAGAGGAAAGAGGTTGTTCAAGGAGTATCTTCACAGTAGGAGAGGAAAAAAACAAAAGCAGTGCTCAAACTGGGCCAAGAACTCAGAGTTGAAGTTGTGTGTAGAAAGCTGGCAGAGGAACAGTGCTGGACAAGATCACATTGACTGGGACCCTCAAAGCCACCCCAGCTAAGGATGGGACCCTTTTTGCAAGCCTTGGTTAATCTTTTTCCACTCTTATTTCTCCAAGCCATTCAAGGCATCACTGCCAGCCAGTCAACTTTCCAAAAACATATTGGTTTATATTCTTTTTGCTTACAAATTTCCATAGTTCCCCAGCACTTTCAAAATAAAGTTTAGCACGGTTCACAAGGCTCCATAGACTTGCCCCAACTATTTCTCCAGTCTCATCCCTGTCACTGCAACCTCTTCAGAGCCGCAGCTCTGTAAACACACCTTCAGGATAGCACCAAGGCCATCCCGCTATGATGGCTCCTTTCTGATGTGAACTTTTTTGAGAACAGAGGCCCATCCACCTTTGTTTCTATCTCCAACCCCACTCAGAATGTGAGAAAAAAAATTGTATCTTTACATCATTTTCCAGTTCATAAAGGCTTTCCTAGACATTAACTGAGGCAATCTTCGCAAAAACCTTGGGAGAGAGGTATTATTTCATGAAGAAATTGAGGCTCAGAAGGACAAGGGGGCTGACAATGACCGATAATCTACCTTATACCAGGCACAGTACTGGGTGTTTTCACATGTGACCTGTTTTCAGTTTTCTGAACAAACTTCAGAGCTATCCCCATTTTATAGGCTCAGATGAGTTAAGTAACTTGCTCTAGATTGTACCTCTCATACATTTTACAGTGAAAGATTTGAGCCCTAGTTGTATCTGGCTGCTGAACCTGTGCCCTTCCCGTTAGAATGTAGTGCCTTGCCTGGGGCTGAGCATTTACTACCTGCTTAGTTACTGGTGGCTGGAGAAATGAATAACCGTTTTCCACTCTTGGGGACAAACACTTCAAGCCCTCTGGAACAGGCACCTGCAGCCATCACAAGCATAGGGCCTTGGGCTGGAGTGTCTGATTAACCCTGCTGCTTTAAGCCAAATTTCTGCCTTTCTTTCTAGTGCTTATGCCTGGAAATAGGGTTATCAGGCTCATCCCTTATGCCCACTCCTGGGACATTAGCTAAGAAAGAATTCTTGGTGTGAAGAGGTGAACCCATTCAGGCCAGCCCTCACATGGGGCCTGGGACACCATTATTAACTGTCCATTAAATATTTTTTAAAGAAACATAGAAAAGAAAGAGTGAATAAAGGATTGGTAAGTCTACGGTTTCTGCTATGCTCTACTGGGAAGGTATCACTGCTGATGCAAATGGAAGCTGGAGTCTTTGCAAGGCTGGGAGCGAAGGGGTTCATAACTCTGCCATTGTGAAATTGATTGGACCCAAGACCAGTATGAAAGTTCCTTGTCTGAAGGGAGTAATCCTTAAATCCCCCATATGGTTTAAATGTAATTTGTGTCATTGTGAAGGAGTACTGGCAATGCAGGCGAATTCATTAGGCCAAATTGGGTTCGCTATGCTCGACAGTAACGTTTCTGAAGATGAAGTTCAACCTTTGCTGGAGAGCTAAAACAAATGAGTTTCTTAATAGCTGCCCCACTTAGTCTGAGTGTCTTAGGAAGCTTAATGTTTTTAATGTCTCTTCTTTTTTACTATACTTCACAGTCCATCTAACATTGCTGCTTCTGGTAATATTTTTATATGGGGTTGAGTTCTATAGTGTTCATAAAATTATGATCAGGCCCATTTTTAGAATAGAAGCTTTTCTAGGGCAAGGATTATGTTCTTTTGGTATAGTTTTGCATATTGACAAACACCATGCCTGGCATGTGTCGTTGCTTAAAATGTTGCTCTCGTAATTCTGCCCTCAGAAAGAACTTCACCGAGAGACTGGGAGGCTGCCAGCAGAGACTATGCTGGAGTGTGGTGTATTATGTGGGCAGAGAGGCTTTGGTATGGGATGTGGGAATATCCTTGTGCCCAAGTACCCCCAAATTTACCCTGGGATTTCAAGATCTCATTAAGAAAACTACCAATTATGTGGTTGGCTGCTCTGTTATTCCAATGAAAAGATTATTGGAATGATATTTTATAAATCTGGATCTATTATCGGATATGTCAAGACACACATGCCAGCCTAATTCACAAGCCCATATAAAACCAGGGAAAACTTGGCACAGAACTTACAAAATAGGAATTTAAAAAATCATTTATAGTACGTTGAAAAACAGTGGTTATGTAAACTGTTAATAAAGCATGCTTGCTTTTTCAATTAATTTCTAAAGAATTTGACTTTTAAAAACAAATTAAGAGCCCAAAATAAGCTATAAAAAGTAGTCGTCTTTTGGCTGACTGGTTTTCAACATAATAGATGTGTTTTGTGAATTGTGTTAATGTTATGTCTCGAGGTATTTCCTGCACATGGGCCAGGCCCATTTGTCATTTGAAGGGGCTCCCTTGCCAGTGGCCTACTTTCTGCTTGTGAGCCTGTTATTCCTGCTGGTCTTGTGCAGAGCAGCCCCGGAACACAGCGGCATTCTTGACAGAGGGCAGTTGGCAGCTACCAGTGCCTGTCTACTTTCGGATGCTACTTGACAAGTTAGTATAAAAAGACTCAGATTTTGTTGCTCAAGGGATGATTCACTTTTCCCTTCAAAACCTTAATTCCTCAGTGCATGTTTGGTCTGTTGTCCAGGCTGGAATACAATGGCACGATCTTAGCTCACTGCAATCTCAGCCTCCCAGGTTCAAGCAATTCTCCTGCCTCAGCCTCCCAAGTAGCTGTGACTACGGGTGCACGCCACCATGCCTGGCTAATTTTTGTATTTTTAGCAGAGACAGGGTTTCACCATGTTGAACAGACTGGTCTCGAACTCCTGACCTCAGGTGATCTGCCCACTTTGGCCTCCCAAAGTGCTGGGATTACAGGTGTGAGCCACCATGCCTGGCTGAGAACACACATGTATGTATTTAAATAGATCATTAATAAAATCTCAGGGATCAAATGGAATTAGATATGAAATTTATTTAGGTAAAATATTTTTAAACATCCTAGTTTCTTCAAATACAAAGGACTTAAACTGCTTCCCTAAAAACATTTTATTAAAAGTCAAGTATGCTTAAAACTGAGAAAATGTTAAAAACGAATCTCATGTTCATATTATTTTTCTAAATAAAAACTCGATCCAACCCTGTGTACTCAGAAAAACATATGTATATTTTTTCCGTGTTTTGCTTACATTTTTAAGGACTTGGTGCATCCTCACGCCTGTTTTTTTGTATATTCAAAGGAATGACCAAGCTGTTGGTTATTCAGGGCAACTTTGGAGGTATCTGTTCTTCTAGAACTGAACACTGTTTTCTTAAATCTTTGGTGGCCAATGAATAAATCTGTTAGATAATTTTTTTCCTGATAGATTGCATGTGTGAAGTAAAAATAATTTCTTAGGTTTCAAAATGACAGTGATGTAAGAAAACCAGGGGTAAATTAAGCTCCCTCACTTCCATTTTAAGATTGACCTTTAACTTGCTAGGTGGCATGGGGCAACTTTAGCTGCAGATGGCCTTCTCAGAGATGAATGCCCAGAGAGGCTCTGGTTTAAGGGATGGCAGGAGCAGTGAGAGCCACACCAGGGTGTCTTGTTCACAAATCTGCTTCGTGGGACTGCATTTGCCCTCTTTGCCTGGGCTCTGAGAGTGGAGCCTGTCAGCCACCTGGTGTTTACAGCTGAAGTTGGCTGCATGCAGCACTCCTTGGAGCTATCTCTACCCTAACGGGGAAATGAGACAAAAATAATTGAAGGGTATTTGGCTTGGTTAAGTGGGCAGAAGTGTCCTCATCAAAACAACTTTGAAGACCTGCTTTGTGTGTGGGTGCGAGTGGGTGTGTGGCCCTTAACTTGTTCACAAGGGACAACAACAACAAGGAATTAACCAAGCTTTCTCATTGAGAGTGATCGTCCATGCAAACCCTCTATTTTAGTTACTCATACGACACTGTTGCAGCTTCAGGTTGGACAGACCTATTTTGGAGTCCCTTGACTGCTTTCTGGACACCCTCACTGAGCCAGTCGGTGGAAGTGAAGGATGAGTGATTTTGAAGAATGGATTTCTGGGACATATAGAAAAATGGAAGAAGGTCCTCTCCCTCTGTTGACTTTTGCTACAGCTCCCTACCACGATCAGAAACCAGGAACAAGTGGATTACGGAAGAAAACCTATTATTTTGAGGAAAAGCCATGCTATCTGGAGAATTTCATCCAGAGTATATTCTTTTCCATAGACCTAAAAGATCGCCAGGGATCATCACTGGTGGTTGGTGGAGATGGGCGGTACTTTAATAAATCAGCAATAGAAACAATAGTGCAGATGGCAGCTGCCAATGGGGTGGGTATATGATAAGTATTGTTATGTTTCTGGCTCTCCAAATAACCTTAATTTTACAGAAGTATACAAACGTACAAGGATTTATATGTGGTATACACTTCAATTCTACTAACATCCAGCTAAGTTTCATTGTAACTTCAGTGATTGTATATTGTGAAAATACTTCAGAAATTACATTAGCCACACTGGGATACAGGAATGTTAAGTTCAGCTTCTTAGGTATTATGCTGTGTTCTGTTGCTTGACAAAGTACCTGTTGCTTTTTAGACATTTAAAGCACACTCCCGGTCTTAAGCTGTTTTATCTACATTCTAACTAGCTTCAAGGGGCACCCTGTCCTGTGTAAGAGGGCTCTACTGAATGGTGGAGAGAAGAGGATTTTGTTTTCTTTCAATGGCTTTCTTGTTGAAGTTCAGTCACTTGTCAAACAGGAAAACAAAAGCCAGGGCATGCTGTTGTTTATGGATCCTGGTAGTCACGCAGAAATGCTAGGAGGGGTTGGAAAATGTTAGGTGTGAGCCTTTTGAGGGGACCTGTTACAGGGGCACCTGCTTATAATGACCTTGGACACAAAGAAGCCGTGCGCATGGTGAATTTGTGCAGCAGGGTAGAGATAATAACTCCTGTAAGACTATAGTATGAGGCGGCTCTGCTAAACCTCTGCATCGTGAAAAACCGTGTTGGCTGGATTAAGCAAATGAGAAGGAATATTGTACCAGAACGCATTGATCTTGATAATCTAACAATTCGTGCAGCCCACTGGTTTCCAGGAAGGTGGGCATCAGGACATTGATGTTTTTGCTCTGCAAATTCCTCAGTGGGACCAGAAATACATTTTTAGTGTTTTAGATAATGATTAGCAATTAGTTGGAGCACATAGTCCTTCAGTACCTGCAAATTTTAAAATCTGGTGTATTTCTTTTCTGGAAGAGATTCTGATTCTTGGTAGATAAAATGTAGTATTGCAACTAAGTGTGTTAGACATTCATTTTCAGTGTATTTTCAAAATATGCTGAGCAGGTATGTTTGCAGAAGCAAAATTAAAGCAAAACAAAATAAAATGTACCACCACACTAAATTTTAAAGTGTTTGTAGATCCTGTTGTTTATAATTAGAGTTTTCCTGATACTCAGTTTCAGAATCTGAATGCCTCTCATGTAAAAGTTGCTGATAAAGCACTCAAATATGAAATTATTATGAAGCATACACATTTTTAAGATAAAATGTGACATGCCATAAATTTTTTCTTTGAGGAGAGCTGCAAAGGGAACAGTATTAAGATGCTTTTAATCTTTTGAGAGGGAACGAATGGAACATTATTTCTCCACATATATCTAGACTGTTGAGTGGATCTGGTACACTGTCCCCTTTGCTGTGATATATTTGGCTCCATTTCATTTTTGTGTGGAGCTGAAGAATGTGGAAGAAGTGGTAGGAATGTGTAATTCAGGCACACCCTACAGACTTTCTCAGATTTGCCCTCTGAAGGTTTGCTAAATAATACATTTAAGTGATAATTGACTAAATATGGTAGCTGCCTATTTGTTAGAGCTGTTGGCAGCCCAAGCAATATTTTCAAGTCTTTTCAAGGTAAGCTTAGAGGTGAGAGCCACCTTATTAAAAATAGCACTGCATTTAAAACAGTCATGCTAACCAACTGAATTGCTTAAAATATTAGTGGACTGGATAAAGCACTTCAATCGGATGCGCTTTAAACCTGTGAAATTCTAAAGGGTTTGATTTCTTCTCTTTCTAACATATCCTAAATTCTGACTGTTTTAACATGCCTTTGATTGTGGGTGGGACTGCAGGGAGGAAATCTAAAGGAAGGATAATTATTACCACAGATTTTGACAAAAGTCAGTGCTCCTTTCTCATTTTCTTTAATACCCACTGTGCCCATAAGCTGATTCTTGGAGGGCTTTTCAGCCCACTGAGCTAAATGGAGATCATTTTATTTTTTTTCCCTTTACCATACTTTATCTGGTGCATTTATGGGTTATAAGTTTCTCTTCATTTTTTATTTACATAGAGCTCTCTGCTTTTAAAGGACGTTTTATTGCACAAAATAAGATATTGACGGGCCCCTTTTAGAATATTGATATCTCATTCAGTCCCCAGAGCTCTAAACTGAGAGGTAAGTTTAGAGGTAAGAGCAGGACCCATGTGCATGATTACAGGACAAAGAAAATGGAACTTGTTTTTTAAATAACCTAAGAAAATACCAAGCCCTGTTTTCAATTAAAAGGAATATTTAAAGTTTACTCCCTGCCATGTTTGACTATTAGATGTTTGGAGAACAATGAGATACCCATTTTGGTGGGGAGGCGTGAGTTTTAAGGAAGGAAGTCGTGGGAAAGGAAGGCAGGCAGGGGAGGCCATTTGAGGATGGACTCTTAGTGCCTGGCTGAGGGGGTTATCTCTAACTTGGGAGCCAGGAAAGGTAAAATGTACATAACATCAGATTTACCATTTTAACCATTTTCAGTGTATGGTTCCCTGGCATTAATTACACTCACAATGTTTTACAACCATCACCACTATCCATCTCCAGAGCCTTTTTTAAAAATCATCCCATACAGAAACTCTGTACCCGTTACACAATCATTCCCCATTTCCACTCCCACCAGCCTCTGGTAACCTCTGTACTACTTTCTGTCTTGATGAATTTGCCTATTCTAGTTACCTCATAGAAGCAGAATCAGACAATCCTTGTCCTTTTGCATCTGGCTTATTTCACTTAGCATGATGTTTTCCAGCCTTATCCGGGCTGTAGAATGTGTCAGAATTTTATTCCCTTTTTTTAAGTTAAAAAATATTTATCCTTATGACCTGGCAGTCACATGAGAAAAAAAAAGAAAAAAAAAATTATCCTATATATGTCCTTCCAATCACATCCATATCTATAGATTGCAATGTCATCTTTGAGTACAGTGACAAATTCTTTAAAAAGTTTTAGTTGTGGTAAAAACATGTAATAAAATTTACCACCGTAACCATTTTTAGGTGTATGGTTCAGTGATGGTAACAAAACATTGTTGTGCAGCATATCTCTAGAAAGTTTTCATCTTGCCAAACTGAAAGTCTGTGTCCATTGAACAACTCCCCATCTTTCCCTCTTCTGAGCCCCTGCCAACCACCATTGTATTTTGTGTTTCTATGGTGTTGACTTCTTTAAATACCTCATGTAAGTGGAATCATACAGCATTTGTCTTTTGTGACAAATGCTGTATGACAAATTTCACTTAGCATAATGTCCTCAAGGTTCATCCATCTTGTGGCATATGGCAGGACCCCCCCCCCCCCACACACACACACACTTTTAAGGCTGAATAATATTCCACTGTATGTATACACAATATTTTGTTTATCCATTCACTTGATGATAGACGTTAGCGTTCTTTCCACCCTTTGACTTTTGTGAGTAATACTGCTGTGAAATTTGGTGCTTAAGTGTCTGTCTGCGTCCTGCTTTCAATTCTTCAGGTATATACCTAGAAGTGGAATTTCTGGGAGGGTTTTGGAGTCAGAAAAGGGACACAGAATTATGATTTAGAAAGATAAACTAGATGGGTTTGAGTAGGTCAGATGGATCCAGCCAGGGTCGAGTAAGAGAGAATCATGTGGGACAGAGGCAGGGGAGATTGAGTTAGGAGCTGTTGCAGTGGTCCAGGCATCTTTAAGGGAAGGAGGGTAATAGAGCAGTGTCTCTCCTGTATCAGATCGAGAGCAATATTCCTGAGGGTGATTCCCAAGAAAGAGCCTGATCTGGAAGGGGAGTTCTTCCACCAGATGTACCTCTTCTTGGGCTCAAGAGAGAAGCTACCTTGCTTCTATCTCTCAACTTTCCTTCTTACTCTTACCCCTGGCATAATCCCCTCAGCCTGGAACCATTGCAAATCTCACCATAAGGAATGGTAGAATTAAGGGGTGACATGGGTGGTGTAGCTTAATATCACCAGCCTCTCCTTCCACACCAAATACAATCTATATAAAAATTGGTATGCTTGGTGTGTAAATACAACTCGACAAGCCACCCCTAAACCCCTCCTATGGACATTCTGGAACTGCCCGAACATAGGCTTTTATTCTCATCACAACCACACCTGGAAACTGCTGGAAGGTGAAATGTCACTGTGTTGAGTCAGGACGTTTCAATACTTTCCCCCACCATGGCCGCTAATGTGCTGTGTGGCCTTGTCGTGTCATCTACGCCAGTGTCTGCCATAGTACCTTTCCATTAATGCTTGTTATTATTGCTGCTGGATGGAGGCAAGAATGAATGAATGGGCAGGATCATGATAACTCTGGACCTCAGCTTCTTCATGTTTGCAGTGGTACTTGGGAAGAGCAAATGTGGGAATGGATCAAAAGTACCATGGGATGTAGAAAGCACTCTGTAGCTCAGTAACAATCATCGGTTTTGATTTCACACTATCTGCAGGTTCCTGTAGTCTAAAAAGCAGCCTACTGACAGCATCCACCCTGGTGGTTACCATTTCCTGGGGAAGGCAGGATATAACCAATATATTAGGGGAGCTACAACAAAAATTGTTCGGAGATTGACATATGAGAGCCAAGAGGTAACTGAAGGGAACCAGGTGCTCCTTGGGAGGTGGTTGGTAGTGGAGTGGTTGACGGTTTTCAATGGGCTATGGAAGGGTGGCAGAGCCAACAGTCCCAGAGAAACTCTCCCCAGGGAATCCAGGTATCTCACGGACATTTTCAACACTAGAAACACATCTTCCACCATCAAGTTGTTTCTTCAATCATGTTTATCTTGGGTGAAGCAAAAAGAAATAACAAATGGAAAATGTAAAAAAATCCCTGTTTTTTAAGAGGAACTGACAGCACCTCAACCTTCTTTTCCAACTTGAGTCATGTTGAAACAGATATAAATTACTGTCATTTTAGCAAAAAAGATTTAGGAGCAGTACTGATACCATCTGTAAGAGATATGGGAAGGTAAGTTAAGAATGCAACAGAAGTCCCATCTGTCGCCCTTTCATGTAGGTCATTCTGACTGGTTTACTCAGGAATAACTCCAGCATTCTTGTCTTAGGCCCAGGAGGTAACCCAGGTACACTGTAACAGAAGTAGGTGTGTCTTGCTTTGAGGAAACCCACTATATGAAAAAGCCAAGCTTGACTGGAAAGATAAATTGATGAGTCATTTTTCAATAATCTTGATATAAAATTTGCCCTTTTTACTTTAAAAAAGCCTTCTCTTTGGGTAGAATCCCTTTAATTAGCTAAACCTTTTCTTTTCTCCCGTTGTGGATTGAAAGTATGATTGAATTGGATAAAAATGTGGGTTTTCTCATATTCTTTCAATGCATCCAAATTGTGGCCCCGATCTGGAAAGGCTCTTTTTAATATGCTGTGTTTTCATGCTGGAGCCTTACAGTGCACACAGACCACACACTTCTAAAACTACAAAGTCCCGAAAACCATCTGAAGGAATTTGTTCAACATTGCTGATTCTATTTCAGTAATATGGTGGAGACATCCAAGCTGCAGATTTTTATTAAATAAAATCTTTTCTTGTCCAACAGATTATTACTATTATTTTTTTGTCCATCTGCCTGTTGTCTTGGTGTTGTTTCTGAGCGGTGACTCTGGATGTATTGATGTTAAAGAGTGTGTTCTGGATTTCTTCTCCTAGATCGGTCGCTTGGTTATCGGACAGAATGGAATCCTCTCCACCCCTGCTGTATCCTGCATCATTAGAAAAATCAAAGCCATTGGTGGGATCATTCTGACAGCCAGTCACAACCCAGGGGGCCCCAATGGAGATTTTGGAATCAAATTCAATATTTCTAATGGAGGTGAGTTTGCTGTCATTTTGAGGACAGGTAAGTTTACATTCAGTAGGACAAATCAATACCTGGAGCCTTGGGAGACCAGGGTTTTGGTTCTGATCCTTTGCAGGGGGTAGGGAGGTGCTCTTTGCTTCCTTTCAGTGACAGTGAAATGCTTCTCATTTGACTGTACCTGAATATGAAGAGCCATGCGCAAATCTTCCTTAACATGATATTTTCTTTTAGAAAAATCCTGCTACTTTGCTGACTGAATGATGAAATGGTAGATGTGCTAGTGAAGAGGAACTGATGAGCTTTGGATTCTTTGTATTTCCATGTGAGCTGCACGAAGTAACCCACTGTTTGCTGTTTGGTTTCCAGGTCCTGCTCCAGAAGCAATAACTGATAAAATTTTCCAAATCAGCAAGACAATTGAAGAATATGCAGTTTGCCCTGACCTGAAAGTAGACCTTGGTGTTCTGGGAAAGCAGCAGTTTGACTTGGAAAATAAGTTCAAACCCTTCACAGGCATGTTTACTTTCCTCCTCTTTCTGCCCACTCCTATTTCCAAGTTGAGCGATTTTCCTTTCAACGTTTTAGTAGAGGGTCTTCAGCTTTGGAAAGATTTCCGTGAGTGCTCTGTAAGCTTTGCAAGTGTTAGTTAATTAACAAGTCTGGAATTAGGTTTGGGAGACCAGAGACCTGGGCTCCCTGGGCCCTGCCAGGGATCAGCTGCATGACATCGAGTAAGTCATTTCCAGCACTCTAGGCCTCAGTTTTCATGCCTTGACTAGAAGACCTGCAGGATTACATTCATAGTTAACTTTTATTGACCTCTTGCTACATGCCAAGGTCTTTACACGTGTTAATCCATTTTATTCTCACAGTAGATCTGTCAGGGCAGCACTGTCAGCATTCACTATTATAGATGAGGAAACAAAGGCTGAGAGAGATTAAGTAACAGGCTCAAGGTCACAGTCAGTGAATGGCAAAACGAAGATTTCAACTCAGGTTTGAATGATTCGCAAGACTACACTTTCCATTTTAGTTTTCCTCATTCAGTAAAATCAATCAGACTATTTTGGGGGGACCAAATTGCAACTCCCTACATAGGCAGCTGTGGCTAACATTTTGTTGTTGAATTATTGTAATAATTGACAGAATAAATATTTATAAAAGTATTCAGATTAATAAAATGAGGATGAGATGATTGGCAATGAACTTGCATTTTGACTTTGCCCTAACATGTTTTCTTTCTTCTGGATTGCAACTTTATGGAATGCATTTTATTAGTCATTTAGTTCCTGGCTAAAGGATGGATTGCATTTTTTTGTTTGAACCTACTCAGGGAGAGCTGACAATTGCATCCTAACAAAGATAAAGTGACACTTTGGTCATCTCGAAGACATTCTTGAGGTTCAGAAGATTCCAGTAGGGAGTTTCTTAAATTCTTCATATTTTGAAAATGTTCAGAACCCCTGAATATCCAGCAGTTTTGAAAATGTTCAGAAGCCTTGAACATCCAACAAGAACAACAATACTAAGTTCTTATATTTATATAAGTTTTATTTTTGTTTTATTCCTTAAGCAGTACCTGTGAAAAGTGATTCATTAAAAAATTTCATTTTCCACTTAGTACCATTAAGTCTTGATGACAATGGACTTGGAAAAAGAAAAGGAAAGAAAAGTGGGGATTACATTTTCTACTCTCTATAACACCAAAACACACCTCTCAAGATGACGAATGGGGAAGCACTGTGGTGGCATAGCAGAATTTATACAACCTCTGTTGAAAATCCCCTGTGTGCCTCATCCAAGCTGTGTGGGCAAGTTTCTTAACCCTTCACACGTCGAGTTTCCTCATCTATCAAATAGGACTAATAACATTTACCTCTCAGGAAAATTGTTAGTATTGGGTAAGGATTGGTAGTATTAGATAGTATCGGATATCACTTAACAGCCGTATTATTGGAGCTGTTCAATAATTGTCCTTTTAAAATAGCAATAGCAGGTTTACAGCAATATAGTCACATCAGAATATAATATTTCTAAATGTGTTTAATCCTTCCATCTTTTGATGTTGCTTGTTCTCACAGTGGAAATTGTGGATTCGGTAGAAGCTTATGCTACAATGCTGAGAAGCATCTTTGATTTCAGTGCACTGAAAGAACTACTTTCTGGGCCAAACCGACTGAAGATCCGTATTGATGCTATGCATGGAGGTATACAATCATTTCTTTTCAATTCCCATCTCTTGAGGATAGGAAGTTGCCCTCTTCTGTGTGTATCATGATGCTTCAACAAGCCTTTTCTCAAGTCTCTCTGATGGTTTTTAAATAGAGTTATTTTGCAACCAGAGCAATATTCACACAGATAAAAATCTAATTGTATGTAGCAAAAATAGTAGAGACACTCCTCGTGGTAAGCTCGTGTGAAGGTCAGTGTTTCCACCTTAAGCATCAGGTTCTGAGTAACATGCAACTGCTGTTGTGGACTCTCCCTCCCCCTCAGAAGATACCTTACATTCTTGCTGCATGCCCCCATGTATTTCTGAGAGGACGGTCATTTGGGAGATGTGATAAACATACTCCTGAGCCCCACACCCCCACTCACCTGCCCCCAAATGCTCGTTTTCTTAGAAGAGGGCAAGAGCAAGCTGAGGATTAAATTCAGGAGCAACATGATGTGTACAGCCCTCTCTTCTTCCTCCGTGGGTTGTGTGGTCAGGTCCATAGAGAGGGCAGCTATCACTGTGAACCAGAACCACGAGGGTTTTCTCAGACATGTAGGTATATGAGAATCCCTGAAACCTATACACATACATCTGCCTGGTTGGAGAAGCCTTTCTGCCTGCAACTGAACCCTTTTAGTGATGCAATTCGGGGATTCCTGTGACACTGCAAACCACAGAAAGTCTTCTGCTGGTGAACTAAAACCTTCCATCCTTGAAACTTCTCCCCTTGGGTCCTAGCTGGCCTCTGGACTCCCATAGAATGGATCTACTTCCTTACTCAGACAAAAGCGATTCTGTCATTTTAAACCATTCAACAGATGTGTATTGCATACCTGCAAAATGCATGCCTGGGGAATAGGCAGGAACTGGGCAGATTACTTTCTTCAAAGAATGTGCAATGTTTGGGGAGACGAAGTGGGTAAAAAACTAACCCCGGGGTCGGGCGCGGTGGCTCACACCTGTAATCCCAACACTTTGAGAGGCCAAGGCAGGTGGATCATGGGGTCAGGAGTTCAAGACCAGCCTGACCAACATGGTGAAACCCCATCTCTATAAAAGTCTCTATAAAAATACAAAAAATTAGTCGGGTGTGGTGGCACATGCCTGTAATCGCAGCTACTCAGGAGGCTGAGGCAGGAGACTAGCTTGAATCCGGAAGGCGGAAGTTGTAGTGAGCGGAGATCACACCACTGCCCCCCAGCCTGGGCGACAAAGCAAGACTCCGTCTCAAAAAAACAAAAAATCCCTAAAAAACTAACTCCTGCCAGGCCAACAAAATGAGAGTTGGAATTTCAAGTATTCTCTTTGGGGTTGGAAGAAGGCATAATTTGACTAGGTATAAAGAAAGGTTTCCTGGAAGAAGTGGCATCCAACTCAGTTCTTATGAAAGAAAGATCTAGAGTGATGAAAAATCAAGCAATGGTCATTCTCATGGAGTCGGTGGCTGTGGCAAAGGCATGAAGGCTTAAAAATGGATGTCACATTAGGGAAACGAGAGGCCTGGGCTGGCTGGATAATGGGGCATGTGAGGAGGGCATTGGGTAAGAGGAGCTTCTCCGGAAGAAGACTACTTTTCTCCAGGTCTTTTGGCTGTTCCTCTAATGCTTTCGTTTCTATATCCCTCACAGCCCTGGCTGCCTTGACCTCATTCTGTGGTGTGTCAGTAACCTGCTTAATAGGTGATGCCTCATAGGACACATTTATTCTACAGTGTTATGACCTCTGGGGCATGTACTGTATTGGGATTAGTACCATCCTTGATGAAAATACTCTCTCAGCATTTCAGAGATGCGTGTTCTTGGTAGTTATATAAAATGTCACTGTAAACATATGTAACTGGCTTCTCCTGTTGTTTGTTTTTGGTGGTGGGTTTTTTATTTTCTTTTTTTTTTGAGACGGAGTCTTGCCCTGTTGCCCAGGCTGGAGTGCAGTGGTGCAATCTCAGCTCACTGTAACCTCCGCCTCCGAAGTTCAAGCGATTCTCCTGCCTCAGCCTCCTGAGTAGCTGGGATTACAGGCGCCCGCCACCAGGCCTGGCAAATCTTTGTGTATGCATGTGTGTGTCTGTGTCTCTGTGTGTGTGTGTGTGTGTGTGTGTGTGTGTGTGTGTGTGTGTGTGTGTGTGTATATATATATATATTTTTTTTTTTTTTTTTTTTTTTTTTTTTAGTAGAGACAGGGTCTCACCATGTTGGCTGGGCTGGTCTCAAACTCCTGACCTCATGTGATCTGTCTGCCTCAGCCTCCCAAAGTACTGAAATTACAGGTGTGAGCCACCGTACCTGGCCTGTTTGTGTTTTTTTAATCAGTTTGTCAGCTAGCTTGTCATAATATAAAGATAACAGCTCTGAATCCCAATTCCCACTTTTCCTAGCCATGTAAGTTTGGGCAAATGTCTTTACCTCAGAACACCAACATTCCAATGTATCTGTAAACTGCAGGTGATAATCATAATATAAACATTTATAACATATCTGCCAGGTACTATTCTCAGTACTTCATAGCTATTAACTCATTTAATCCTTACATCAATCCTGTTAAGTAGTTAGCATTACTACCCTCATTTTGCAGATGGAAGAGACTGAGGCACAGAGAGTTTAAATAACTTTCCCAAAATTATTATACAGCCAATGACTGGCAGAGCTGGGATTTGAACCCAGACACTCTGATTCCAGAGTCCAGGCTCTTAAGCTCTAAGCTGTACAACCTTCTGAGCTTTTCTGAAGGACTGAATGGGAAAGCACAGGTATACCGCAGGGCCTTTATAATGGTTGGTTTCCTTTCCTTTCCCCACTCTGCCCTTCATGAACTGGCCCCACCTTTTCCAACATAATCTCTCATTGTTCCTTTTTAGAGAACATTCTTCTCCAGTCAGGCGTATCTCTCCACTAGTCCCTGAACACATTTCACACATTCCTGTTGTTTCTCATGCCATTCTTCTCCCCAGAATGCATCCACCTCACCCCTGAATCCTCACATACTTTAAGGAGTTTTATTTTCTGATTCTGCATACATTTATTCCATGCTGTATATAGTTGTGGGACCGTATGTAAAGAAGATCCTCTGTGAAGAACTCGGTGCCCCTGCGAACTCGGCAGTTAACTGCGTTCCTCTGGAGGACTTTGGAGGCCACCACCCTGACCCCAACCTCACCTATGCAGCTGACCTGGTGGAGACCATGAAGTCAGGAGAGCATGATTTTGGGGCTGCCTTTGATGGAGATGGGGTGGGTATAAGTGCATTTAAGTGAACTCTGGTGCAGGCCAGGCCTGATCCTGCAGATGGGGAAAAAAGTGGGCTGCTTCTGCCAGACCCAGGGAATAACTGTTAAGGATCCCTCATTCTGACCCGAGGTCAGAACTAAATTATTAGAAGCCCCTCTTGAACAGGAATAGGAGTCATTGAAATGAAACCCACACATTTAATTTCAGACATCCATACTTGCTAACAATGGCACGATGATTAGGTTCTGATTATGATAGAATGACTGGTATTTCCTGAGCTGGGTGAGTTCTAGATGCCTGTCTTAAGGTGGGTTTCTGCTCTCAACCAGCAGCTGGCTACTTATTTAATCTCTGGACAAGATTTTGGTCTTATAATACACCCATTCATTCATTCACATGAGCTGAATATTGAAGCTGTAATTTCATTGCCTATATGAAGATGATATTGAGAGAATTAACATTTTAATCATTCTCTACCATTAAAATGTTTAGAAATAAGCTGTTTTATTTACAAGGGTGACTATGTACCAGACAAGGAAGAGATGTGTCTTAGGTTTATATCCCTGGTATCTCACTGATGGTAGGCACTGTATACATTTACTTAGTTGAAAATATATTTTTGTTGTTGCTAGTGTTACCATTAGCTAGAATCCACTGTTTCCTGAAAAATGATTTTTCCCTTATCAAAATGTTGGGAAATTAAAGGGGTTCCAGCAGACATTATTCTGTAGTACATCTTTGTGATGAGTGCATTCTGGGAGTGTTTTTTGGCCACCCTCCCAGTTACTGTGGTACACAGACTGTGGTACACAGTTTACCCAGTAGACCTACCAAACTATGTAAACAGCCAATATTTCTTCTCTCATTGCATTTTCCCCTCCCCTGGGAAAAAGATGATTGGTTCCAGAGTCTGAAAAAAGTCTAGGAGGTTAAAGTTAGCTGGCCTCTGGAGGGAGAACAGAGGACTCAGCTCAAAAGGAGGTTGTGCTTGGACTTTAATTGAAAACAGTTTTAACTTTTTGGCATGGAGGTGCCTTCGGCCCAATGGTACTGTATAAACTCATTGAAAATAAAACCCAGTGTTAAAAATGCAGTATGGAAAGGAGATCAATTTCAAATTTTATAGTTTTACATTTTATAAAACCCCCATGAAAGATAGTTTGATTTCTTATAGTTTGATTAAAAGGTCTTTCTTTGATCCTCTCTTCTCCCCAAGGATCGAAACATGATTCTGGGCAAGCATGGGTTCTTTGTGAACCCTTCAGACTCTGTGGCTGTCATTGCTGCCAACATCTTCAGCATTCCGTATTTCCAGCAGACTGGGGTCCGCGGCTTTGCACGGAGCATGCCCACGAGTGGTGCTCTGGACCGGTAGGTGTCTCCATTCCCTTGGCCTTCCTGTCTTAGGTCGTCCCAGTCTTCACCATACCCTTCACTGTGCCTGGAACACGTGTCCTTCCCTTTCAGCATGGGCATCTGATGCATAGAGTGTGCTGAGCGATTCTTGTGTGAGGGGATGGTTGGCTTTTTCTGGATTCAATGCCCCTCTCCGCACTCCCTTGGCACCCTGGGCCTCCTCCTCCTGGCACTTACCACACTGTGTTCTAGTAGCTGTTTTCTTGATGGGCTGCCCTGCTAGACTGTATACTTCTGCAGAGAAAGGACTGTTTTGTTCACCATCTGGACTCTGCCTGACCATAGCGTGCCTGGCACATAGTAGGACAAACACACACACACACATACACGTATAATTTTTTAAAGTTAATGAATAGTTGAGTGTTAATGAATAACAATGGAAGTACTCAAGACATCATTCTGGAGGATCACTTTTCTTTTGCAGTGTGCACAGAGTGTGGGTGAAAGAGCAGTTTGAAGTAATTTTAGAGTTTCAACGACTGGATCGCTCTTGCCCACACAAACACAGTGAATGTTTATATATCACTTCATTGTACAAAGGCTTTGAGGTGGCTTGTTAGATCACACTTAAAAAGTTGAAAAATGAAAGTCATAACAGATGAGGACCAGGGAAAACATTAGTTAGAATATGTCAGGTGTGCAGGAAATGTTTGATGAATAAAAGGTAAAGAATGAATGAATGAATAAAAGGTCAAGGCCAGGGAGGAAAGTAGGCTGTAATATATCTCTAGGCTCTTATAATAATAGCTGATATTTATTGAACATTACTTTGTTGTAGACACTAAATATTTTGCATGTTTTAATTCATTTACTTCTCAGATGAACCCCATGAGGTAAATGCTGTATTTAACACCATTTTTCTGGTGGGAAAACCAAAGGACGAAGAAGTAACTTACCTGAGGTCACCCAGCTGGTAAATGGCTGACTCAGGATTTGAACCCAGAGCCTTTGCTCCCACTCACTGGGCCATGCAGTTGTTTTCTGTAGAGGGGAGATGGTTATAGAATTGGTGCTGACTTTGCTTCAGCTAACAAGAAAATAGCCACTAATATCCATATAGTGGTTTGTAGTTTGTATAGTGTTTTTTTACATTCACCATCTCAATTGATCCTCACAGCAGACCTCATTTTAAGGAAGAGGAAATGGAAAGTCAGGGAAGTTAGCAGTCTTGTCCAAGATCTCACCACCAAATTAGAGCTAGCATTTGAGCCCAGCACGTCTACCATCAGGTCCTGCATTTGAAATTATGAGCTGGTTTGAGGTCACACTATCATATGTTAGGCCTGTCAGGTCCTGGAATACCTTCTATGTCATCCAAGAACAGTGTAATTCCAATTTTTGGAAAAATTGATAATCCACATATAGAATCACAATTGAAGTACCTCATTACCCAGATAAAAGTTTATTGTACTTTCATAGTTTTCAAAATCATAGATTTGATTTTTCCTCAAATATCAGAATGCAAAGCTGACATTGCTTTCCTGGAAATAAGGCAAACATTCTGGGAAGCAAATCTCGCTCAAACAGTGAATGGAACTTATCAGGTAACTTTTCATGTTCAAAGGGAAAGGAATTTTTTTTTAAGTCACTCAGAGGTTTTAAATAGTTTAAAGATACCTAGAGAGAAATAAAAGACGTGTTAGAAGGGAAGGGGAACCACTAATCAGTGTGGGTGAAGCCAGTACTTAGGGGAGACCCCACTGGGCGTTTCCCCTGGGGAGACTTCTGATGAGACAAAAGCAGCACTGACCAGAGAGCTGAATACTGGGCGGTCGGTCATCCTGGCTTTGTGACCTTTGTCTGATCACATAACATTCTGGGCCCTGTTTCCTTCTCTGTAAAATGCTAACTGCCCAGACCCAGTATGTCATGATTCTGTGATTACAGGTGCATCAAAACATCATTCTTCTCTTCTTTATAGATTGATTATAGATGCAGTCTGTATCCAAAATGTGGATTTAAATAGCTTAAACAGCAGCCCTGAACATTTTACTACGGATGCTTCTTCTAAAATATTAAACTCCATGATCTGAATTAATTCTTTCTTCTTCCGCCTTCTCTGAATCCACATATAATAGCCCATTGTGCACAAGGTTTCTCTTATGATTTTCCACCAATCTTAGAATTATGTATGACTCTGAGCAATGCTAAATGGGACCCTTGATTACAATAACGATTGCCCTTTTCCGTCCCTCACATGGCCACGCTAACAGTCCTGCTGTGATGTAACTTTGATTTCATGCCTTTGAAGGGTGGCTAGTGCTACAAAGATTGCTTTGTATGAGACCCCAACTGGCTGGAAGTTTTTTGGGAATTTGATGGACGCGAGCAAACTGTCCCTTTGTGGGGAGGAGAGCTTCGGGACCGGTAAGTCACACTCCTGTGCTAGCATTTTCCTCCCTGTAACCACTATTTCCAGTAAAAGCTTAGACTGCTAAGGTAGCACTGAAATACCAACGGTAGCCGATGTGTCCTAAATCAAGGCACAAATTATTTATAACAACCCTGATGAAATGTGCACATTTGAAAAGGGGTGAGCACATTCAGCCAGAAAGGCTAATTTTACTTTCAGAGGATCATATCGACTCAGACAGGAAGTTGGGGGGCCTCCTCAGCAGCGTGGTCATTGAGTCTGCAGGGATTAAACAGAGCGATAAACAGATTTTTCTTCCTTCGGTGGTCAAAGAAACCTTTATAAATGTTTTCATTTCTGAGAAGAAATACGGTGGAGCAAGTCGGTTTTTTGTTTTTATTTAAGAAGAGGTTTCAGCACAGCATTAAATCTTTCTCTTTTATAGGCCCAAGTTTTCTATAGCAGAGTAATCAAGGCTAAATGAAGGAAGACCATGAGGGTGGAACTAAGTTGCTAGGTGATCAAGAAATTAAAAATACATCGTTGTGCCTGAGGATGTTTGTGTAATTGTATTAATATTAGAGTGAAAGAAGGGTACATAGTATTCTCAGGGGATGACCCCAGACCTATAGACCTCACTCTCTGCGCTCTCCTTCCTCCTCTCTGCTTGTCCAAATATTGACCCGAACTCCCACCTCCTTCACGACCTTCTCTGCTACCTCATGCTGCCTGTATCAGTCTCTCTTTCCTAAAAGTCTGTTCAGGTGTGTGGCCCTGTCCCATGTATCAGTCTCCGGCCAGGTTATAAGGTAGTTAAGTGACTGCATCTCTTCTCCTTTTATTCCCTCTACCCAATATTTTTAAGTAAATGTGCTGATCTTGGTCCTATAGTACTCTACTGTCACCCTTTAGTGAAGAAAAGAAGATCAAAATCAAGCATTCTCTCAGCTTTGCAATTGAGTTGCAATTCATGCCAGGTTAAACAGAACAGAATACTGACTTCATTTCCTTTCCTATAAGTCTGGAGGTAGAGCAGGTAGAATGAGCTGCTAAATTGGAGGCACATATTTACAGAGTTCTAAGCAACTTGATATTTTCGAGAGTGGTAATATTCCTTGGCAATGAACTGCCTTGATAGAATTGGAAGGTATGAAGAAGGCTGGATGAGTCTTGGGGTTGAACAACTTCCACAACAAAGGCTAGACAGTTTCCCAAAGTTGTGGGTGTTTAAATCAGAGATTACAAGGCCACTGCTTAGTCCTTTTCTACTTCATATAATGGGCATGGTGCCATGCTATTCTGAGGGATACTACATGAGTGCCCAATGAGCCTATGAGGTGGTCTTCTCCCATGAAACTCCCCACAGGGTCATCTAGTTCAGGCCTGGCTTCAGTCATTCTTTATGAATGAAGATGTCTTTGAAGGCAGCAACTGTGTCAAAACCTTTGTTTTCCTGTTCTCCTGTACCAGTATCAGTGTTGAGCCTAGTGAAAAGATAAAAGTCTAGAGTCAGGTTTCCCAGAGCATGTGAGTATGTGGAAGAATACTAGTTCCATGAGAGGGTTCTAGGGGTCAAGAAAAATTGGAAAAATTGGACCACACTTCTCTGTTTTGGATATTCACAATGATATTAGCATTTGAAGATTCCAGAACATTCTGCCATAAAGAATCCTGTTAGTACAGTTTTGCCTAAATATAGTTTACCACTATATATAATAATTATGATGATATGATACAATATCATCACCACAATAATGATTATTATTATTATCATTTCGTAGTATGTACAGTAACTTCTTTTTCCACAGACCCATGTGGGAAGCCTTGGTCAAGAGGGATCAGAGCCCCAGAGCCAAGTAGGAATCCCTGGTGCTGACCCACAGGGAACAGGCCTGAAGACAGGATAGCACAAGCTGCTCCTCTTACACAACAGGCCTTCAAATACAAGAAGCAGCTCTCAGGTCCTTCCTTCTTCAGGCCGTCCATCTTTGTTTCCTCCAGTCATTCCTCATTTCACATTGTTTATAGACTCAGTGCCAGACTCTAGGTGCTTCTGAGTTTGCCAGTGCCACTCTTAGAAGGTGATGCCCAGAACTGAGCCCAAATCTTCCAGGGTTGGCCTGGCAAGTGAAGAGTGGGGTGGGATGATTATTTCTAGTGATTAGGACACTGTATTTTTCTTGACATAACTTTCCTTTATGTTAGTTTTTAGGAAGTTGCATAATACTGTTTAGCCCACATAAGGTTGTGGGTAATTAAACCCTTAAAGTTTTTACCTAGAACTATTTGCCAAGGGAAGTCTCTCATGTTATGTTTGTGGAATTGATTTCTTTGAACCAAAGTATTAGACTTTAGACTATTGTTAAAGTTTGTTCTCATTTATTAACACATTCAACAAATACCTAGTACCAATCATGGTTTTAGCTTCTCCTTGGTATATTTCATGTCCAAAGAGAGAATGCTCTTCATTATCATGAGGATAATCACAAGCTCTTTCTCTCTCTCTCTCTTCAAAAAAAGAAAATTTTTGTGTAATATTTCTGAGATAAACATTTAAACAGCCAGGCTGCATAGCCATAGATCGCTGTTGTGAACGAGTGCAGCTGGGCTTATTTAACTGAACTCCTGATCTTCTTATTTATAGAGGAGTTAATTTTTAGCAACCACGCCCCTTGCTAGTGAATGTTTCCAACAGTTCTTTCATAGAGTTTCTCAGGGTAGACATTAGTGACTCTATGAACTTTGAAACATTTGAATTCTATAGCTTAATTGAGCACAGAGTGCTTTATTTCTGTATTTTTCCAGGCGATAGGAGAGACAATTTCTCAAAAACGTTTCCTTGACCTTTCAGAGTGGGCCAAATCCCCTGATTATTGGCTCTTGTGGCACCATGTACCTCTTCTTTGTTGTACTTGTTGCAGCTGTGATTTTACAATTACTTATGGTTATTTGATTAATGTCTGTTGGCTGTATATGCCATGAGGACAGAGATCTTATGTGTCTTATCCTGCATTGTGTCCCTCGAGCCTCCCGTAGAGCCCAGCATAGAACAGGTGCTCAGTAAACGCTTGTTGAATGAGTTCATGAACACTATTCACTTGGCACCTTCCATTTAGACAGATTCCTGCTATTGGAAAAGAAAGAACTTTAAAAGGTATCTGATGTAAATTCCTGTATGATGCTGGAACCATAGTGACTGGTCACTGCTTTCTGGCTGAACCACCCACCTCAATGGAGAATCCACACCTCACCTCTTGCCGTAGTCTGGGACCCTTGTAATGACTCAACACCACTTCCACTCCACAGTCCAGGGTTGGGAACCCCAGGGTCTTTGCGGGAAGAAATGCACTTTTACAAAAGAAAAGAAGTTTGCTTGCAAAGAGGTGCAAAGGAGTCTAACTTCAGGACTGGTCCACCGAGTAAAACAAACCACTAGCATCTGCAGAACAATCTTGGAATATTACTAACATTATACATTAGTCTGTTTGTATACATTATACATTAGTCTGTTTGTGCTGGAGGAGCAGCAGCTTTCTCACCTGGATATGGTAACCACAGAAGCTAGGTCACTTACTTCTTCAGAGGTCAGCATTACAAACACCAGGGATAAATGGGGACCAGAACTGGACAGGATAAGCCTGTTGTTGTTTGTTGATCTCATGGTACAAAGCTGTTTTTTCTTCCTAACCGTGGATGATTATGTACATGTTTATACACAATGGTAGAGGGCAGACTGTCAGTTCCATCCCACCTTAGAATTGTTGGGACTTTGAAAGTGAAGTCACTGAATAGTATACAATACCATGCATTTGAACCCTTCCTCAGGAAAATAGGGGGCTTGGGAAAGAGCGATGGGAAACCAGGTTGATGATGAACTTGGTATCACTTAGAGATATGTAAGTTATGATCTGGTCAGGTCTAGAGGCTAGCAATATTTTTTCCCTGTCCTGTCTTTAAAGGTTCTAGTGCTAATGTATCATACAGGAGTGATAACTTAAAGAAATACAGCATTAACACTTTGCAAATTTCTTTTAATTTTTAGTTTCATATGAAAAGTCCTTCATGTTTGCACATTTTGCATTGATTCATTCCTCAAATATTTATTGAACTTTGATTTTATCCTGGATACTGAGTTAGACTCTGGGACACATGGTGAACAAGGCCTTCTCATAGAGGGCTCCATGAATTACAGGTGTGCAAAGCAATAGAAGGTGAAGTACAGGGGTACTTCGGGAGCTTTATTCTCAGGGTGCCTAACTTGGTTCTGTGGTGTAGGAGATCAGATTTTCTTTCTGGCTTTCTGCCCATTCTAATTTGCATAGCTACTGAGTACATTTCCCTGTAGGCAAAGCCCACAGGGGAAGATTGTAGCACCCCATGTCTGGGGATAGCCTAGACAGAATACGCCAGTAGAACTAGGCTTATACCCTAATTATAACTCACTCATTTAAAGTGTTACCTGCCTGTCTGTCTCCCTCACCTGTATGTCTGTGCTCATCTGTGAGGGCAGGGGATACGCCTTGTGCATCTTGGTATCTTCTTATGTGCTTGGTACATGCTGGCACTGATTCACATTTGTTGAGTGTAAAGTGAAGTTTGTGTTAGGACAGAGTTCCTGCTTATCAGGCACTTAAACTACCTTCTTCCAAAGGCACCTTATGGAAAGGAAACCAAGTTCCAGGGGCAGTAATGAGGCAGGTCAGGCCTCATTGCTAAGTGGAAGGCCTGACAGTTCCTGGGGCCAGCCTCCTGGGGACTGGAGTGGTCTGGAGAAGGCTTTCTGAGGAGCTCACCTTCCTTTCCAAGTGAAGTTGTTTGTGCAGTGGAAGACCAAGAGGACAGGACTGCAGACACAGCAGGTCAGCTGAGCCTCCCAGCCAGTCAACTGGGGCCCGGCCATTCTTTGGGCAGACTGTCTTAACAACTGACTTTGGGCCAACCCCTGTTTGGGGAGTACAACTCATAGTCTAGGATACGGCGTGATCACAGGGAGTGGTAGAAGCACAGAGGGCATGGGGAGGGCATCCTGGATAAGACTGAAGTTGAAAGTAATTGCAGGACATGTTAGCCAGGCTAGTAGGTGTATGTGGAATGGGCTTTCCAGGCAGTGAGAACTGTATGTTCAGGGGGCTGGAGGAGAGAGAGAAATTGACAGAAAAAGAAAGAGACAGACAGACACTGGTACTTTCAGGGAACTCCATGCAGCTGTTTTTCAGCTGTCATGCCCCCATCCTCAGGCCTGTCACCTGGCAGGGGCAGAAGCCAGGACAGCTCCTGAGATGCCCATACTGGTAAATGTAACCCAATCCCTAAACTGTTAGCTCTTGGCTCCCTCAGGAATGGTTGACATTTTTCTTGGCTGAGACCCAGGATGTGCCCTGGCTGAGCCGAGTATGTGCTTATCACAAGGTGCTGATTAGGCCGAAGTAAAGTGACAGGTGTTTGAAGATGCTGAAAGGGTAGAATTCCTGTCCCTGAGCGGAGCAAGGGTGAAGAGACCCAGTGCAAAACCCACCACTGTCTTTTGTGCCAGCTGGGACTAGAAGTCCTTGCCCAGAGTGTTTTACCTTTCTCACAGTTAAATGAGCTTGGCTTCATTCTCTTTCTAAAATTAAAACATAATGAAACAAGTAATTTATGTTCATTATGAGAAATAAGGAAGGAGGAAAAAAACACTAATCCCAGTGCCCAGAGGAAAGAGCATATTAGGTTATATTCTTCCATTTTCTTCTCCAATATGTACAATCAAGGAGCATTATTTTTAAAAGCATAATAAAGTCAGTGGAAAATGTAATAATTTTCCATAAAAGCCTTTTATTTTTCCCTTTATTCGAAACAGTATCTAGTAGTTACATTACACCTCACAATGTATAAACTATTTCTACTTGCTTTTTCGTAGTAATTTCTCACAGTTATGAGAGAGAAGTTAGCATTATTTCTGTTTTGCAGTTGAAGAAACTGAGGCTCAGAAAATGTGATTTGTCCAAATTCAAGTAGTTTACAAGTAACAGAGCCTCAAATTCAGGTTTATCTGATTCTTAAGTATCAAGCTTTATCTGCTGAGCCACAGAAAATGTGATTTGTCCAAATTCAAGTAGTTTACAAGTAACAGAGCCTCAAATTCAGGTTTATCTGATTCTTAAGTATCAAGCTTTATCTACTGAGCCACAACTGCAAAAAGAATAGCTTTAGAAACACGTACCTGCACCATTGGTATTTTCCACTGGAAACTTGGCATCATTCATCAGAACCCTGAAGAAAATGAAATTTGCTCCAACTTCCTGAGTATTAATTGAATTACCTGGAATTTTTGATACATCCAAGGTGATTAGTGATGAACCAGAATATCCAAAGAGGCTGAGGATTATGCAATTGGAATTGGATATTTGTTTATGTTACCCAGGGCAGGTATTTTGTTTATAGTATTAGGTGTATGATTTAGTTATCTCCAAGTAACTTGGCCAGAGTTGGGTAAGATTTTTAGATTTTATTTTCATTTCCACATAAAAGAAAAAATCAAATTCCTTGCTTAGGGCAGGAAAAGCCACAAGGAACACTGCCTTCTATGCTTTCAGTCTAGCCAAAAGAGAAAAAAGAAAAAAAAATTAAGGAGAAAAAGAAGGAAGAAAAAAACCCAGTGGGGCACAGACAAATAATTCCAAGCTGTATATGCTGTCATGAATTCCCAATATATTAGGGAAGCTGCCAGAATCTTGCTTCTCAGGATGAACTGTTGCCAAAACATATCATTTGCAAAAGCCGTAAGAGCCAGAGAGCTTTTTGCTCCTTAAAATAGCAGTAAGGGCAAATAAAAGTCTAAAGATAGTAAAATTAGGTAAACATTTTTAAAATATGTTATATAAAGCACTAAAAATATTGCCTACTCTCTAGTTTTGCCTGCATCCGGGTTTTGAGGACTGTTAACTTCTAAAAGTAGTATCCTATTGAAGAGAAAAGTCTTTTGAAAGAAAAAGTCATGTTTTTTTAAGAACCAAAAATAGAAAGAGAAAGTGTTGGAGTAAATTGATTGGTTGATTCATTCACACAGTCTTTCATAATTAGTTATTTACCGTATTCCTTGTGCTATGCTAGTCACCAGACTTAATTACAAGGATAAATAAGAGATGCCCGTAAGAAGCACACAGTTAGTGGGGAGAAAGGCTCACAAACAGATGGTTGAGACTCGAGGAGGCTGATGCCACCCCAGATGTTTTGTGCAGGTTGCTACAGGAGAAGAAAGAGAAGGGAGTTCATGACTGCCTAGGGAAGTTGGGAGCTAGTCTTAAAAAAGAGAGGACATTTGAGCTGGGTCTGAAAAGATGAAGAGAGGAAGGAAAAACACCACGTGCCTCCTGCATACCCAGCATGGTGCTAGATACTCTAACAATTCCAAGAAGAATAAGACCAGCGGGAAGTGCAGTAGGGCAGGCACATAAAGAATTCAACATAGGATAATGTGAGAGCATGATTATAGAGCAATTGTGTACAGTTCTATTCAGAAATCAGAAAATAAGGCTCCATGTAGACTGCTTTCTTTCAGAATAAAGAGTTTAAAGGCAAAAAAATGAGAGTTGTGTTCCATATCAGGCTCTTGGAAAAGGGTGTCCATGCATATAAGCACATCCTCCCGAGAAGCCCATTTTAAAATTTTGTTAAAGATTTTAGCAAGGACCTTAGCAGGAGACAGATGTCTCCTTTAAGAGACATCATTAAGGTTTGTTTAACCAAACCTTAATGGTTAAAGAACAGTGTCTTGGAGTTGCTGGATCCATGAGTAGGTCCAATTTGAAGGCTTTGATCCTTTTTTGCCAAATTGATGTCCAGAAGGATTGTGCCAGCGTCCACTCCCACCAGCTCTTTGGTGGAATCCCGTTTCCCTTTTATTCTCCTGGCACTGGCTGTTCGGATTTTTACACTTGTGGATTTTTACACCTTTTGTCAAGCAAGTAGCAGTTTCTCATTGTGGTTTTAACTTTAATTTTTCTTCTTAAAAATAACACCAGCTTTTTATTATACTAATTGGTTGGGTGTATGTGTCTATGTGTATTGTTTGGCAAATCGCCTATTGATATCCTTGGCCTGTTTTTCTATTGAAATTCTTTTTTCTTATTCATACATAAGAATTTTTTCTATATTGAATGTATTAAACATCTGCCTTAAAATATATCAAATGTGGCCGGGCATGGTGGCTCACGCCTGTAATCCTAGCACTTTGGGAGGCCGAGGCGGATGGATCACCTGAGGTCAGGAGTTCGAGACCAGCCTGGCCAACATGGCGAAACCCTGTCTCTACTAAAACTACAAAAATTAGCTGAGCATGGTGGCGGGCACCTATAATCCCAGCTACTCGGGAGGCTGAGACAGGAGAATCGCTTGAGCCTGGGGGGCAGAGGTTGCAGTGAGCCAAGATCATGCCACTTTACTCCAGCCTGGGCGAAAGAGCGAAACTCCGTCTCAAAAAATAAAATTTTACATATATATATATATATATATATATATATATATATATATATATATATATAGTATTAAACATCTACCTTAAGTGCTATCCACTTTTAAACAACCAGATCTCTTTAATTTTTTAAAGTTTGTCAATGGGCTTTTAATTTTGTCCATAGTAGTTTTACACTATAGAAATGCTGATTTTTAAGTAGATAAATACATCAGTGTTTTCTTTTATGAATACCGAATTTACATTATTTATCACCCCTAAGATTTATATATATAAATATATAAAAAGACATGTATATTAATATAATATATACTAGTATTTAAAAGCTTTCAGGTTTTACATTCGAATTTTTAGTTCAACTGGAATTATTTTTGTTATGGTGTTTTATAGGGAAGAAAACAATTTTTTAAAGCTATTTATCCAGTTATCCAAACGCCATTTAAAAAGTAATCTACTCTTTTCCCACAGCCTTGCAGTGAGACCTTTGTCATACTCAAGCCTCTTGTGTGCTTGGATCTCTTTCCAGATGCACTCTTGTTCTATTAAGCTACCAGACTATTTGAATTATTGAAATTTTGTAATGGTCATGTTCTTCTGCTGTTTGTTCATTTAAGATCTATTGTGTTTTCTCTTCACATTAATACTTTATAACTGATATATCAAATTCCACCTAATTATCTCACTGACATTTTTATTGACTTATGCCTTACATTTCTAAATCACTTTGGGAAGCATCAATTTCTTTTCAGTATCATGTTGCCTACTTAATATGTGATTCCTCCTGTATACCCAAGTCCTCAGTCAGGCAGTGTGACTCTTTTATTTGGGTCTGCACACCTACTGTTGAGTACTGTATTAGTCTGTTCTCACACTGCTATAAAGAACTACCTGAGACTGGGTAATTTATGAAGAAAAGAGGTTTAATTGACTCACAGTTCTGCAGGCTGTACAGGAACCATGGCTGGGAGGCCTCAGGAAATGTACAATCATGGCAGAACAATGAAGAGGCAGCCGGCACCTTCTTCACATGGCTGCAGGAGAGAGAGAGTGAAGGGGGAAGTGCTATATACTTTTAAACAACCAGATCTCATGAGAACTCACTTACTATCACCAGAACAGCAAGGGGGAACTTTGTCCCCCATGATCCAATCACTTCCCATCACGTCCCTCCCTCAACATGAGATTTGGGTGGGGATGCAGAGCCAAACCATATCAAGTACCTTCTCAGGTACTGGGAGAAAGCACGTTTCTTACAGCAGCTTGCTGTCCCCCCTCCAGGTTCTGACCACATCCGTGAGAAAGATGGACTGTGGGCTGTCCTTGCCTGGCTCTCCATCCTAGCCACCCGCAAGCAGAGTGTGGAGGACATTCTCAAAGATCATTGGCAAAAGTATGGCCGGAATTTCTTCACCAGGTGAGCCACAGCCCAGCTGGGGTACAAGGTAAGGTGGGGAAGTGGGCAGAGAGAATTCTTGCGCATCCACAGCCTCTCCTGTCTTAAGTGCTAATAAAACCCTAGGTCATCCAGCCTCTCTCAATTGGAGACTTTAAAAATAATCTGGTCAGGGATGAAATGAAGTCAATTTTTATGTCAGCCATAAAGAGTGAGGCTTTAAAAGTTTAGCTAACATAATCAAAAGAATAAATGCTTTATAAGCATTTTAAATGTGTCCATTGGGTGGACATGATCATAACATTGGATTTGGATTCAGAGAAATGGATTAGAATTTTATTTCTTCCCCTTACTAGATTGGGGAGCCATTTAGCTTTTCTCTGTACTCAGTTTTGTCATCTGTAGAAATGGGAATAACAGTCCAGCTGTTGAGAGGATTAAATGAATAATGAGTCTGAAAATGTTTTGTTAACTTTGGGGCACTGAAAGCCTAGAAACTTTTTTTCATAAATTATAGAAACAGTTATGCTTAGTCCACATCGACTTTTCTGCCTTGTGAAATAGGTCCCCAAGGGCTATATACTTGTCAATAATTTTTTTAATTTATTCAACAGATATTTACTGTATACCCGATTTCCATCGGGTACTTGGAATTCAGCAGTGAACAAAATACTTAGAATACTTAGTAATTATTCCTTATCATGCGTACTTCTATTTTTAAAAAGCATTAAAAAATTTTTGACAGTAGTACTTTTCACTAATTCCAATTTGCCTTTCCCCCAGTTAGTGTAAAAATCTAACAAGAATTTTTCTGGACCTCAGTATTCCAATTATAGAGAGAAAATATGGTAAAAAGGATATTAGATGAATTGTTTATGTATAAGAAATGAATAGGTGTAATTTCTCTGGACCTCAGTTGCCTGTTCTATAAAATGGGTGAGTTAGACTAGAGAATTTAAAAAATATATCCCAGATTTTATAGTCCGTGATCTCTGGATAGTCAAGAAAGAATTCAACTAAGTAAATTAAGCTCCTTAATCAGAATTATTTTATTAACTTTGGACGGATTCATTGATCTCTTTCTCTCTCACGTTACTGTTTTGTGGAAGGAATAAGTAATAACTACCTGACACCACACAGTAGCCCTGGGAACCAAGGCAAAAAAATCCCTACTTTATAACAGACAGAAAAACCTGGTCATTCAGAACAGCAGTCATGAACTGTCTAGAACCTAGAGTATCATAAAAACAAGGCCATGTCTGTTTTTGTGCCCTAAGCACCCAACTCATAGTAGAGACTGCATAAATACGTTTTGAACCGATAAATGAATGAGTTAACAGGTGAACAATAGCCAGAGTAGAATAAGGTTAGGAGGGGTTGTTCAGAGAAAGGGTCACACCCTTGAATTAGTCACAATCCTCCATATAAAAACTATTTTAACATGATTTTATTAATTATCAAATATAATTGCTAACCAAGTATTACAAATCAAATCCTTAGTACCTGCATTTATGATTAGTTAAAACTCCATTATACCTTCCACTTACTGAACAAAAGCGCTAGGCACTTTTGCATGCATTGTCTCACTTTAGCCTCAAAACAGTTATTGATAAGGTAGCTGAGATTCTGAGAGATAGGGCAGCTGGCCCTGTAGTCACACAATTAATAGCCAATAGAGGCTGGATTCATAGCTCATCTGTCTGATTGCAAAACCCAGACTCTTCTATTCCACCCCTCTGTGCCTAGGGTTTAGAAAACATTTCTCTGGAGTACCCAGAGGTCAAAAATGTAAAGCACAAACACCTGGTTGTAATTTCTTGTTGTTTATCATGTTAACTAGGGGAAAGAGCTGACTTTAAGATTAAGGGGACTGTTTGGCCCTTGATTCATAGAATCCTGGAGCCAGAATAGGCTGGCCTTAATTCCTCAGCATTTCTCATGTCTCAGAGGTGTCATCTTGCATATATGATATCTATTTCACGATTACAAATAAATATAGACTCTGCTATCTTGAGCTTCTAAAAAATAACTCTCTCAAGAGGGTGTATGCCACTAGGTCAAGAAAAGCCACCTGTACAAGTCTTTAACATCATAAGAAAGAAGTCAAAAAGAATTCTTGAAGGAAAACTCATCTTTATAGAATTTCATTTGTGATGCACTTTTTTCCTTGGCCCTTTTTCATCCGCACTGGGCCTCTTCTGTCAGGGTGAACCCAAAGGACCTTGGACCAAAATCCACTGCCACTGAAAGGAGGGAGGCAGAACTTAAAATAAAACAAAATTTAAAAAAAAAAATTGGGAGAGCATCAGGATAAACAGCTAATGCATTTGGGGCTTAATTCCTAGGTGATGGGTTGATAGGTGCGGCAAATCACCATGGCACATTTACCTATATAACAAACCTGCACGTTCTGCACATGTATCTTGAAACTTACTAAAATTAATGAAAAAAAAAAAGGCATTTTAGATGTAAAGAGTCAGTGTTTGGCGTCTTCATCTGGTCGGTGAAAACTTGGCCCTGCTTTAGGAAGCTCCTGTGGAGCTGGAACTCTGCTTAGTCAAAATCTCAGCAGCCTCAGGCAGGTCTCAGGCTGGGAGCAGGCCCAGCATTCACCCCAGAGAAGCCCAGGGAGCTTGGAGGAGAAGTGCCTGAGTCACGTGCTCCTTTCAAGAGAGTTCTCCAGAGATAACATTGCTTTTCATTTTACCTCCTCAGGATGTGGTGACTAAATGTTAGATAGCATCTTTCAAAAGCCTTTGAAACATCTTAGAGCTTTATTCTGTAGAAATGCCAAGATGGGTGTTTTCTGCTTATTCAGAAGCTCATAACCCTTCCCTGAAATCCTCCAAACCCTTCCTTTCATCCCTGGCCTGTTCCATCCCCAGTGACTGACAGGCCTGTATTTTTTTTGCCAGCTTCTTCTGAAGTTAGATAGTTTTGCGGGAGGGCCAAACAAATGATGAAGAAAGTGCTGACTGATAGGCCTTGGTGTGATCTGCAGTCAGCCCGTGGGCCTCAACTTCGTGACTTCTTCCAGGTATGATTACGAGGAGGTGGAAGCTGAGGGCGCAAACAAAATGATGAAGGACTTGGAGGCCCTGATGTTTGATCGCTCCTTTGTGGGGAAGCAGTTCTCAGCAAATGACAAAGTTTACACTGTGGAGAAGGCCGATAACTTTGAATACAGCGACCCAGTGGATGGAAGCATTTCAAGAAATCAGGTAGAAACAGACCGGTGTGTAAGTGAGAGAGAGACCTCAGAGCTTCATCTCTGACATCTCAAGGGAAAAATTAAAAAGTTCCTGTTGGCTATTTTTCTTTTGCTGCTGTGTTTTTCTAGGGTAGCTGTTCTTACCTGGTTTTCTGCTGTCCCACGTGACTCTCACATGCACTCGTTGGGACAGTGGTTTATGCCCTTGTTCTGTGCACTGTCCAGTACCCTCATTCTGGGATTCTTAACCTGGACTCCAGAGGGATTTTTGCACTCTCTGGAATGATATGCAAGATGATGTGTCCATTGTACATGCAGAAAGGAGCCCCAGAATCTAAGAAAGAGGGAGAACTGTGGGAACTTAGATGTCAACTCCTCTCTTTTCTGTCAGCAGATTATAGCAGAGTGACAGCATGTAAGTGGCATTATACTTATACGTTTCTCTCGTATGTTCTAATTTCTAAAGGAGAGAAAAATAGATGAGGCATTCCCAGACTTAGAAACGTTGACCATCGTCATTCGCAGCACATGAGTGGCACCCCACCTAACACAGCAGTACCTGGCAAGACGCCACAGTTTAGGACCTGGAGCATCTCTAGATGTGGACAGAATTGTTAGTGCTTCCCTTACTGTGTGCCGGGTACCCTAGGCTGCAGGCTGGGTCAGGCTTTCTCCTGGCTTCTCATGAACACTTACGCACCAGGGTTCTCTCACCTCTGCTTCTGTTGCCTGTTGTCACAGAGTAAACTCATCTCTCACAATTCATAATAGAATAAAGAGCAGGATGAAGATTCTGTTACAACCTCCCAGTTTACTTTTTTCCAATTGACCCAGATTTTTGGCCTGGTCCTTGTCAAGGCATCTCATAGGGTTTGGAAGGGCCGGGCCGTGGGATTTACTGGAGGCTTCCCTCTGGGGAGCAGGCAGTGAATGGATGGATGGGCCACAGCAACCCTCAGTGCCTGGAGTCTCCCCTCCTCAACTTCTAGCACAAGTGGTTTCTCATCCTTGTGCCTGTTTGCCATTTGTGAGAACTTGGGGTCCAGTTTGGATGATTGTAAATTATGCCTGAGATAATTAGAAGAGAGACCTGTGGTTGAGGAAGAAAGGGGTGTAGAAAAGGAGTGGAGCTGAGGGATGGCAGAGTGGGACAGAAGTTTGTGTCATTAAGCCTTCAGAGACAGAAGGGAAGTCAAGGAAAAGTAAATCCCAGCTCTGCAGTGCCTCTGGCATCTGCCAGGAGGGAGAAGAGGTGTAAAGGTGTGTATAGGAGACAGTGGCCTAAGCTCGAGAGCTGCCCTCTGTGCTGTAAAGAAAGCAGCTGCCCCACTTTCTGTAATCAGAAAATCCAAGCATTTTGATGTGAGACCAGATAGGAGGGAAAAATATGATCCAACATATATAGATAGAACATCTGCAATCTAGTGAAAAGAATTTTAGAGGCTTCAAGTTGAAGCTGTGAAGAAAGGAGACCAACCCTGGTGTGTTCCTAGAAAGCAAGAAATGGTCAGTGAAAATGGACCGTATCCTTCCCATAGTGACTAACTGTGGCATATCCTCTGTGTATTTCATCTACTGTCTTCACTAATCAGTGCTAATGAATGGCACCATTAAACACCAGATGGGGATTGGTGACGAACAGCAGGTGAAGAGCAGCATCTTTTTGGTCAGTCTTTGGTGTTATGCAAGGTTCTCCTTTTTACAGAGGATGGATAGACTCATAAAGACTGAAGAGTCCTCAGGCAACTTCTGTCCCAGCCTTCTTCCCTCAGGTTGGGAAATATCTACCCCAGAGTTCCCACACATTTTTCCCCAAGTGAGAAGATAATTGATGTCCAGAGATACCGCTGGGGAGGAAAAAGAGAGGGCAGCAGAGAGAAGGATGGGCTTGGCACTTCACACGGACCTCGCTTTGGGTCCATCAGGGATTGGCAGGAGATTGGCCACTGGCTCCTGCTTGTTAGGTTGGGAATAGCCAGTCTCTGCCATTTGGGACCTCTGACTTCCTGTTCTCTTTTGAGGACCTTTGCTAGTGGTTTGTAAGAGTCCTTCCCCTCATCTGCCTGAAACCTCTTCAGCTCTGGTTTCAGCCCCTTTGGTCCATGTTTCCCTCTTGATCTGGGGGCTGAATTTTTGCATCTAGCAGCTTTATGTGCTTCATTATTAAGCTTCAAACTGGAATGGTTAGTCCATAAATCACAGGGAAGTGGGGAGAGGAGGGAAGCCCTCACATCACCCAGCATCACTGAGGTCAGGTCTCCCCTGACCCTGGAAATGCTTCTCCCACCGTAGCTAAGCCCCCATCAGCTGGATGCAGAGAGGGTGACGGAAGGCAGGCTCACAAGGTGCAGCTGCTGCCATTTATCAAGGATTTAACCCTCCAATGAACAAGTATGGATGAAATTACATCCCCAAATAGACCCCTCATAATTTGCCAGCCTTCAGTCTCCCAGCATTTGGGGAAAAAAATCTCTGCTTATCTTTTCCAGGGCTTGCGCCTCATTTTCACAGATGGTTCTCGAATCGTCTTCCGACTGAGCGGCACTGGGAGTGCCGGGGCCACCATTCGGCTGTACATCGATAGCTATGAGAAGGACGTTGCCAAGATTAACCAGGACCCCCAGGTAACGCCCAGCCCTGTGCCCTGGTTAGTTCTTTCTGTTCAAGGGAATGATAGTTTCCCATTGAGCCTGTGTTTCAATGCCCATTTCTCAAATGACTCAACAAGGTACCAGCTGTGCTTACTTTCTTCCATGTTTCTTTCTCCATGTCAACATTATAGATAATAATTATAATAATAAAAATAGGGAGGCTGAGGTGGGAGGATCACCTGAGCCCAGGAGGTCAAGCCTGCAGTGAGCCAAGATCACACCACTGCACTTCAGCCTGAGCAAGAGTGAGACCTTATATCAAAAATTAATTAATTAATTAATTAAAAATAAAAAATTTTCTGAGCATTTATGGTTTGCCAGGCTGTGTTGTAAGCCCATTATGAAAATATACTCATTTAATTCTCAAATAACTTAGACTGTTATTCTCCCTGCTACAGATAAGGAAACTGAGGCACAGAAAAGTTAAGCAACAGTTAATAGGTTTACATGCCTAGTAAGGATAATGAATCTCTCTTTTTTTTTTTTTTTTTTTGAGACAG
Organism: Homo sapiens; assembly: GCF_000001405.40. Classification (NCBI taxonomy): domain Eukaryota; kingdom Metazoa; phylum Chordata; class Mammalia; order Primates; family Hominidae; genus Homo; species Homo sapiens. The sequence continues at coordinate 63,654,994 of NC_000001.11, forward strand.
GGTCTCACTCTGTTGCCCAGGCTGGAGTGCAATGGCACAATCTCAGCTCACTGCAACATCCACCTTCTGGGCTCAAGCAATCCTCCTACCTCAGCTACCTGAGTAGCTCGGATTACAGGCACGTGCCACCATGCTCTGCTCATTTCCTTTTTTTTTTTTTTCTTTTTGTAGGGAGGAGGTCTTAGTACATTGCCTAGGCTGGTCTTGAATTCCTAGCCTCAAGTAATCCTCCTACCTCAGCCTCCCAAAGTGCTGGGATTATATGTGTGAGCCACTGCACCCAACCCAGGATAATTGGTCTTTAAATCAGCCCCTCATCTGGTGTTCTGCTCTGTCTGCAGCATTTTGTTGCTTTGTTTGGTCTGATCACCTGCTTGGGCAGAACACACCACTGGGTCTTAGATTTGGTGGGGGCAGGGAGAGGCAGTTTCATGTGTCTTCACAGAACAGTCTGCAGACCTGCAGCTTGGTAAGCTGGGTTCCTCAGCCATTCCCCCAAAAGTCTTCAGAAGTATATCAGAGTAAGGAGGGACTCTGGGAGCAAAGGGTGGGACAGTGAACTTGAAGGACAACCCCCAAAAATGGAGGAGCCAAGGGGAAGCAGTGAAGGACAGGACAGTTTCTTTAAGTGTTTTTCACAATCCTTATCTCAACCAGAGCTCCATAGCTTAAAAAAAAGTTGGGGAAGTGTTGTGGTATATTAGCCCCTTCTTGGTGATTCACAGCATACAATGCAATGCACCATAAAGGCTCCAAGATTTCGGACATGGTGGCCTGCACCTGTGGTCCCAGCTACTCAGGAAGCTGAGGCAGGAAGATCACTTGAGCGTAGGAGTTCTGGGCTATAGTGTGCTATGCCTGTCGGGTGTCTGCACTAAGTTTGGCATCAATATGGTACCTCCCGAGAGGGGAACCACCAGGTTGCATAAGGAGGGGTGAACCGGCCCAAGTTGGAAACAGAGCAGGTCAAAACTCCCATGCCGATGAGTAGTGGGATTGCACCTGTGAATACCCACTGCGCTTCAGCCTGGTGACATAGCAAGACCCCATCTCTAAAAAAAGAAAAGGAAAGAAAAAAAGAGGGTGCTGAGAAGACTTGCAGTAAAGGTGCCTGTTTACATAGCATTTGCTGAAGGACATTTCTCCAAAGAAAACATACAAATGGCCAACAGGCGTATGAAAAGGTGGTCCACATCACTAATCATCAGGGAAATGAAAATCAAAACCACAATGAGCTGTCACCTCACACCTGTTAGGATGGCTGTTCTCAAAAAGACAAAAGATAACAAGTGTTGGGAAGGATGTGGAGAAAAGGGAACCATCAGACACTATTGGTGGGAATATAAATTGGTATAGCTATTTTGGAATAACCAAAATATGGAGGTTCCTCAAAAAGTTAAAAATATTTTAGTACTAATATACGATCCAGTAATCCCTCTTCTGGGTATATATTCAGAGGAACTGAAATAAATATGTCAAAGAGATATCTGTTCTCTCTTGTTCATTCAATATTATTCACAATAGTCAAGATATGGAACCAGCCTAAGTGCCCATCTACAGATGAATGAAGACATTGTGGTGTGTGTGTGTGTGTGTGTGTGTGTGTGTGTGTGTATACCACAATGGAAAATTATTCTGCCTTAAAACAACAAAAACCAAAATCTTGCCAATCTTGCCATTTGCAATAACATGGATGAACCTGGAGGACATTATGCTAAGTGAAATAAGCCAGACACAGAAAGGCAAATACTGCATGATTTCACTTGTATGTGGGATCTAAAAAAAGTGAATCTCATAGAAACAGAGCAGAAAGGGGCTTACTAGGGGGTAGTGAATGGGGAAAATGGAGAGATATTGGTCCAAAGGGTACAAAATTTCAGTTATGTAGGATGTAGCAGTTCTAGAGATGGAATGTACAACATGATGGCTATAATGAATAACACTTGAAATGTACTAGGAGAATAGATCTTAATTGTTCTCACTATCACCACCACAACAAAAAAGGTAAGTAGGTGACAAGATTGATAATGTTAGTTGGCTTGACTCTAGTAATCAGTTCACTATGTATTTGTATATCAAGACATCATATTATATACCTTAAACATAAACAATTTTTATTAAAAAATTGAAAGTAAAATAAAATAAATAGCATTTGCCATGCTTATTTTTCCACAAAGGCTTTTTTCTTTTAACACCTAATTAAAATCCTGTGAAACTCATTTGGAAACCCCTGGCATAGTGGTTTTGAGCAAAGTTAAAGAGATCTTGTTTTAAATTCTATTCCTGCCACTTAATAACTGTGTGTCCCTGGGTAAGTTGTTACAATTTTATGAATCTTGGTTTCCTTGTCTGTCAAATGGCAGAGTAATACCTACTTCATCTAGTTGTTACCGGGGTTTAAGGAGATAATAAATGTAAAATGTTTAAACACTGTGGCTGGCATATAGGATTAACTTTTCAGAATAAGCAGCACTCTTAGTTTTTTTAGTCTAACTTTAAGTGTAACATAATGCTATTATAACCATTTTTAAGTATATAGTTTAGTAATGTTGTACATATTCATATTGTTGTCCAACGTATCTCTAAAACTTTTTTCCCCCAAAACTAAAACTCTGTACCCATTGAACAGCACCTCCCTGCTTCTCCCTTTTCACAATCCCTGGTACCACCTTTCTCCTTCCTGTGTCTGTGAATTTGACCATTGTAGGTACCTCACATGAGTAGTATAGTTGCTTTTATTACAGAAAGTGGGAGATGAGAGAATGCTTCACTTTTACATTTTTTCCAGTGGCCAGGCCCCAGTTTCAGTCATCACCAGTACCTTGTTGTGTTGTAGGCATCCCTAAAACTTCAACCAAAGGCAATGGGGTCTGCATTATAGACACTTAATAGCACAAGAGAAAAGGAAGAAGGAAATTGTGTTTGTCTTTTGATCATCAAGATAAATGCCTGGCACGTGGTAGATTCAAAGAGTGAATGAAATTTGTTTCCTCTGAACCATAGTCCTCAGCAGGTGGAATGGCAGTGGATGGTGTGAGGTTCCCACAATGCCCAGGTGTATCACCATCTAGCCGGGGAGCTGCCTTTCCTTATTCTGCAGCTGCTAGGCCATCAGCACTTTGTGGGGACTGCCCAAGCCCTAAGGGGAAATGTGGTAGTTTCAGCAGGTGGAGTTGATTCTCCTTTTCCAGGTATAATGGATCGGTGGAGATTTAGATAAGAAAAAGTAGCATTCAGCAGTAGAAAATGTACTACTCCTGGCTCTGCTATTGAGTCATTTAGTCAAATCACTTCATCTCTTTGGGTATCAGTTTTCTCATCTGTAAAATGGGCAGTTCAACCAGATTAGTAGTTTTTTTTTTTTTTTAATATTGAAAGCATTTATTAAGCAACAGAATTCTCTCTTTTTTTTTTTTTTCTTTAAGCGAGAAGTAGATGTGGGGAGGGGTTGTTGCATTTTTAAAGATTCCTGTATTAGGCCGGGTGCGGTGGCTCACGCCTGTAATCCCAACACTTTGGGAGGCCAAGGCAGGCAGATCACCTGAGGTCGGGAGTTCAAGACCAGCCTGACCAACATGGAGAAACCCCATCTCTACTAAAAATACAAAATTAGCCGGGCGTGGTGGCGCATGCCTGTAATCCCAGTCACTAGAGAGGCTGAGGCAGGAGAATTGCTTGAACCTGGGAGCCAGAGATTGTGGTGAGCCAAGATCGCAGCATTGCACTCCAGCCTGGGCAACAAGAGTGAAACTCCATCTCAAAAAAAAAAAAAAAAGATTCCTGTATTAGTCTGTTTTCACACTGCTGATAAAGACATACCTGAGACTGGGCAATTTACAAAAGAAAGAGGTTTAATTGGACTTACACTTCACGTGGCTGGGGAAGCCTCACAATCATGGTGGAAGGCAAGAAAGAGCAAGTCATGTCTTACATGAATGGCAGCAGGCAAAAGAGAGAAATTGTGCAGGGAAACTCCTGTTTTTAAAACCATTAGATCTCATGAGACCCATTCACTATCATGAGAACAGCACAGAAAAGACCCACCCCCATGATTCAATCATCTCCCACCGGGTCCCTCCCACAACACTTGGGAATTATGGGAGCTACAAGATGAGATTTGAGTGGGGACACAGAGCCAAACCACATCAGTCCCATTGGGAACAGTGTGGGAAAGAAATTGGAAGATGCACAAGTGGATGTGGAGGCACTCACTGCTCCAGGTAAGAGACAGGACATTGACTTAGCAAGACTTAACAGCAGGAGAGTGGAGAGAAAAGGGGGCCATGGAGAGAGATTTAGCGGGGAAAAGTCATTGAGGCCTGCTCATGGACTGGGCATGGGGAAAATGCAGAGGAAGATGTCAGGAGCAACTCCTAGTTGTTCACTTTACATGAAAGACTGTAGTGTTGATCCACTGAAATAGAAACTGCTGGAACTAGGTATTGGGGGAAATAACATGTGTTTGTTTTTGGATTTGTGGAGTTTGAGGAGCCTTGGAGACCTGGAAGTAGGCAGTCAGACGTACGGGTTTGGAGCTAAGCATCTGTGTTTAGAGGAAGTGATGGAAAAGCTTCTCTCTATGTCTTCCTCAGGTCATGTTGGCCCCCCTTATTTCCATTGCTCTGAAAGTGTCCCAGCTGCAGGAGAGGACGGGACGCACTGCACCCACTGTCATCACCTAAGAAGACAGGCCTGATGTGGTACGTCCCTCCACCCCCGGACCCATCCAAGTCATCTGATTGAAGAGCATGACAGAAACAAAATGTATTCACCAAGCATTTTAGGATTTGACTTTTTCACTAACCAGTTGACGAGCAGTGCATTTACAAGGCACTGCCAAACAAGATGCCCTTGGGAGCTGTGAGGGAAAGAGGACCTGCGGGCTTAGATCAATCTCAATTCCTTTTCATGCCCTCCTGCATTGCTGCTGCGTGGGTATTTGTCTCCTTAGCCATCAGGTACAGTTTACACTACAATGTAAGCTATAGGTGGAGCATCAGCAGTGAGTGAGGCCATTCTTCATCCTTAGGATGTGGCAATGAAATGATGGTGCAAGTTCCTTTCTCTTTTGTGAATCTTTCCCCCCATTTCCTGTTTACATGTAACCCAACAAAATGCAATTTCTAGTGCCTTCTGTCCAATCAGTTCTTTCCTCTGAGTGAGACGTACTTGGCTACAGATTTCTGCCTTGTTTTGCGACATTGTCCCATTCACACAGATATTTTGGGATAATAAAGGAAAATAAGCTACAATTGCTTGTCGTCTTTTTTTCTTAACTGCAAAGTACTTTTTTGATTTTAGAAAGAAAAACAATTTTTTTTTTAGAAGGAGGGGAGTATTGTATTTTGTTTTCATGTCCTAGTCAGAAAATGAAATGGTCTCTAGGCTAGGTTGCAAATCCTTAGACTCAAGAACTGTAATTTTTTTTATTGTCCTGAATATTCTAAAAAGTAACATAAATTTTAAGAGAATTGTAATTTAAAATCTTAGCAGGGTCAACTGAGCTCTGGATTCTTCCAAGGTAGACAAATCAAGCTTGACATGGTTAACTTGGAACAAGGGAAAGGAAGAGTGATTTTCCTCTTCCTAGTGCTTAAATAGCAAAGCACTGGTACGTGCTCTGCAGTGCGGAGATGCCTTGACGCTTATTGAAGGGATGGAGGCAGAACCCTCAGAATCTGAGAGCAGGGTTACTGACATTTGGCCAAAAATCTGAGCCCACTGGCATCTTATTCAGCTCAGAACACTTATATTCCATCCATGAGTATATTATAGTTAAATAAGCGTAGACTTGAGAGCCAACAGACCCAAGTTTGAATCCCACTTGAGACCCTGAGTGACTTTTGAATATCATTACCCTATCCTTAAAGTGGGGATGAAAGTAGTTCTACCTTTATGAATTGTTGAGTACCTTAAGTGAGTACATTTGTGTAAAGCAGTGAGCACAGTATCTAGTGCATGGTACATTGTTAAATAAGTGAAAACTAGAATTATGTTTATGATACCATTTTTAGATTTTAAAGTACTGTATATACAGGAAAAACAAAAACTGTAACACTAATATTTGTAACACATTTTACATTTCCAAGGTACTTTCACAAAGTCACCTTGCCATATGGGCTATTCTAAAAAGTCAGCCCAGCTCTGTACCCCTCCCCTACTCAGTATGGACTCCCTGATACAGGTGGCAGGATCTTTATCTGGGGTAAGATTTCCATTGTTGCCAGCTCAGCAAACAAAACTATGCTTTGACAATGATGACAATGATGGTGGTGGTGGTGATGAGTTTGTCTGGAACGTTAACCCCTTGCCAGGCACTTTCCATATATTCTTTCTGAGCGCTTTCCATATATTCTTTAAATCTTCCTGACAACTCTGAGGTAGGTACTCTGAATATTCCCATTTTACAGATGAGGTTCAGTTACTCAACCAAGATCACACTGCTGGGGAGTGGTAGATGCTCCCAGACAGTGCAGCTCCAGCCCTACAGGGTTCAAACCACTTCAGATTTCTTCTACGGACTGTCTACTTCTAGGCTACACCTAACGTGGAAGAAAGGTGTGCAAATGCCCCTGTGCTTTACGCATTAAAGGGGGATACTGTGTGCTCTGGATGCCAAAGAATCTGTTATTTTGGCATTATATTAGCTCCTGCAGAGATCTGGATATCTGGATGTATCAGTCAGCCCGGAAATATGTATTGATCCACATTAAGTGTGAGGTGCTTGGGAGGAAGAGCTGTATAACACAGAGCCCATGCCATCAAGCTGCCTGTAAGACTTGCCAGGGGAATCGAATCTAGCACAAGTAGAAACTGTATGGGATAAATGTTATGAGTTGTGTAGGTAAAACCTACATATTCTCCAAGCACCTATTCTATCTCAGATGTTGGGCTAGATGCTTTCCAGTAACCCTCGAAGCAAGACATCATTCTTCTCGCTTTCCAGTTGAGGCAACTGAAGCTCAACAGAAGCTCATTAATTTGCCCCAGGTTCTCAGCTACCGTGTGATGGAACTGGAATTCTGACCCTAAGTATCGTTCATGTTTCCTGACCCTTTTCTGCCTCCTCATCTCTTGAATCAGCTGCGGATACTCCCAGTTCTGTGGCCCCTGGAATGGCTTCAAAAATTTCCTCCTCCCTGATCGTATTTCAACTGCTTTTCCTGCCTCCACTTGGCAACAGCTTGGAAGTTAAAAGCTCAGGGGAGGAAGAAGGAGGTGGCTGGAGCCATGGGGCAGTGGAGGTGGGTGTGGGTAGTAAGGATCACTGTGTCTCTCCAGGGCTTCCAAAGAGATGCCGCAGTGTGTGTGCCCCAGGGAGTGCGGGAGAGGAGTCCTGAGAGGCGGGCAGCAGCACCCAGCCAGGCTTCCCCGCCTTCCAGCGTTGATGTGGTCTGTGAGTCAGGCTTGTTTTCTTTGGGGTGTGGTGAGAATTACAGTGAGAAAATTGGGTTGGAACTGTTTGGGGCCCAATTCTGAAATTTCACTTTTTCTCTCCCTCTTGACATTCAGCTATTCTCTCAGAGAAGCAGTTTCCTGTTCAGCGATGTGCCCCAGGCCTACACAGTGGCCAGGCTTCCAGTGGCTGGGCTCTGCCTCATAGGGAGTGAAAGCAGAGGCCAAGCTCACTGTGGTTCTGGGGAGTGTCATCTCCTTGGCCCTTCAAGGCCAGGCTTGAGGACAGGGTCCCTCTGCCTCCTCTGCCATGCTGCTTTCTTCAACGTTTCTTGTTGACTCATTAGAAGCTGGCCTTGCTTATAAGAATTCTCCAGAAAACATATTACCATGAGTAAGAGGTGCCCCCCTTGTGTTTCTGCGTTCTGAACCCCCCCAGCAGAGGGGGTTGGATATGAGTATAACAGCCTTCATGCAGGACTCACTGCATGGCCTGTGGGCTTTGGCGGGGGCACCCCATGGCCTTCTGGCCTTCCCACTTGCCCCTTCTGATCCATTCTCCACACCACCAGCTAAGTACTCTTTCAAATGTTGAAGTGCAGAGGCCTTTGTGTAGCCTCCAGGTCCGTGTGACTCACCTGCCTGTCACTTCCCGCTCCTCTCCCCCTACTCACAGCCTTACATTCCAAGCTTCAGTCTTGGGGAACCATGGCACCTCCCTCCTGCCCCCAGGCCTTGGAAGCTGCTCTTCTTTCCACCTGAATCACCTTTACCCTCCATCCCACCCTCCACTACATTCTCCACCTTTCCCCTCCATTCCACCATCCGCCATATTCTCCCAACTCCTACTTGTTCCTCAGGTCTCAATTTAAACATCGTTTCCTCCAAGAAGTGCTTTCTGAGCCTCCAGTGTCTGGTTTGGGAGCTTTTTCTGGTGTTCCTATCACCTCTATTTCCCCCTTCGAGGCGCTTATCCCATTCTATGTTCATAACCTGTTTACTTTCCATTTCTTCTACTGCCCTGGGAACTCCTACATGGCAGAGACTGCCTTTTTCACCAGTGTTTACCCAGGATCTAGGCCTGTGTCTGGCACATAGCAAAAGCCCCATTAAATATTTTCAGAATGAGTGAATGAAATCTACTAGTTGCACGGCAGAATGTTTCATTATGCTGGAATCTCCCTGACCTATAAGGCAGGATTGTCTCAATTTTACAGGTGACAAGTGATTTGAGCAACTTCCATGCTAGTCACTGGTTAACCAAGAACTCTTTCAAAAAGTGTTAGAGGCTGCAAGTGAGAAAGCACCCAGGAGAGGCGGGCAGGAGGGTACTGGCAATAGATGGGAGTTATGTGTCATGGTCACTTTGAAGAAAATGTTTAATTTAAATGATAAAACACATTTTATCTCCCACTGCTACAAAATTAATTGGGAGGTATAGTTGGGGAAGAGTTCTACTGAATACAGAAATGAGTGCTTTAAGGAACAGAATCAATAAAACCAGCCTCAATCCCCAAAGCCCCCCTCTGAGCAGATTCACGGAAAGGAACCCATGATGGGTAAAGTGGGTACCCTGGCACTGGGCGTCATGCTGGCATGGGGATCCTCCTCTGAGCATCTATTTCTGGAAGTCTGAGAGGCTCTTCTCAGTTCCCATTATCAGAACAAGAAGCATTCCCACAAGTGTGTCATTATCCAAAACAAGTGAGGTCACTGGCGGGAGCATGTCTCATGTCTGTCTGATCGTCCTATGGAAACCGTGGAGGGCTTTGGTTTGGTTTTCACCAAATATGAAAGCTCCACCTCCATCCAGTAAGTTGTCATTGTGGGTGTGGGTTAATAACTATTTTCCAGAAAGCATGTCTTATTGAGTGCAGCTCTCCAATTAACAGAAAGGCTAGTTACGAGTAGCAATCTCTTTGCTTCTCATGACGGTGTCATTTCATAAAAGCTTCATCTTCATTGGTTTCTGACTTCATTTTTACATGATGGTAGGAGTGCTATTATTATCCCAGATAAAGCAATGGAAGTTGTGAGAGTTTATGTGATTTGTGCAGAGTCCCACTAATGATGAAGGAGAAAGCAGACCAGCCACCTCCAATCACCCTTGGATGTTTGGATTTTTTTTTTTTTCTGTTCAACCTTTGCTGTATAACAAAGTACCCCAAAATCTAATGGTATTAAACTTTTGCATGATTTTATGATGCTCACAGACTCTGCGGGTCAAGAAGCCAGTCAGGGCACAGTGGAGATACAAGCTTGTCTCTGCTCCACAATGTCTGAGGCCTTATCTGGTATCTTTGTCTGTTTGGGCTGCTATAACAAAATACTGTAAGCTGGTGGTTTTGTAAACAATAGAAATTTCTTACAGTGCTGAAGGCTGGGAAGTCCAAGATCAAGGCACCAGCAGATTCAGTGTCTGGTAGGGGCCCACTTTCTAGCTCATACATGGTGCCTTCTTGCTGTGTCCTCCCATGGTGGACGGGGCAACAGGTCTCTCTCAGGCCTCTTTTATAAAGACACTAATCTCCTTCATGAGGGCCCCACCCTCATGACCTAATCACCTTCCAGAGGCCCATCACCCACTGCCATCACCTTGGGGATTTAGATTTCAACATGAATCTTGGGAGGACACAAACATTCAGACCGTAGGCTTTGGTCCTGGGTCCCCAAATTTCATGTTCTTCTTACATGCATAATATACTCATTCCAACCCATTAGCCTCAAAAGTCTTAATTTATTCTGTCATCAACTCAAAAGTCTGAAGTCCAGAGTCTTTTCTAAATATCAGCTAAATCAGATATGGGTGAGGCTTAAGGTGCAACTCATCCTGGGGCAAATTTACTCTCCAGCTGTAAACCTATGAAATCAAACATGTTATGTGTTTTCAAAATACAGTGGTAGGATAGGCATAGTATAGACATTCCCATTGTAAAAGGGAGATACAGGAAAGAAGAGGGGTAACAGGTCTCAGGACCCAGGTCTGAAACCTAACCTGGCCAACAATGTTAAATCTTAAGACTGAGAATAATCTTTGGTTTGCCATCCAACCTGCTGGACATGCTGGGGCAGGGATTGGGACCTCAGGCTCCAGATGGCCCTACTTCCGTGGCTTTGCTGGGTACAGCCCATGCTACAGCTCTCGTGGGTTTTAGTCAAGTGCCTACAGTTCTCCCAGGCTGGAATCACATATAGGCGGTTCTACTGGTCTGACAGCAGCTCTACTAGACATTGACCTAGTAGGGACTCTGCAGTGGCCCAGCCCTCTTGGCAGCCCTCTGCCTGGGTCACACACCTGAGGCTCTGGGTAGTTCCATCCTTTGAAATCTTGATGGAGGGAATAATGCCTCCTTGGCTTGTATACTCTATGTGCTGGTGAAGGTGGCATCTTGTGGACACTCCCAAAGTTTACTCTCTGTGCCCTCTGGAGGAGGAGCAGCTACAGAGTACCACTATGCACTTGAATTCACTAGAGCTGAACTTGGGGCAGCCAAAGAGCTTGGCAAAGAGCAGAGCCTTGAAATTGTTCTGTTCCCCCAGTCCCTTGCAGTCTGGACCTGTGAAGTGAGGGGGCAGCCTTGATGATCTCCAAAATGCCTTCGGGGTTATTCCATTGTCTTGCACAATAGGTCCTGGCTTCTGTTTAGACGGGAGTCTAATCTCCCCATTGTCTGGATGAATAGCTTCTAGCTTTGATTGAGATGGCCCCTCTGAACTAACTTCCTTATCAAACTTGGCCACACCCTTCATGTTCTCTCTCAAACAAGCTTTCTGATTTTTTCTAATATGGATAGGCTGAGAATTTTCGAAATTTTTAGGCTCTGGTTCCCTTTTGGTTAACAGTTTCATTAACTTTAAATCGTTTCTGTCTTCGCACATTTCACTATAAGCACTCAAGAGAAGCCAAACAGCACATTTTATACATTGCTTGGAATTTCTTCAGTCAAATATCCAATTTCATTGCTCACAAGCATGACCTTCTACAAAACACTAGAATATGAACATAATTCAGCCAACTTCCTTGCCACTTTATAAGAAGCATGGTCTTTCCTCCACTGTCCCATAACATGTTCTTCATTTCTATCTGAAATCTTATTAGAATGGTCTTCACTGTCCATGTTTCTGTAACTGCCCAATGGGTTCAGTTTGCCACTGCCTAGACAGAGCCAATTTCTCAAGACAGAGGAATTGCAATAGAGAAAGAGTAATTTCTTACAGAGCTCTCTGTGTGGGAGATCAGAGTTTTATTATTACTCAAATCAGTCTCCCCAAGCATTTGGGGATCAGAATTTTTAAGGACAACTTGGTGAGTGGGAGAAGCCAGTGAGCCAGGAGTGCTGATTGGTCAAGTAAGAGATGAAATCATAGGGAACTGAGGCTCTCCTCTTGCGCTGAGTCAGCTCCTGGGTGGGGGCCACAAGATCAGATAAGCCAGTTTATCGATCTGGGTGGTGCCAGCTGATCCATCAAGTGGAGGGTCTGCAATATATCTCAAGCACTGATCTTAGGAGCAGTTTAGGGAAGGTCAGAATCTTGTATCCTCCAACTGCATGACTCCTTAACATGATTTCTAATCTTGTGGCTAATTTGTTAGTCCTACAAAGGCAGTCTAGTCCCCAGGCAAGGAGGTTTGTTTTGGGAAAGGGCTGTTGTCATCTTTGTTTAAAATTGTAACTATAAACTAAGTTCCTCCCAAAGTTAGTTCAGCCTATGCCCAGGAAGGAACAAGGACAGCTTAAAGGTTAGAAGCAAGATAAGAGTTGGTTAGGTTAGATCTCTTTCACTGTCTCAGTTATAATTTTGTGGAGGCAGTTTCATTTCTACCAATGTTCTGCTCACATCCATATAGCTATTCCTTAAGAAGACTGAAGCTCTCTCTACAGCTCTACTCTTTTTTTTTTTAAGAGAGAGAGAGGAGTTTTGCTCTTGTTGCCCAGGCTGGAGTGCAATGATGCGATCTTGGCTCACTACAACCTCTGCCTCCCAGGTTCAAGTGATTCTTCTGCCTCAGCCTTCTGAGTAGCTGGGATTATAGGCATGTGCCACCACACCCGGTTAATTTTGTATTTTTAGTAGAGACAGGGTTTCTCCACGTTGGTCAGGCTGGTCTCGAACTCCCAACCTCAGGTGATCCACCTGCCTCGGCCTCCCAAAGTGCTGGGATTATAGGCATGAGCCACTGTCCTGGCCCAGCTCTCCTCCTTTTCTAAGCCCTTACCAGAATTGCCTTTTGTAGTTAATACATGGCAATGTAAGTATTTTCTAGCATGCAACTCAGAATTCTTTCAGTTTCTGTTGATTACGCAGTTCCAAAGCCACTGCCATATCTCAGGTAATTGTTACAGTAGCACCCCCACTTCTCAGTACCAATTTCCTATCTTAGCCTGCCTGTCTGCTATAACAAAACATCAAAAACTAGGTAACTGACACAACAGAAATTTATTTCTCACAGTTATGGAACTGGGAAATGTGAGATCAAGGCAGATTTGGTCTTGTGAGGACCCATTCTCTGGCTTTGGTAGTGCTGTCTTGCTGTGTCCTGACATGGTGGAAGGTGTGAGGGGTCTTTCTTGGGCCTCTTTTATAAGAGCACTCGTCCCATTCATGAAGGGTCTGCCTTCATAACCTTATCACCTCCCAATAGGCTCCAGGTCCTAATACCACCACCTTGGGGCTTAGGATTTCTTTTTTCTTTTGTTTTTTTTGAGATGGAGTTTTGCTCTTGTTACCCAGGTTGGAGTGCAGTGGCACGATCTTGGCTCACTGCAACCTCTGCCTCCCAAGTTCAAGCAGTTCTCCTGCCTCAGCCTCCTGAGTAGCTGGGATTACAGGCGTGTGCCACCACACCTGGCTAATTTTTGTATTTTTAGTAGAGATGGAGTTTCACCATGTTGGCCAGGCTGGTCTCGAACTCCTGACCTCAGGTGATCCACCTGCCTTGGCCTCCCAAAGTGCTGGGACTATAGGCATGAACCACCACGCTAGGCCAGGATTTCAACATATGAAATTCAGGGGGACACACATTCAGACCATAGCACCTGTAAACACTGAAACAGCTGGGAATGATTCAAATAGCTAGTACTAGAGTCATCTGGAGGCTTCTTCACTCGTGTCTAGTATGACTCAATGTCTTGGGTCAGCTGGGATTGTCAAATCTCACACCTGCACATGACCTCTCCTTGTTGTTTGGGTTTCTCACAGCTTGGTGCTGGCTTCCAAGAGAGTATCCCAAGAGCAAGTATGCCAAGAGGGTCCAGTGGCTGCTGTATTTTCCTTTCTTTCCTTTGGAAGTCATGCAGCATCACTTCAGCCATATCCAACTGATTACCATCAACTCACTCAGCCCGCCCAGATTCAAGGGGAGGGGAATTACCCTCTACCTCTTGATGGAAGCGTGGCAAGTTCATATTGCAGAACAGTACGTGAGATGGGGGCTAGTGTAGCCACTTTTGGAAAATACAGTATCCCAACAGGATTTTCCTATTCTAAGCATTTCGTCTCATTGGAACTGTGTGATACATGGTCTTTTGTGTCTGTGGAGCTCTTATTTTAACACAAGGCAAATGCCCCTAAACTAAGTGCTTTGCAAAGGTGACCTCACTATACCTTTATGAGATGAGGACTATAATATCCCCATTTTACAGATGGGAAACACAGAAAGGTTCAATAACTTGCTGCAAGTCCCAGCTAGTGAGTGGCGGAGCCAGATTTTGAACCCTTGTCCCTGGCACTGCTAAACTGTATGCAAATGAATGTCTTTTAGAGACAGGGTTTCATCTCCTCTATCTACAGTAAGAAAATGGAAGTCTATGATGCATTCATAGCTATTTATTGAGCCCCTACAATGTGCCAGACACTGCTACATCAGAGCCACAGATTAGGCAAGAAGAAAGGTAATTAAACCAATAATGGGAATTCCCTGCATCAGGCCTTGGGATAGAGGTCTCTGTGCATTGAGAGCTGTGGGAATAGAGGGATGAAGGCATCTGTTCAGGGCACGCAGCCCAGGGCCCGAGCCAACCTTTCTATCTCTGCCATTAGCAAAGCACACCCCCAGATGTGAACTCTTAGGGTTCGTTGCCGCCCTCCTTCAATGCCCCCAGGGCCTGCCGGGGAAAGGTGCCTGGCTTCACCTGGCCTGTCAGGGTCCAGGCAGAGAATCCTGCCCTGGCAGTGGCTGTCAAGGCCCTGCCTTAATCTCTCAGGTAGGCAAGCAGCTGCTTCCTCCTGACTGCAGGGCAGGGCGGAGCTGCCAGCCCAGTGTTTCTGGCCCACTCAGGGCCTTTCTTTTCTTACAAAGACTGCTGTGTTGGATCTGTTTTTCTAAGTCAGATAGTTATTTGATTTCCACCTCAGAACTCAGTGCCAGCATTCAGTGTTGCCAGCCTCACCGCCACCGGCCATGGTGCGAGAAGGAATTCGGGTTCCTGGAACATGGTCAGAGAATGCACTCCTTGATTCAGGTGGGTGGAGGTCAGGAGTGGCTTCCCACACCGGCGGCCTAACACTTGCCTGACTTGAAGGGGTTCTGGTGTCAGGAGAAGCTCAGGCTGTGCTCGGCCGCGTCACCTCTGTAAGTCGCCACAGACTGTAATGAAGACCAACCCAGAACATGCTTCTAATTTGTCTGTTCCCTCTGGGTCTAGTAAGCCGAGCCAGGGCAAACAGAGAGGACCATCATCCATGTGGGGTCATGCCTGGATGTGAGGTCATTCCTGGATGTGGGGTTATACCAGGATGTAGAATCCCAAGGCCAGGCTGGGCCTAAGTGGTGGAGAAATATTGTTAGTGGGGGCAGCCAAAGCCTCATAACCAAAGGGGACCCCAAACTAGGTTAAGAGGGAGGCAGGAGGTCTGAGCCAGACAGTGAGACAAATATGAGGTCTCTGGCTGGCTAAATTCAGGCCACAGGCAGGAAGAGGAATGATGAGGACAGAAACTAGGAGGGTCGGAAACAGGCTGGGAGGGGGCCAGGAATGCCCAGATGGCTGGCGGCCAGCTAAAAGTGAAGGACTGGCTAAAGACACCAGCTTGGAATTGTGGGCATGCGCTCAGAGAGCATTTTCTGTGGGTGCTTGTGCATCCTAGGCGGAGGGTCTTTCTCCGGAGAAGTTGTGTGTTTCTCACAGATGCCTCAAGGGTATAGCTAGCCTGGAACCCTTTTTAAAGCTAATTTATCAGCTTAGGGATTATAGGACCATGCAAGTGGAATGAAGTTTAACCCCAAACCCATGAACATATTCATGTTTAGAAAGTCCCAAAAGAGATGGCTTTGTTCTACCCAGAGCCCAGGCCAAGACACAAATGATCTCTCCATGGTG
Source organism: Homo sapiens (assembly GCF_000001405.40). Taxonomy (NCBI): domain Eukaryota; kingdom Metazoa; phylum Chordata; class Mammalia; order Primates; family Hominidae; genus Homo; species Homo sapiens. The sequence goes on from NC_000001.11 coordinate 63,670,710, forward strand.
ATGGGTACATTTTCCCCCCGGTCCATCATTTCATCATTTGCTGAGGTGCTCAGCTCTAGGTGGGGTTTGGGTAGTGGAGAGAAAGGATGTCAGATCTAATACCCATCTCATTTAGGCCCAAGACCTTGTCTTGTTCCCCCATGTGACTTAAAATCCAAATCTCTTGGTTACCTAAGAACTTTCTTTTCTTTTCTTTTTTTTTTTTTTGAGACCGAGTTTCACTCTTGTTGCCCAGGCTGGAGTGCAATGGCGTGATCTTGGCTCACTGCAGCCTCTGCCTCCCGGGTTCAAGTGATTCTCTTGCCTCAGCCTCCCAAGTACCTGGGATTATGGGCATGCACCACCACACCTGGCTAATTTTCATATTTTTAGTAGAGACAGGGGTTTCTCCAAGTTGGTCAGGCTGGTCTTGAACTCCTGACCTCAGGTGATCCGGCCACCTCGGCTTCCCAAAGTGCTGGGATTACAGGTGTGAGCCACCGCACCCTACTTACCTAAGAACTTTCTAAGGGAGCTACAGCTTTAGCTTCTCACTCAACCTTGTTTTCCTGTTTCCACCTTATCTTTGGCACATGAGGATTTCTCATACTTTCTTGCAAATTTTATTGTGCATTTACAAGGGCCTTTGCTGTGGTGTATGGAGTATTTCCGGGTAACTCATAGATAGCTGGGAGGTGTTTCAGTGTGCCCAGAATCTGAAGTCCTTTTGCTTCCACTCATGCCCCTCCATTCCACCCTCACAATAGCCAGTGTCATCTTAAAAAACAATAAAAAAAATTTTTTCTCGTTTTTCACTTGCAACTTTTCAATAGTTTCTTATAGCTTTTTGTTCATTATAATATTGTTTTGTCAGTGTTTTTGGATATCCCACAATCTTCCTCATTTCTCTTCTATAATCAGCACTCTGTTCCTGGGGCGAAACTCCTCTCAGATTCCATGTGGCCCCAGGGCTGTCAGTCACAGTGCCTTCCTTCCTTTCCCTTCCACCCCCATTCCTGCTACAGGGGCAGGAACTTGGCCCAGGGTAGACTAATCATTGGACCACATCCCTGTGGACATAGTGATTGGGCCAGTGAGTAGGCATGTGAACCAAGATGGACCAATCAGAGCCTTTCCATTATGTTTTTTCCAAATGGAAGGTAAAGGGATAACCTTCTTTTTGAATCATAGGTTACAAGGATATAGGCCTGATGAGTATCAGTGACTCTTTTTTCCTACCAGATTGACAGATCCTGTCAGTGCAGGAGAGAATGAGGTAAACTAATAAATTCAGAAACAAGCAGAGATAATAAATTAGTGGAAAAGAAAGTCTTTTTAAATTTTTTCCTTTTTTTTAGAAGATGGGGTCTCACTTTGTCACCCAGGCACCATCATAGCCCACTGCAGCCTCAAACTCCTGGGCTCAAGTGATCTTCCTGCCTCAGACTCCTGAGTACTTGGGACCACAGGCGCATGCCACCACATCTGGCTGGAAAATAAAATCTTTTTTTTTTTTTGAGGCAGAATTTTGCTTTTGTCGCCCAGGCTGGAGTGCAATGGTGTGATCTTGGCTTACTGTCATCTCCGCCTCCCGGGTTCAAGCGATTCTCCTGCCTCAGCCTCCATAGTAGCTAGGATTATAGGCGTGTGCCACCACACCCACCTAATTTTGTTTTTTTTTTTTTTTTTTTTTTTTTAGTAGAGACGAGAGTTCACCTTGTTTGCCAGGCTGGTCTTGAACTCCTGACCTCAGGTGATCTGCCCGCCTTGGCTCCCCAAAGTGCTGGTGAACCATCGTTGTTGTCTGGGGTAAATAGCTGAGGTTCATTGTCTCGTGCCAAGACAATTAAGGACACGGACACACGCAAGGAGTGAGTTTAGGAGTGGAGGTTTAATAGGCAAGAGAAAGGAGAACAGCTCTCTGGCTTGTGAGAGAGATGGGGCCCAAATGGGAATTCCGGCCTGTGGCAGAGTGCACCAGATTTTATAGACCGGCTTGAGGAGGTGGTATCTGATTTATGTAAGGCTCACAGATTAGTTGGTCCAGGCGTGACGTTTACATAGCAAGGGGGAAGGCTGGCCACCCCATCCTCATCTTATTATGCAAATGGCCTTTCCACTTGGCCGGCGCCATGTTGTCTGCTTCTTACTGTAAACATGGCTGGCAAAAAGGGAACATGAAGGCTACAGTTTGAACATGCCTAGTCCCAGGTAGCCTTTTCCCATTGGCACAACTGCCGGTATTCACCCTTGCAGTCTTCCAGCTTGCTTATCTATGTCTGCAGCTCAATTTTACAAGCTGCTCTTTGTTAGAAAAGAAAATGATTTGGGGGCTGCTTTTCGTTAAAAGGAAAACCTTGCCGAGAACTTCCTTACCCTCACTATCTGCCTAAATAATTTCTTCTTAACTCCTATATCACTGGGATTACAGGTGTGAGCCACTGTGCCCCGCCACGAAAACCCTGGGCTCTTGGATTCAGCCATATCTGGAACTTCAACTACAGGAACCAGCACATTGCCTTTTTACTTAAATGAGTTCCATGTAACAAAAAGAGACTTGACCAGTGTGGAGCCACATCCTTCACTTGACGCTCGAAGTCAAGGCCCTGTGTGATCTCCTCACCTCACACTACTGTTTTCCTCCTCCCAGGGATCCATCAATGGAGAACTTCTTTTAGTTTTGTTTTGTTTTTTTTTTTTAGATGGAGTCTCACTCTGTCACCCAGGCTGGAGTGCAGTGGCGTGATCTCAGCTCACTGCAACCTCTGCCTCCCGGGTTCAAGCAATTCTCTGCCTCAGCCTCCCAAGTAGCTGGGATTACAGGTGCCCGCCATCATGTCCAGATAATTTTTGTATTTTTAGTAGAGACAGGGTTTCACCATCTTGGCCAGGCTGGTCTTGAACTTCTGACCTCGTGATCCACCCGCCTCGGCCTCCCAAAGTGCTGGGATTACAGGCGTGAGCCACCGTGCCCGGCGTTCTTTTAGTTCTTCAAGCAGGCCAGGCTCCTTCTTATCTCATGGCCTCCTCACATGTTGTTCTTAGCTAATTCCTATACATCCTTCAGCTGTCTGCATGTAGGTCATGTCTTTAGAAAAGGCTTCCCTGACTGCCTGACTAGGCCAGGGTCCCCCTACAATCCTCCTCTCCAATATAAACTCCTGCAGCACCAATGCTTTTCCTTCTCAGCACTCATTGCAGTAGTAACGAATACATTCTTTGTTCACGAGATAATTCCTTATTTACAGTCCATCTTCACCACTGGACTATACGCTTCATGAAGTTAAGGACCATTTGTCTTTTTAAAATTTTTATTTCTTTTGAGACAGTCTCATTCTGTTGTTCAGGCTGGAGTTCAGTGGTACAATCATGACTCACTGCAACCTCCACCTCCTGGGCTCAAGCAATCCTCCTGCCTCAGCCTCCTGAGTAGCTGGGACTGCAGGTGTGCACTACCACATCTGGCTAGTTTTATTTTTTGTAGAGATAGGGTCTCACTATGTTTCTCAGGCTGGTCTTGAACTCCTGGGCTCAAGTGATCCTCCTGCCTCAGTCTCCCAAAGTGCTGGGATTAGCAGCATGAGAGACCACGCCTGGCCACGACCATTTATGTTGATCATCCTTATGTACTCAGTGCCTAGCACAGTGCTTGGCACAAAATAGGTGCTCAGTAAACATTTGTCAAATGAAAAAAAAATGAACGATTGAATGTTTGACTTGGAAACCCATGCCTTCGATCTCCACAGGCTTTGTAATCTAATACACAAACACAGGCAATCCTGATTCATAACGTGACCACAGAAGGTTCCCTGGGGTGGTAGAGAGCCTCATGCATGATTTAGTCAGGTATTTTGAGCTGGGATTCTGTCTGACCAGGCCAGAGTGGACCTTGCTCCCAGGAGATGGCAGTGTTGTGCAGTCTCTGACTCATCAAGGCTCCCACACTGACTTCCCTGAGACCCTGGAAGCTATCGAGCTGGACCTTGACCTCTCAAGCCGTGGACGCCAAGTCCCAGGGCCAGGTTTTTAAAGGAGCTGTGTGTTCAAAGCAGCTGAGAAGCAGAGCCTTTGTTCCAGAGACTGGCAGTCCCCCAATCCAAGATAAACAACCCTCCTCCCCAACTCGAATGATGGATCTGGTTTGGTGTTCTGTTCAAGAACTCTCTTTCCAAGAGTGGCTCAAAGGCTCCTTTGCAGCTTTTAAATTTTACAATCTCTTAGGAGAGAAGACCCAGGCCACAGAGTTGCTACCTCCTGGTGCTTTGGAAGATTCTCCCTATTCATACTTTCTCTCAAATCCCACAGCTGCTACTTGCTGTGAGTGCAGACTAGCACAACCACCAACACGGACCCACAGGTAGACCATCCTGTTCAGATCCTGGCTCTGTCACTTACCGTGTGACTTAGGACAAAGCCCTTACCTTTTCTCAATAAAAAGAATAGTAATACCTATTTCTCAGGCTTGTGCTGAATGATTAATCAAACAGTGCCTGGCACTGTGCACCTGGCACTGTGCCTGGAGCATAGTGGGTGCTTAGTAAACATCGGTTCCCTTCCCTCTCCCCCTCCCACACTGCGCTGCTGAAGGAGCTGGGGGAGGGAATGTGAGAAAGCCTCCGCAGCAGGATTTCACTAGCAAATGTCTAAAAACAACAACCTTCTTCTCTTCCCTGGAGCACCTTCCTATCCCCAGTGTGACTGTAAAGCCAGATTAAAAAGCGCCCATGGTCATTGGAACTCGCCCCAGTCAAATAATCCACGTTACCAGTCCGGTCCATGTCAGCCCGGCTCCTGCTGCTCCCCACTGTGGGGAGCCAGGTGCTCCTGGGAATCCTGAGGTTCACCCTGGCCCAGGGGCCTTGGCTCCCTTTCAGTTCGTTGCTTTCTTTTGTGGTGGAGCATCTGGGCTGTAGCACTGGAAGCGTTTTGGCCCTGCTGCTGGGCCCTTATCTCTGTGCTGTGTGAGCCCCATTCCTGCCACGTCGGAACCCATTAGGGACCACTCTGCTGAAGCTTTTGAAGGAGTAATCAGTTTGTAGAGGGAAGGGGCTGTGCCAAGCCAGGCCAGATGGAGTAAGTAATGAAGGCCCCAGATTAATCTCGCCTGTCTCTTTTTTCCAATATGAAGGCTCAACCCAAGAGCTTGGCAGTCTCAAGACAAATTATACTTGTCAGCTTCAAAGCATAAGTTCCCTTCCAAGCCAGAATGCACTTTCTCTCTTTCTCTCCCCATCCCCTTCTCCCTCTCTCCTGAAATACAAAACGGGAGTAAAAAATGGGGTGCATATGAGATGTTGTGACATTTTTGCATCATCGTAATAATTAGAGCCTCCACCGGGCATTTCCTATGTATTAGGCAACACACTGAGTCCTCTACATGCATTCAGCTTATTTATTTCTCACCATAATTCTACAAGATATATACTAGTATCCCCATTTTATGGATTAGGAAATCAATGTTCAGAGAAGATGATTGATTCAAGGTCACATAGTAAGTTGTGAAGCAAGGATTCAAACCTAGGTTTGTGTTACTCCAACCGCTATGGTATACACACCCTGTAGTTTTCGGAGCTGTTAATCTCTCTAACTTAAGTCTTCGCCTGGAGGAAGAGTCCAGCTCTGAAGCCAAGAACACAGTATCCTGCTTTTTCCCATTGTTAAACATTTTCCCTGCAGTCTTGGGGTGAGAGCAAGGCATAAGGGTTGGGTTCTCAGAAAAACATTTCCGGAGGTTACTTTTAAAAAATCCTAGTCTTTGAGATACAGATACATGGGAACAAAGATCCTGTGGTTAAATAAATTTGGGAACCACTACATGTAATTGTTCCTCCTGGAGTCACAAGACATGTGAGCAGGCAACAAGTCTTAAGAGGTCCTCAAAGTAAAGACGCCCAATGAACATAGTCCTATCCACTGTTTCCCCATATTATTTCGTCCACTTATGTTTTCAAGGCACACCTAGAAAGCCCCATGTCTGCACTATAGCCTTGCTACTTCAAGTACTGTGCTCAGATCAGCACGGCAGCATCACCTGGGAGCTTGCTAGGAATACAGAATCTCAGGTCGCACCCCGGACCCATTAAATTCCCAGGTGATTTGCGTGTCAGAGACACTGGGCTCTAGACTAGAGTATAACCAAACTAAGCTCAGTAGACTGGTTATCTCACTCAGGAGACAAGCATCATTAAGCCGCCCAATTTTTGAGTGACATCAACACAAGTGCTGTACATTTGGAAAACTAAATTAGAAAGGAAGGACCAGTTTCTCTTTTGCCCAAACAGCCCCAGAATCACAACTAAACAAAACATGGCATAAAGAATAGAATGCCATATTTTACTAGGGCACTGGCCCACTTCTAGGTTTTTGGTAATTCCTCACTAAGAAGAGTTAGCTCTGTAAACTATTGTTTTCACCTTTATTTTATACCTGCTGCCTCAGAACTGAGTTCTTATCTTTCTGGTTATCTTATCATTCTGGGTCAGATCCAGTACCCCCACCATCTGCCACACCTACTACCCCTTCTCCCCAGCACGATCTCAGCTCACTGCAACCTCCGCCTCCCCGGTTCAAATGATTCTCCTGCCTCAGCCTCCCAGGTGGCTGGGACTGCAGGTGTGTGCCACCACGCCCAGCTAATTTTTGTGTTTTTTAGTAGAGACTGGGTTTCACCATGTTGGCCAGGCTGGTCTCGAACTCCTGACCTCAAGTGATCCTCCTGCCTTGGCCTCCCAAAGTGATGGGATTACAGGTGTGAGCCACCGCACCCAGCCTTCCCAGCTCTTGCTCTCCATGTCCCTCCAGTGTCTCTGATTAGCTGAACTCAGCCAGCATCCTGTGGATAAGGAGCCTGAGAAGTGTTTGCCCAGACAGCCCATGAGACTCAGCATAGGGCAGGAGAAGGGTGGCGAGTGGATCTAAGAGCTAGCAGGCAAATGATTGCACGAGGCCCTACCCTTTATGTGAAGGAGGGCAGCAGACAGTTTCCTTCCTTGACAACAGGGCTGTAGCAGGGAACAAAGGGGATCTGATAGGAGGAGGACAAGAACACTAATGGAGTAGAGAGAAACCATAGGTGAAGAATGGACCTTCCCTGTGTCGTGGTGCTTCAGTGTTGCTGGGAACAAGGCTTGACTCTGGTCATAAAGTAGTACCTTTAATGCTTCCAACTCATCTAGCTCTTGTAGTGCCAGTAACTCCTGTATGCCCCATTGCGAGTAGTCTCCAGTATCCATTCAGATCAGCTCCCCTGCACTCATATGCAGCCCCCCTCCATTGTTCTCTTCCTGACTTTCTGACTCTCTTAGTTCCAGAGGCCCCCTCTGCTGACACACCACTTCAGGCCTCTCTTGTTAAGGAGATTTAGGACACTTCTCTTTGGTTTTGCCCCCAGAGCAAAACCTGGCCTGCTCCTGGACCTGGTTGCAAAGAATTTTAACTCATGGTCTCACATGGAGACCTAGGCATTCTAATTATCTTAACTGGCAGGATAAAGTAACAAGCAATTCTTGAATGGCTACTGTATGTTCACTGCTGTATTTGGGATCATGTGGAGGGCATGCTGGTCACTGGACAAGGATGCCAGTGGATTACCCTTTTTTCACTGGACAAAGATTACCCTTTTTTCTAGGTAATCCTTTCTCAAAGAAATTAACTGCCTGCCTGCCTGCCTGCCTGCCTGCCTGCCTGCCTGCCTGCCTGCCTGCCTGCCTGCCTTTCTTCCCTCCTCCCTTCATCAAATATTTATATACCAGCTGGGGAATGCAGTGGTGAACGGGACATAGTCTCTGCCCTTAAGGAGCCTCAGTCTGGTGAGGGAAAGAAAATACAATTATAGTTAAATGAAAGAGGTGCATACAGATGGCTGTGGAAGCACAGAAAAGGGGCATCTAATCCAGCCTTGGGGAAGGGGAAATAGGGCTGTCAGGGAAGATATGGAGGCAGTGATACCTGGCAGGGTCTAGGGTAAAAGCAGGAGTTGACAAGTTTAAAATAAAGTTGCAGGCCAGGCACAGTGGCTCGCTCCTGTAATCCCAGCACTTTGGGAGGCAAGAGGTGGACGGGTCGCTTGAGGCCAGGAGTTCAAGACCAGCCTGGCCAACATGGCGAAAACCCATCACTACTAAAAATACAAAAATTAGCCAGGCATGGTGGTGCACACCTGTAATCCCTGCTACTCGGGAGGCTGAGGCAGAATGGCTTGAACTCGGGAGAGGGAGGTTGCAGTGAGCCGAGATTGCACCACAGCACTCCACCCTGGGCAACAGAGCAAGTGAGTCTCTGTCTCAAATTAAATAAATAAATAAAATTTAAAAGTAAATAAAATAAAATAAAATAGGGTTGCCAAATTTTTCAAATAAAGATACAGAATGCCCAGTTATACTTGAATTTCAGATAAACAACAAATAATTTTTTTAACATAAGGAAGTCCCAAATAATGCTAAAAATAATTCCATTATTTAAATTTAACTGAGTGTCCTGGATTTTACCTGGCACCGCCAGAACTGTTAAGAGAAGTGGAAAAAGAGTTCCAGGCAGAGGGAGGAGCTTATTAAATACTGGGAATTAAGAAGACAGTGAGTCAGGGAAACCACAAGATGTTCAGTGTCCAGGAAGAGATGCTCCTATTTCCCAGCCTAGAACAAAGGGATCTGATAGCCCCTCAAGAAGAGAGCTCAAATCTTGCTTTTTTGTCTGTGCCTTCCTATAGCATCTACATGGACACCTGTGGGCATAAGGAGTCCTTCCAACTTCCACTGCCCTTGCCCGCCTTCAGGCCCATCCCATTTCAGATCTCCCAGCAGATTCTCTGCTTTCAACCTCTCTACCAGCATCCAATCCTGTCACATAAGGCTGAAGCTTCCAGGGCCACCTTATCATCATAGATGGCTAGAACTGGGAGGGCATTTGCATTTCAAAGATGAGGCAAGAGTGGATCAAAAAGAGAAAGTGGATTGTACCAAGGACACCCTTGATATGATCAAGGTTAGTGGCAGAGCAAGCATGAGAACTCACATCTGTGACGCCATCCAGGTTTCCTTCTTCTGTACCCCTCAGCACTCTTCCTAAAGTCTTGCTGCTATGACCCCTCCAAGCCTCACAATGAAATTCGGTCCCCAGTGTTGGAAGTGGGACCTAATGGAAGGTATTTGGGTCATGGGGGCAGATCCCTCATGACAGGCTGATGCTGTTCTCACGGTGATGAGTGAGTTCTCAGTCTGTTAGTTCCTGAGAAATCTGGTTGCTAAAAAAGAGGCTGCCACCTCCCTTCTCTTTTTGCTTCTCCTCTCACCATGTGATCTCTGCACACACTGGCTATCCTTGATCTTCCACCATGAGTGGAAGCAGCCTGAAGTCCTCACCAGAAGCAAATGCTGACACCATGCTTCCTGTACAGCCTGCAGAACTGAGAGCCAAATATACCTCTTTAAAAAAAATAAATTACCCAGTCTCAGATATACCTTTATAGCAACACAAATAGAATAAGACAACAGCTTTACCCATTTTGTCTAAATGTTTCTTATTTCTTCATTATCTCAGGAGACAATTAAACCATCCACTCAAACTTTGTCTTATTCATTATGGATGACTGTGTTTTCTCACCTTGAGTAGGTTGCTAATTCTCTAACAAATTAAGTATGTTTGGTGCTTGGGTGTCATGCCCTTCTCATGGGAACTTGTGAAGCCCAGGTGAGTTGATGTTAAGTTTTGGGTCCCAGAAGTCAGAGTTGGGCACAGAACTCTTACCACAATGACCAGTAGTACAAACCACTAGAACAAGGGCTGAGCCAGAGTTCTTGGAATTATCCAAAGATCAAACTGCAGAACTATTATATTAGTGCAAAAGTAATTGCATTTTTCATAATTGTGGTTTTTGCAATTAAAAGTAATTGCAAAGGCTGCAATTACTTTTGCACCAACCTAATATCTCTACGGGCACCCTGAACAGGAGCATGTGGGGTCAGGATCTGGACAGAAATGGAATGAAATGGTTGTAAGTCCAGAGCAGAGAGAAGAGGCAGCAGAATTAGCATGGCATTGTGGGATGAATTATATCCTCCACAAAGAAGATTTTGAAGTGCTAACCTCCAGTACCTCAGAATGTGACCTAATTTGGAAATGGAATCTTCAGAGAAGTAGAGTTAAAATGAGGTCATCAGAGTGGTCCCAATCCAATATGACTGGTGTCCTTCTAAAAAGGGGAGATTTGGACACAAGGGACAGACATACACACAAGAACAATACATGGACATGAAAGTGGAGATTGAGGTGCTGCATCTATAATTCAAGGAATACCGAAGGTTGCCAGCCAACCCCCAGGAGCTAGGAGAGGGGCATGCAACAGATTCTCCCTCACAGCCTCGGAAGGAACCAACCCTGCTGACACCTTAATCTCATACTTCTGGCCTCCAGAACTGTGGGACAATAAGCTTCTGTTGTCCTAAGCCATCCAGTTTTTCATGCTTTGTTATGGCAGCCCTAGCAAATGAATATACATGGAGTATCTTGGAGTGTGCCAGGATTCTGCCATGGACACTTGCTGTCCTCTAACTAGGTGGCATCATCCAGTTCTGTGGCTTCAAAGCCATCTCTAAATCAGTAAATTCCTAATTTAGATCTCCAGCCATGGGCTCATCCCAGAACTTGAAGCTTCTATATCCCACTGTCCATTTGTCACTTTTTTGGATGTCTTTTAGGCACCTCAAATTCATGGGGCTCAAACAGAAATCTTGATCCCCTGCATGATCATAGTCATCTTATTCTTTCCCTGGTGTGATGGTTAATTTTATGTGTCAACTTAGCTGGTCCAGAAGGTGCCCCAATATTTGGTGAAGCATTATCTCTGGGTGTGTCTGGGAGGGTGTTTCTGGGTGAGATGAACATTTGTGTTTGTGGATTGAGGAAAGTTGATTGTCTTCCCTAAGGTGAATGGACTTTATTCAGTCGAGGCCTGAATAGAATAAGAGGCTGAGTAGAAATAATTCTCTCTATATATCTGACTGTCTTTGAGCTGCAACATCAATCCTCTCTTACCTTCAGACTTGGACTGGAACTTACCCCATGGGCTCTTCTGGTTCTCAGGCTTTCAGACTTGGACTGGAACTCTACCATCAGCTCGCCTTAGTCTCTAGTTGCCACCTGCAGATCTCAGACTTCTCAGCCTTCATAATCACATGAGCCAATTCCTTACTCTCTCTCTCTCTCTCTCTCTCTCTGGTGTGTGTGTGTGTGTGTGTGTGTATGTGTGTGTGTGTGTGTGTGTGTGTGTATGTGTGTATGTGTTCTGTTTCTCTGGAGAACCCAGACCAATATATGTAGTTTTTCCTATCTCAACAAATAATCCCCAGGCATCCAGATGCTCAGGCCAAAAATCTAGGAGCTATCCTTCAGTTCTTTCAGTTCAGTGTGCCTGAGAGTGCCATCAACTTGACCTCAGAAATATGCTCTGAAACTCTCCACTTTTCTCTGCTGGTGCCACACAATTCAAGGCACCCAGATTACAGCAATGGGTAATCCACAGCTTCCACTCCTGCCTCACCCCCATTCTCCACACAGCAGCCAAAATGAACTCTTACAAACAAAACCACAGCATACCACCCTCCTTTTAAAACCTTCTAATGACTTCACAACACACTTAGAATAAAAACCAAACATCTAGCCCCAGCTCATAAACATTGCATGATCTCACCCTGACGACCTTTTCAACCTCCTCGCCTGGCGCCCTGGCTACCCTGGCCTGTCATGGGTTCCTCACACACTTTGAGCTTCTTTTTATTGAGACAAGGTCTCACTCTGTCACCCAGGATGGAGTGCAGTGGCACCATCTCGGCTCACTTCAACCTCCACCTCCCCAGTTCAAATGATTCTCATGCCTCAGCCTCCTGAGTGGCTGGAATTACAGGCGTGCGCCACCACATTCAGCTACTGTTGTATTTTCAGTAGAGATGGGGTTTCACCGTGTTGCCCAGGCTGGTCTTGAACTCCTGAGCTCAAGTGCTCTGCTCACATTGGCCTCTCAAAGTGCTGGGATTATAGGCGTGAGCCACCGCTTCCACCTCAAGCTGCTTTTTGACGGACTCTGCACTAGCTGCTTCCTTTTTGCAGAATCCCCTTCGTCCCCTGCCCCCTGTCAATATTCTCATGATGGCCCCATGTCCTTCAGATCGCTGCAAATGCCACCTCCTCAAAGAAGTTTTCCCTGACCAGCCATCCTGAAGCAGCTGCTTCCTCAGTTACATGCCGACAGTGCAATTGTCAGCATGAGTGGTATCTACTACTAGCAAACAAGTTGTCTGTGTTTTTGTGTGTTCATTTCTTTATTTATTTTCTCCGCCTCACAAGAGTATACAGTTCAAGAGAGATATAAGGTCTGCCTTGTTCACCATTCTCTATTCAGTTTCTAAAACAATACCGGAGCCATGGTGAGTGCCTGACAGGCATTTGTTGAATGACTGCCGTGTGGCTTTGAGATGTATATTCATGGCTCTTTGGACTATGCAGGTGGATCAGCCTGGTTTAAAAATAGAGGATTAGACAGACATTGACTCCTGGTACATGGTTGATATTTGCAGCAAGCATTCCTGAGGGCCCATGCCACAGCCCCGAAGCCCACCTCTGATTTCAGCTACAGCTGTAGTAGGCGGTTCTATGCTTCCTGCTCCCTAAGCTTTTTTTTTTTTTCTTTTTCTTTCTTTTCTTGACAGAGTCTCACTCTGGAGTCTCACTCTGTTGCCCAGGCTGGAGTGCAGTGGTGTGATCTCGGCTCACTGCAACCTCCTTCTCCTGGGTTCAAGCGATTCTCCTGCCTCAGCCTCCCAAGTAGCTGGGATTACAGGTGCATGCCACCACGCCTGGCTAATTTTTATAATTTTAGTAGAGATAGGGTTTCGCCATGGCCAAGCTGGTCTCGAACTCCTGACCTCAAGTGATCCTCCCGCCTTGGCCTCCCAAAGTGTTGGAATTACAGGTGTGAGCCACCACGCCTGGCTCCTAAACCTTTCTTGGGGATTTTGAAGAGGCAAGGCAAGGAAAAGCAAAAAGAAAAAGGCACAGTCCAGAAGAGCTAGAGAGTTCATGCCCCTAGGATAATCTTCAACAAATGAGAGGTGGGAGTTTATGGATAAAAAGCCTCCAGTCTTACAGAGGAACTACCCAAGGTGTATGCTACACAATTTCTCATGGGGGCTCCCGCAGAAGTGAACCGTAGTTGCTCATAGTAGTAACTAGCTCATACTCTCCTGTTGGCTGTTCCTCCTTCTCTGTCTTCCTCTCCCTGCCCCCTCCTTTCTGTTTTCTGGCTCACCTCCCAAGTAAACTACCTGCATCCAAATCTTTGTCCTGGGCTCTGCTTTCAGGGGATAAGATAATGCTTAATAGTTTTTGGATGCGTGAATGATTCAATTGTGGTAGACAGTTTCAAAGCAATTTAAGAAGTGTTCTTTGCCATATACTTGGAAAATATTATTAAAAGCTATTCTCAACTGCTTGTATAGTCTATAGATTAATATGTTTTTGTTATGCTGTTCCTTTTTTAAAATAGATTTTTATTTGTATGGATAATATCGATTTACAAAAGGATAATTTAGGTTTACATGCTTAAAGTTTCCAAGGTACCTTCTTTCCCATGGAATTCATTTGCCTGTTAGGCTCTAATTATTCCAGTCTGTATGACCTTGACCGAAACACTTCACTTCTCATTCTCCCTGCATATAAAATGAGTGAGCTAGATAGATACTTTCTGCAGTATATTTAGGTGCTGAGGTTCCGTAGGTCTATATGCAAGATCAGATTGTGTTTATTGAAGGCAAAACAGTCCTATTTCGAGGCAGGGGCTGCTTCTTAGGACCAGAGGTGGATGTATCATGAGGCTAGTGAAGCCTAAGCTTCAGGATCCTGCCTTTGCTCTGACCCCATGCAAGGCCCCACTGGGAAGCACCCTAGCAATGTGCTCATGTGGTTATATGCTTTGGTAAAATGTGCAATCATAATATTGTTTCTTGTTTTCCTCAGTGAAGGTCTCCCTTTTTTATTTTTGGAAATGGAGATTCGCTCTTGTTACCCAGGCTGGAGTGCAATGGCGCAATCTCAGCTCACTGCAACCTCTGCCTCCCGGGTTCAAGTGATTCTCCTGCCTCAGTCTCCCAAGTAGCTGGGATAACAGGCATGCGCCACCACGCCTGGCTAATTTTTGTATTTTTAGTAGAGACAGGATTTCTCCATGTTGGTCAGGGTGGTCTTGAACTCCTGACCTCAGGTGATCTGCCCGCCTTGGCCTCCCAAAGTGTTGGGATTACAGGTGTGAGCCACTGTGCCCAGCCAGGTCTCCGTCTCCCACTTCTTTCTTTTCTTCTTTTTTTTTTTTTTTTGAGACAGACTCTTGCTCTGTTGCCCAGGCTGGAGTGCAGTGGCATGATCTCGGCTCACTGCAACTTCTGCGTCTCAGGTCCAGGCAATTCTCCTGCCTCAGCCTCCCAAGTAGCTGGGACTACAGACGCCTGCCACCACGCCTGGCTAATTTTTGTATTTTTAGTAGAGACAGGGTTTCACCATATTGGCCAGGCTGGTCTTGAACTCCTGACCTTGTGATCCACCCACCTCAGCCTCCCAAAGTGCTGGGATTACAGGTGTCAGCCACCACGCCTGGCCAGATCTCCCATCTCTTATAAGCTCTGCAAGCCTGGATCTGCCCTATGGCCTCTTCCTGTGCCCTGGTTAAAGTCTGTCATGACTTCTTCTTGCTGTGGCCACAGTCTAGCTGCAATGACTGCAGCCTGAGGGGTCCACATGGAGAGATGCAATCCACTCTTATTTGCTGTGTAAGTAAACAATGGGTGCATTTAGATTTCAACATGACTCTATCTTCAAAGTCCCTGAATTGAAGTCCTTGCACTGCTGAACTATCTTTTGGATTTTAGAATCGGGGTGGTTCCGAGTCTTAATTAGCACACTTTAGTCTAGACTACTTCTGTCTCCCTGAAAATGGTTTTAACAAATGATAGGTCATGCTTGTTAGGTAGGCTCTTGGCCACAAAAAGGCCTCGAATTAATCTGCTCCACAGTATTTATTTATATGTAAAGTTTACCTATCATTATTGAGTGTTAGGCACTGTGTTAAGAGCTTTACAAGCATTGGTTCTCCTCCGAAGAATGTTGTGAAGCATTATCCCCAATATATCGATGAAGAAACCTAGGCCCAGAGAGGTTAAGAAAATTCCCCAAAATCTCACAGCTCCAAAATGGGAAAGTAAAAAAAAAAATTTTTTTTTAAATTTTAGACAGATCTCGCTCTGTCGCCCCAACTGGAGTGCAGTGGTGCGATCTCGGCTCACTGCAACCTCTGCCTCCCAGGTTCAAGCGATTCTCCTGCCTCAGCCAGGCCCAAAGTACAAATTTAAAACAAAGTTTCAAAATCCTCCTGGCAAAATATCCATAGACTCTTGGAGATGACACATTTGAGGGACAACATTGGTTTTCAAGTTAAGATTTTGATATACTTTTTAAAAATCACTACTTTTTCTTTCTTTCTTTCTTTCTTTCTTTCTTTCTTTCTTTCTTTCTTTCTTTCTTTCTTTCTTTCTTTCTTTCTTTCTTTCCTTCTTTCTTTCTTTATTTTTTGAGACAGAGTCTTGCTCTGTCACCCAGACTGGAGTGCAGTGGCATGATCTTGGCTCACTGAAACCTCTGCCTCCTGGGTTCAAGCAATTCTCCTGTCTCAGCCTCTCGAGTAGCTGGGACTGCAGGTGCACACCACCACACCCGGTTAATTTTGTATTTTTAGTAGAGATGGGGTTTCGCCATGTTGCCCAGGCTGGTCTTGAACTCCTGACCTCAGGTGATCCACCCACCTCGGCCTCCCAAAGTGCTGGGAATACAGGTGTGAGCCACCGTGCCCAGCCAAAAATCACTACTATTTTTGTACTTATGTTTTATAAGTGACCATTATGCCATATATATGTATCATTCATTCCTTCATTTATACATCCATCCCTCCATCCATTCACCTACTCCTTCATCCATCCATCCATCCATCCATTCATCTATTTGTCCATCTGTCCATCCAACCATCCATCCATCCAACCATCCACCCACTCACCCATGCACTGGTCCACTCATCATATTATACACACATCTATCTATCCGCTTACCCACCCACCCTCCATCCATCCATCCCCCATCCATTCATCCATTCACCATCCATCCTTCCATCCATTCATCCATCCATCCATCCCTTCTTCCATCCACTTCTTCATCCATCTATCCACCCATCCACCCATCTGTCCATCCATCCATCCTACAATCTTCCCTGCACCAGGTCCTATTCTAGGTGCCAGACATCACACATCCATTTCCATGACACATTGCCTTTCATATTATTTCTCACACTCAGAACAGCATCCCTCCTCCTCTGTCTGTCCAAATATTACCAGCTCTCACGTGCCATTCAGATTCCTCATCCGCACTGAAATTTTCTCTCCCTACATTAAATCAAATAATTTCAGTCCAAATCTGGATTTGATGTAATATTAGGACCACAAGGCTGGCTGTGGTGGCTCACATCTGTGTGAGGCACTTTGGGAGGCTGAGGTGGGAGGGAGGAATCCTTGAGCTCAGGAATTTGAGACTCACCTGAGCAATATAGTGAGACCCTGTCTTTACAAAAAAAAAAAAAAAAAAATCAGCTGGGTGTGGTGGCATGTGCCTGTGGTCCTAGCTACTGGGGAGGCTAAGGTGGGAGGATCGCTTGAGCCCAGGAGGTCAAGGCTGCAGTGAGAAAAAAAAAATCCACAAGAATTAGAATTTGACAGATTTGGCTTAAAATCCCAGCTCTGCCCCTTCAATGGCTGTGTAACCAAATTGTTTTATTCTGTCTCTAGTTTCCTCATTTGTTAAATGGAAATAATAATAATAATTAGAATAGTAATTATGATAATATCTGTCTTAAAGGTGATTGGAAGATTCAATGAGCAGTTGAACGTTAAATACATGGCAGGAAGTAGATGTTTAATAAAAGTTATTTTTTCTGTCTCCGTGTCGCTCCTTCCATCTCCAAAAAACTGACCCAGTGGTCTGTACTGCAACTGACTCAGATTCAGGTTGTTAATTAATCATTTAATGTGTTTAAATCATTTCTCTAATAAGAAGCCTATGAATTCCTCAAATGCATAGACTACATGTTATGAATCTGAAACATCTTTCTCCCTGCATGGGGATCCATATGGCGCTAGGGATATAGGAGATGCCCTCTAAGTAGTTGTCAGTTCAAATTGGATTCAGCGTTTCACTCACTTCCTTCAGCTGCCATGAGAAAAAGGAGTGAGGAAGCTCTGCAGGAAGTTCTGGAGGCCCCGAACCGTCCAGGGGTCCCGCATGCCTGCTTGCTCCTAGTCCCCAGCAAGGCTGCTCATGTCTTGGGGATTTCTCTATCAAGACTCTTATTCTCCCACCCAGGGTCTGGGGAAGGGTTGAGGGTCAGGTGGGGACGCAGGCGGTTGCAGAAGTCATGTCCTAAGTCTGAGTCATGTGCAAGGCTCAGCTTGGCATCTGGCTGTGGAGCCCCAAAGCTCTTGTCTATCAGGGTCTCTTAATGCTGAAGGGAAGGCAGCCCAGATAGCACCAAGAGGGCAGGTGAAGGTGAATACAGGGACAGCCAGGCAGTGGCCAGCCAGGATGCTGAGTTACACAGGGGACCGAGACATCATGGGATTAAATTGGCAAGATGTAAACTGGTTCTGCTCCCACCGAGGGAGATGGCGACCGTCAGTGGGAATGGAATGAAGCACACACTTGCTGGCCCAGGCTAATCTCTGCTGAGTTTTTGTGAAACTCAAAAATTCTTATGTGTGGGACTCATGCATAATCTGCTGAAGTTCTAAAAACCACAGGATGAATGCATAGTTCGTGCTATTTGCCGGGAACTTTCTAATTTTCAAAACCTTTTAAAGTGCCTTTTTAAGAAGTCCACTTTAGGAAGTCAGCAAGGAAAACCCAAGAGGGAACCAGAACTCTAGAAAGGGTGGAAATATTGTCAAATTTTCCTGAACATAGATTCTGCTTTGGCCAGTAAACAAGAAGTAGTAATTGGGTCATTTCTGTAAACAGTATTTATTCATAGGAAATCAGCATTTACTTATGACATTTGTTCATAGGAAATCCCCAGCCCCACTTAATAGCTGTTAAGTAAATAATTCAAAAATAATATCTGATAGCACAGCAAATGATTGGAGCCAGGGTGTGCCTCTGAGGGCAGGGATGTAGCTCATCTTGAGGGGGGCTTCCTCACAGACAGGCTCCAAGACTAAGATTCTAGTGCAAATGGTTTATTTAGGAAGTGGTCTCAGGCAACTCTTGTAGGGGAGTAGGGAGGCGAGGCAGGGTAGGGAAGGAGACCAGTGAAGAATGAATTTTTTAAATCACCTTACCATCTGGGAAGCTGGAGCTTAACTCCACTGGGGACACACTGGGAGCTAATGTCAAATACCTGCCTTAGAGTTTACCTGCCTGAGGAGTGGGGGAGCTAGAGCTGCCCTGGGGGTGTTAATTCTAAGACTTGTCTATTCTGTCTTGTACATGGGTATGGCAGGTTTCCTCCATTTAAAAAAAGAAAGGCCTTAAAGCAAAGACATATGGGTGCTGAGAGTCTGTTGGGCCAGTTAACCGCAAAATGAGAAGACCTGAGGGGGCATAGCAGCTCTGCCACCCTGCGGTATCACCAGCCCCTAGCACAGTGCCTGGCCACAACAGGCAGCCTGTATTTTTCCACTAAATGAATGAATCCACAACAGCACCCATTTTAGAATGGCCACAGTGAAGGCTGGAGAGGTAACCCAACACACAATAGCAGGGCACCCATGTGCAGGCATTTCTCCACATCCCAGGCTTTCCGATTTTACCTTTGTGCCAGGCACTGTGATAAGCACTTTCTATGGAAAGTTTGATTGAATCCTAAAAACAAGTAGTAGGTTAGAATAGGTCAAACTGGTTTAATACTTACAATTTCATATGCTTCTACCGTATACATGAATTAGGTCTTATTATTTTTTACATTGTACAGATGAAAACTCTGAGACATGAGAGAGTAAGCAACGTAATTATGGTCTCACAGACGGTGTTTCTCAAACTGTAATGTGCACTGGGGACCTTGTGTAAGTGCAGATTCCGATTCAGTAAGTCTGGGGACCATTTGAGATTCAGCATTTCTCCAAGTTCACAGGTGGTTCCTGCTGGATGGACCACATGCTTTGAGTAGGTGATTTGAGTTTATCTGACTCAACTCTAGAGCTGAGATGGGGATCAGGTAAGGAGACTACCAAACAAGCATCCTGTAATATGTTAATGTTTTTCATAAAGGAACTTTTCTTTGATCCAACTTTAGTGCCTACTATACATTGAGCATATGATAGGCACACATTTGCCAACCAGAAGACTCCAGGATCTTTCTCTTTCATCTCCCTCCCTCCCTTCCTTCCTTTCTTCCTTCCTTTTTTCATTCTTTTTCTCTTTCTCTTTTTTTTTGACTTCTCTTTTCCTTTGCTCATTATAAATTCATTAAATTTTTTTCAGATGCAAGTAATGCAAGTAGCAGAAACTGATTTTGGTTTAGTTGAGTCAAAAGGGTAATTAATTGGAAAATCTTCCAATGTGGGCTCACAAAATTTCCAGAAAGTCTGGAAGACCATGTTTGGAACAGAGGCTAGAGCCAAGGTGTATTAGTCAGGGTTCCGTAGAGGGACAGAACTAATAGGATAGATGTATATATAAAGGAGAGTTTATTAAGGAGTATTGACTCACACAATCACAAGGTGAGGTCTCACAATAGACCATCTGCAGGCAGAGGAGCAAGGACACCAGTCTGAGTCCCAAAGGTGAAGAACTTGGAGTCCAATGTTTGAGGGCAGGAAGCATTCAGTGCAGGAGAAGGATGTAGGCCAGAAGACTAAACCAGTCTACTCTTTCCATGTTCTTTTGCCTGCTTTTATTCTGGCTGCGCTGGCAGCTGATTAGATTTTGCCACCCAGATTAAGGTGGGTCTGACCTTCCCAGTCCACTGACTCAAATGTTAATCTCCTTTGGCAACACCGTCACAGACACACCTAGGAACAGTACTCGGCATCCTTCAATCCAATCAAGTTGACACTCAATATTAACCATTACAATATTACAATATTAACCATTACACAAGACAACTCCAGAGGGCCAAGACGCTTGGAGATGCTGGAGCCCCAACTTTCACTGCCTGGAAGGTGCTATGTCTGGGGCATGGCCTCCTGATGGAAGCATGGACTCTCCAGCCAAGCTTATCCCTGGGTCTGTGCCCTTCACCCCCACAACTGCTACTATAAAATAACTGTAATGACCTTTCAAGTTTCACCATCCCCTCATGAGTCAAAGAGTATTCAACTGGCTGATGTTGGCTTACATGCCAGGTTCGTGGCTGCCAGGAGACCAGGAGAAGGAGGCAGGGCACTGTCCCTTCAAGCTACCCACAACAGGTGTTCCCCTAATGGAAAGGAAGATTGATGCTAGACAGTACAACCTGCAAATGTCCATCACAGCTATGCTGACTAGTTTCTTTGATTCTGCCTTCTAGAAAAAAAAAAAAAAAAACTCAGCTGCCCTGCAATTACCAAGAACCTCAAAGAAAAAAGTGAAAAGCACAGCCTGAGAGTCTGAGAGCCTAATGACCTTGATTTAAACAATGTCAGGCATTTAATTCTGCTCAGCTACAGGAAAAAGAGGAAAAGGGAAAAAATAGTTTTTACCCTGATTTTAGAATCTGCTGATGAAAATTTTGAAGCACTTCTTGATGACGAAACCAAATGTGGCTTTCTGCAGCTTGCCACCAGCTGAGAGACATATAGAAAATCTCCCTCTCTTAGCCAGGCGCGGTGGTTCATGCCTGTAATCCTAGCAGTTTGTCTGGGAGGCCAAGGCGGATGGATTGCTTGAGCTCAGGAGTTTGAGACCAGCTTGGGCAACATAGTGAGACCTCGTCTCAAACAAAAAAAAAAATTAAAAGAAAATCTCCCTCTGGAGCTCCCTTCCTTTCATGCTTTAATTAATTTCCACATACATGTATTCAATGAACATTTATTGTGTAACTACTCTGTCTCCAGACCTGTGCTAGGTGCAGAGGAAACAATGATGAAAAATAGAGTTCCTTAGGAGAAGCTCTGATGGAGTGAAATTGTAGGATATGAATATGATACAATGAAAGTAAGAGTTGCTGTAAAATTAGTCCTGGAGGGCCCTGAGAATTGGGGAAAGATTTTTATTTAGGTGAGTAAATCGAGCCTGCCACCGGCTGGTAGATTTACTGTTGAAAACAAAATGTTCTTAGCTACAAAAGCAGCTGAATATTTTAAAGGCAAAAAGCTTCCACGCCCTAGCCTTATAGAACAAGTCACCTTCCATTTGTCACCAGTAGAAGGCGACAACACGATGGATTAAAGCTGGTCCTTAGCGAAGGAAACCAACAGGCAACATCTGACTTCTGATGTAAGAGCTGGAAAAATAGTCTGGCAGTAAAATCTTTTCTTTCTTGCTTGCTTGCTTTTTTTTTTTTTCCTTGTACAAAGCTATTTCAAAACTTTACAATCTGTTCTCAGGGAGTAGGCCCTTATGTTATTGAGGAAGGAAATTCACATAAAGAAATCAGGTCCAGTGTAAAATCAATGGGACTTAAGCTACAATAAAAGTCTAGGGGACCAAAAACCTAACAAAAATATTCCTCACTGTTAAGATATAATGTGTCTCTATGCACCAATTGATTAACAGTATTTATAGAGCAACTACTTGGTGGCATTCTAGGGACTCAGGGGTGTTTAAAAAAGGTAATCCTTCAAGAGAGATATGAATTTCAATTTTTTTTTTCTTTTAAGCACATGACATTTTTATTTTGGGCTGTACTTTATAAGGTATGAAAAGTAAATGGGATTTGCAATCACCATTTCTGCAATGTACCTTTGGGCTGCTGGTTTATACAAACACCTCCATACTAAAAAAAAAAATGCAAAATTAATTCTGTAGTTGAGTCATCTTATTAATCAACCAATTAATCAATACTGCATAAGCACTCATGTGTTGGGATACCGAGGTTTCAAAGGCACGTTTTCTGTTCAGAAGGAAATTGTGATCCAGCTAGAGAAGAAAAACATAGGAACAAACATGCTATTTAATAACAAGTAAAGGGCCTGGCGCGGTGGCTCACACCTGTAATCCCAGCACTTTGGGAAGCCAAGGTTGGTGGATCACTTGAGGTCAGGAGTTCAAGACCAGCCTGGCCAATATGGTGATGGACTGAGACTGACTCAAAAAAAAAAAAAAAAAAAAGAGATAAATAATATGAGGATTGCCACTTAAAAGGCACTCCAACATATTGCAAACTCTGTGAGACCAGAGACCATGTTGACTTGTTCATCAAACACCTTTTCAAAGAGCTGGCATTTAGCATAAGTTCTAAGCATATTTACAGAGTCAATGAATCAACACACAAATGAATAAATACCATCTAAAGGGTAAAGAATAATTCATTAATGAAATAATATGAGGGCCAGGCATGGTGACTTACACCTGTAGTCCCAGCACTTTGGGAGGCCGAGGCAGGTGGATCGCTTGAGGTCTGAAGTTCGAGACCAGCCTCGCCAACATGGCAAAGCCCCATCTCTACTAAAAATACAAAAATTAGCCAGGCATGGTGGTGGGTGCCTGTCAATCCCAGCTACTCGGGAGGCTGAGGCAGGAGAATTGCTTGAACCTGGGAGGCAGAGGTTGCAGTGAGCAGAGATCCTGCTACTGCACTCCAGCCTGAGTGACACAGCGAGACTCTGCCTCAAAAACAAAAAACAAAAAACCACCAAGAAAAAGAACCAAGTGAGTGGTGGTTTGGATGGACAGTTGGGTGATGGAAGGCTGTCTAGAGCAGGGGGTGAAGCATGGGCTTTCAGATCAGGGGGTACCACCTGTGCTTGGGGATGACCCTGGGCAAGTCATCATCCTCACTGGGAAGCCAGTGGGGCTGGGTTTGATCCTGGATGCATGACCTAATCTCTGTGAGAATCTGAATAAGTTCACCATTCTGAGACTCAGGTTTCTTGTCAGTTCAGTGAAAATGATAGTAACAGTACCAACTTAATGGGGTTGTTGTGAGGATAATCTAGATAATCCATGGAAAGAATTTAACCCACTGTGTAGTACACGACTAGCTCTTATATTGATGGGGATTTCATTCCCTTTTCTGTAAACTGGGGATAACAATAGCCCACATTTAATAGGCCTCTTGTAAAGATTAAGTAATAAATGTAAACACATTTTACATTTATTACATATAAATAATGCATGAATGTAAATTGCCAAGCACAGTTCTTAGCATACAATAAGTATTCAAGAACTGCTGCTAGTGAAAGTAAAGACCGCTTATGCCAGGGTAGTCAGGGGAGGCTTCTTGGAGGAAAAGAGGCTTGAAGGATGAATCATCTTTGGAAAGAATACAGATGCAGGCATTCTAGCAGGGGCCCAGGCATATAAGCAAGTTATGGAGATAGAAATATGAAAGATGTGTGTTCGAGAAAAAACAGAATCCCTAAAGCAAGCACCTCATCAAATCAGAAACTTAGAAAGGCCATTAGACTTATGGATGGTCACACTTGCAGCAGCCAAAATTGAGACTGGGTCATGAGATGAATCACTTCAACAAGCCACTTCCCTCTCTGGGCCTCAGCTTCTGGGTTGGTAGAGTTAGACAGGAGTGGTTCCTCATCAGGGACTCTTTCAGTGCTAACATTCTGTAAATACAAGTTTGTTCCCACAGTACAGTGTGAGCACACATGTTTATGCAACCCCAGAGGACTTTAAAATTGATGTGTGAATGTCTTCAGTGCTTATACCATGGAGGCTAGGTTTCCTTCAAGCCATTCATTCATTCATCCATTTTTCTAAACATTTACTAAGCTCCTACTATGTGCAAACACTGTTATAGATGCCAGGGCTTTCTAAAACCAAGATCTGACTGCATCCCAGCCCTGCTTAGATACTTTCAATGACTTCTGGTTGACAAGTGCAAACTCCAGGCCACATAACCATGTCCTTCCCTATTGCCATGCCTTGCTTTTGTTCCTGCAGTTTCCTCTCTCTAGATTGTCCCTCCAAGTCATCTAGACTAGCCAGCATCTAACGATCCAGACTCCTTTAAAATTTTCCTTCCCTTCTGAAGCCGTCATAAAATCTGCTTGGTCCTTGTCCCTAACCCAGACTGGTGTAATGCTTTCTCTGTGCTCACACAGCACTTTGTATCACCTCTGGTTACTGTGCTTGGCACTTTTTCAGTTCATTGTTTGTGTGGCTTTCTTTCCTGCTAGATTTTCAATACAATGAGGCAGTGACAGTGTTTTATTCATCTTTGAAACCTCAGCACCTGGCGTACTGCTTGGCACATGAGCAATAATTAAACATTTGATGAATGAGTTTGTTGAAGCTTTAGAAGTGGATGGGAATGGTGATATGAATAATATGACAATAATAGTGACTATTTTATATCACGTACTTCTTACACATCAAATTCTGAGCCAAGTGCTCTACATTCATGATCTGTTTAGTTTTAATCCTCACAACATGCTGTGAGGTAGGGGCATAGGGGATTGGTGAGACACGGTGTCTCTGGAGTTAGAGAGGCCAGGGTTTGAATTCTGGCTCCATGAGTGCCTTGTACACTCTTGTACTTTGTGCCTTGCAGTAGGGAGCTTGGTTAAGGAGATGAGTGGGGCTAAATGCTCCCTGTGCTTACCAAACCAAGTACTCTGAAATGGGGCTGCACCTGCCCAGAGGAAAGCCGGTGCCTGCCCATAGGGTGCCCTTTTTGGAAGTGGACGAGAATGGTGATTTCATATTTGAAAAAGGGCATGCTATGGGCAGGCACTGGCCTTGTCTAGCTCCAACCCATGCCAGCCATGTGGCATTGCACAACTTACTTAACCTTGCTTTTTGCCTAGCCTTTCTCATCTTTATAATGAGATTATGACACCACTAACCTCACAGAGTTTTTGTTAGGGTTAGGCAGGATAATGCATGTGGTATGCTTGGCACTTGTCTCAGATACATATTCCATAGACGCTAGTTTTTATTATCTGTAGCAATAATAGCCCTATTTGCCAAATAAGCAAATTTAGAGAGAAAAGAGTTGGCTGAGAGCAGAATATGGGGGCACTCCTCCATTTAGAGGCAGCAGAAAGAACCAGGAGAGAGAAGGGCTGAAAACATTGTGCAAGGGTGAGTTAGAGGAGAGGCTGGTCAGGTGTCAGGAACTTCTGAAAGATTAAGCTGGAAAAAGCCTGCGAACAGTCCCTTGGAGCTGACAGTTAGAGATCACTAATGATCTTTGAATGAGAAGTATCATGACAGCAGTGGGAGAGGAAGCCAGATTGCTGTGGGCTAAGGTGTCAATGAGTGGTAAGGCAGAAAGAGTAACTCTGACCTATTCATCAGAAATTAACTTGTGAAGTGCTTGTTTCTGTGCCCCCAAATTCATATGTTGACATCCCCAACCCTAAGGTGATGGTATTAGGAGGTGGGGCATTTGGGAGTGATTGGGTCATGAGGTTGGAACCCTCATGGATGAAATTAGTGCCCTCATAAAAGAAGCCTGAGGCTGGGCGTAGTAGCTTATGCCTGTAATCCCAGCTACTCGGGAGGCTGAGGCAGGCGAATCACTTGAACCTGGGGAAGCAGAGGTTGCAGTGAGCTGAGATAGCACCACTTCACTCCAGCATGGGTGAAAGAGCAAAACTCCATCTTAAAAAAAAAAAAAAAAAAAAAAAAGAAGCCTGAGACAGACCTTTTGCCCCTTCTGCCATGTGGAAGGTGCTGTCTATGAGCCGAAAATTGGGCCCCTACCAGATACTGAATCTGCCTTGATCTTGGACTTTTTCAGCCTCCAGAACTGTAAGAAATAAATTCTTGTTGTTTATAAGCTACTTGGTTATGATATTTTTTATAGAATCCCAACCAGACTAAGACACGAAGGGTCAGAGGCAAATAGGTCAGTTGCTTTAGGAGGATTCAAATTGATAAACACCTTCCACATACTTTATTTCTTTTTTTAAAATTTTATCCACATGCTTTATTTTAGGTAATAGGTATCCCCTTCAAAGGGCCAGATCAAGGGAGCTCCAGGGAGACATGGACCCCTGCCTGAACCCCATATCTATCTGTGGAATCTGGGTATCTCTCCATCTCTCCAGACTCCTGGGATGATAAGGAGGATGATTTATCTCAGCTACTCAAACACTGAATGGGACTATCTTGTATTTAAGGAGAGAAGAAAGTTGAATGTATTTTTTTTAGGCAGAGTACAGTCAACAGAATACAAAGCGATAGAAGGATGAGGTCAAGGACCCAGGTGGATGGATTCATCCTGGTGGATGGTGGGGATGGAGAATGCAAGGGAGAAGACAAATAGACAAGTCAAGGATGCAGCAGAAGGAAGATGAAGGACTCTCTGATGGTCTTTCTTGGAACAGAAAAATGTAAGGTCTGCGGAGAGTGCAGGGACCAAAAGGTGAAGGGCCGTGCATTGGTCAGGACAGGTTAAATGCTGCAACAAAAAATCCCTAAGTTTTAGTGGCTTCCCATAATGAAAATTTATTTCTTTTCATATCAAGTCCAGACAACGTAGGGTTGGCAGGAGCCTCTGCTCCATGCAGTGATAAGGATCCAGGATCCATCCATTTTATGGCTCCCTCATTTTGTGGGGCCTCAAAGTCCTTTTCTGAACCTTCTTCATCTGTTGGCAAAAGCAGGAAGAAAGAAAACATGGAGGATTGTGTAGGAGATTTTATAGGCCACTCCTGGAGGTGTTGCACATCACTTTTGCTTATGTTTTATTGGCCAAACTTCAGTCACATGACGAATCTTAACTGCAAGGGAGGCTAGGAGGCATCCTCAAACAGTGTGCACAATTCCATCTTGTCTGTGTCCTCAGTGCCCAGTGCCTTGCACAACGTCTGGGCAATAGTGGATACTCAGAAACATCACTGAATAAGTACGTAGGTGAACATGATCTCATTTGGTCCTCACTATTCTCTCTACTGGTACCCTGCTTGAGGTTCAAAGACAACATAGACCTAATGTCCTAGATATGAGCTAAAGGTTGGGCTTATGCTTAGAGCTGGTCTTCCTATGATGCTGATATACTGCAGTGATCCATTCATACTCTTTGCACTTGTATGTTTGCTAGCTGGGGTTAGTCCTGAAGTCTGTAGTTAGTGCCTCTGGCAGAATTATACTGCCTTCCTCTCAGGGAAAGAAATATCAGAGTTTTTCTTTAAAAGCCCAGCACTATAACCAGTTTGAGTTAATGATTCTACAAGTACATTAACCAACTACAATTTCCAATCCAAATATGAGATAACCAGCCCATGATTTGGCTAACCAGATCCTCCCTGAACCATACAGCCCCTTGCTAAACTAGCAAGTCCGAAGATGAATGGACATGTTACTGACTGAGCTAACAAGTCCCCATTTAAGCTAACTAGTTCCTAGGGTCACAAGGTACCACTGATTCGACTGTGTCCTACAGATAAAGTTTAAAACCCAGGACTAGGGTTAATCTTCTCCAACACCTTTATAATGACCCTTTTTATGGATAACATACACTCTAGAAGGGGAAGGAAAGCTGGTGATGTGAGTCATAACTTTCCTAAAGGTCAAATAAAGGGCTCTTTATCAGGCTGGCGAAGCTCGCCTGCAAGTGCAGCATGATGCGAAACCGCGTCGGGCAGGGAATGCCAAGGATATTTTTATAAACAACTCCAGAGCCATCAACAATGTGCGGCTGGTGCAGAGATTCCCATATTTGTAGATGATATTTCATGAGCCAGGGTGCCTCTGAATGAGAGTGAGTGCCAACAAGCTGAAGAAGGAGAGGGAAGCAGAAGCAGGCAGTTCTAACACAAGTCAGTGTTTCAGGCCCGTGGAGACACAGGGGCTGAGGCCGACATCTCTGACTCACTCAGCCTGGTGTGGGGCAGTAGAGGCAGTGCTGGATAGCAAGGCGTTGGGTGGATGGGAAGCGAGTAGGGTCTCCTAGTGCCAGGAGTCCTGCCCAGACTGCAGAAGGCAGCTGGGCCCTTAAGGATAAGAGTTCTGATGGCAAAGGAAACAGGCATCCCATTCAAAGGGCAGATCCATGGAGCCCTCAAGGAACATGGACCCCCCCGCCTAAACCCCAAGTCATCTGGAAAATGTGGCCATCTCTCCAGCCTCCTGATATGACAAGAAGGATGAATTTCCTCAACTACCCAGCTCCAGGCAGGACTGTGTCCCATCTCATGATAAGGCAACTCATTTCAAAGCAATTTAAAGTCCAGGCTTTGGAGTCAGTAGGTTCTAAGTCCCCAGTTACCACCTAGTAGCTATGTGGCCATGGGCAATTCATTCAACCTCTCTGGGCTTCGGTATCCTCTTCTATAGAACAGTGATACTATTTTGCAGGTTAGTGAAGATTTATTTAATGAGATTGTGCATGAAAAAAGCCTAACCAAATGCCCAGAAAGCAGTAGGTACGTAATATACAAGTTTGATTCCCTTCGCCTCAAGCCTGGCTTAGCGCTCTCCGGACCAGGCTTAGGCCTCCCCTTGTCACAGTGGAGCCTTGGATAGGCATGTGCCATCACTTCTGCAGTGCCCACCTTAACTGCCTGCCCACCAGACGTGGGATCCTGCCTTGCTTCCCTGGCCCATGTGGGCCTGCTGATGGCTCCAACCTGCCTGGCAGGAGTTCTCAGGCTATGATCATTCTGAGATCATTCAGGCTTGTAGAGACACAGGGGGTGAGGCTTCATTCTCAGGTTATGATCAAGACTCATGCCCAGCATACTTATTCTTGGAAATAGCACCGTGCAGGCAGGCAAGGTACTGGCAGGTATGGATCAAGGCTGGGAACCTCTGTCAGACTTCACGTAAAGAACTAAAGGCTGCTCATGAATGAAGGCAGCTGTGGCTGGCCTGCCCTCTCCTTCATGTCTCTTTCTAACAATGTCCAAATTAATGTTCTCCAGCTCTGCAGAGGAAATATTCTAAAGCATAGTAGTTTAAACTAAAGAAGGACTAAAAGTCTGACAAAACTTCTACCATGTAATTTATATGTGCTGAGCTGATGTGGATGGGTATATGTTCGTGGTCAACCAGGGAGCCTTCCACATTCTCGAGTCAAGTTGGAGTGGTGTTTATTGTGGTCTAGGGAACTCTTTGGACAGGCAAGACTCCAGGCCAGTGTTTATGACAATGGGGGATCTCTAGATCACCTTTCCCAGGACATCCAGGGATGCTTGTGCACATCTGCACACTACATTTTAGGAACTCTATCCTTCCTTCTTTTTTTTTGTTTCTGTTTTTTGAGACAGAGTCTCGCTCTGTTGCCCAGGCTGGAGTACAGTGGTATGATCTCGGCTCACTGCATCCTCCACCTCCTGAGCTCAAGAGATTCTCCTGCCTTCATCTCCCAAGTAGCAGGGATTATAGGCATGTGCCGGCACACCTGGCTGATTTTTGTAGTTTTAGTAGAGATGGGGTTCCACCATGTTGGCCAGGCTGCTCTTGAACTCCTGACCTCAAATGATCTGCCTGCTTCGGCCTCCCAAGTGCTGGGATTACAGGCGTGAGCCACCACTCCCAGCCCATCCATCCTTCTTGACTCCATCTCCATCCTTCTCCACTCACTCTGCACCAGCCACCGTGGTCTTCCCAACTTGAACACCCTAAGCATTACCCCTGGAGCCTCTGCTTCCACTCCTCCTCTTGCCTGGGAACTCTTTCTTCCTCCATCTCCTTCAGGACTCATCAGAGAGCATCTCACTGGCCATCCTTCATAAAACGGCACCCCCCACAAACTACTATTCCCTTATCATGGTGATTTTTCTTCTTACAACTTAGCTTCAGACCCATTACTACTTATTTTTTATTTACCATCTGTCTGTCTCCTACAAAATCAAGCTCCATGAAGACAGGTTTTCATTTTCATTTTTTTCACTGCCGTCTGCTCAGTTCATAAAACAGCCAGGCCCCTAGTAGGCCTTTAATACTTGGTCAATAGATGTGGGACTTGACCTTCAATTTGGCCTGTTGTCCATATATATAGTGAATTAGGTAGAAAGCTATCATTAATCACTTTACACAGATGAGGAAACTGAAATTCAGAGAGGTTAAGTGACTTGCCCAGGGTCACTAACTAGTTAGAGAGAAGGTCATAACCAGAACCCAGATATCCTGAATCTCAATATTATGCAAATGATGTGAGCCATTTGTGACTCCTTAATTCTTCAGCCCATTTCCCAAAGGACACCATGTTGTGTTGCCTTAAAGACTGCCTTTAAATGGAGCACTGACTCCATTTAAGCTTGATTGATTCTGCTCACAGACTTCTCAGAAATTGGAATTTAGAGGTGATAGGCAGAGACTAGTGCTTTTTAGTACAAACCACTTTTCGGTTTGTCCAGCGTCTACTCTGAACTCTGTTTATTCCAAGTCTAATGCAGAAAATACATGCACTAAAAAACAAATTTAAAATAAATGATAAGTGAGTTAGAAACTGCCTGGGGATGTCAGGAACTTATGCACCGTGCTATGTGGGTTTTGAGTAAATATTTGCTTTGCAAGCCAGGAAGCAATATGTATTTACCAAGGCAGTCTCAGGCTGAAGGGCACACATGCTACTTCTGGGGCTTGGCACGATCTCTCCAGAGAAGTGTGCACGTGGGCCTAAGCACCACGGCGTTCTGCAGAGAGGAGGCAGCTTGGCATCAGAAACCCGGGTTCTCATTTGAATTCTGCCCCTCTCTAGTTGGGCAAATTTGGGCAACTTACTGCTCTCTCTGGGCCTTTTTAGCCCTTAACATCCTATGACTTTAAGACAGACCTGAAAGACTTGTATCAAAATAAAAATAGTTAGAAAGAATAATAAGACCTAGTATTTGATAGTACGACAGGGTGACTATAGTCAATAATAATTTCATTGAACATTTAGAAATAACAAAAAGAGTATAAATAACAAAAAAGAGAACATTTAGAAATAACAAAAAGAAATAACAAAAAGAGTACACAGATGAGGAAACTGAAGTTCAGAGAGGTTAAGTGACTTGCCCAGGGTCCCCAACTAGTTAGAGAGGAGGTCATAACCAGAACCCAGGCATCTTAACACAAGACATAAATACTTGGGGGGATGGATACCCCCTTTTCCATGACGTGATTATTAAACATTGCATGCCTGTATTGAAGTATCTCATGTACCTCATAAATATATGCACCTACTATGTACCCACAGAAATAAGAAATAATAAAATAATTAAAAGTAAAAATTAAGAAATAGTTTTCTGGTCAGGAAATGGTTCAGACGTGAGAGGGCGGGGAAGAAGTTGTGAGTGCTTTCCTGTCTCTTTCTTCTTCTATCTTTTCCATTGAGTTAACTCTTTTCTCTCTTGTTTTTACTCTCAATTCAAGCATGTCTTTCTCTAAGCACTTGTAACCAATGCCAGAACTTCCTGAGGGCCTTTGCTGTGTTCTTCAACAACAACTAGTACCTGTGCCGAAAAC
The DNA here is from genome assembly GCF_000001405.40 of Homo sapiens. NCBI lineage: Eukaryota > Metazoa > Chordata > Mammalia > Primates > Hominidae > Homo > Homo sapiens. The sequence continues at coordinate 63,702,264 of NC_000001.11, forward strand.
AATCTGTGCTTTCAGGATAAGTGTTTGGCTATGTGGGGTGATGCGGTGGGCAGTGCCTAGAGGTTCCTCTGTCTAAAACATCACTCATCAGATCACACAGTGGGAAAGATGCTCACTGAACACATTCACTCAGCAGCTGCATATTGAGCTCCTTCCAGAGGGATATGTCAGCCAACAGAGCTCAGCCTGGCCCTCGTGAAGCTTAAGGTCTGGCGATGGAGAAATGGTTAGGGAATCAGCCCTAGTTCATGCTCCCGTGAAACTATTACAGGAAGCTGTAGCCACAGGAGGGGCACCTCCTTCCAATCTCAGTCTTGGCGAAAACTCTGGCAAACCTTTCCAAGGTATAATATGTGGCTTCTAAAACAAGATCTGAAATTATTCAGATAATTTCAGATAATAACTTCAGAGAGCTGAAGTTATTCAGGCAAAGGTGAGGAGGGAGAAAGTGTTCCGGGCTGAAGGTATACGTGTGTGTAAATGCAGAGGCCAGGCTGGGGGTGGATGGATTCAAAGAAGGCAGAGAGCAGGGGGGCTGGAGTGGGAGAGGGAGGCAGGAGATGAAATTAGAGAGGAGAGGGGGTGGGCTGGGTGTTGCCTAGAGCCTTGTGAGCACTTGAAAGAGTTTGGGCTGGCCAGGCACGATGGCTCATGCCTGTAATCCCAGCACTTTGGGAGGCTGAGGCAGGTGGATCACCTGAGGTCAGGAGTTCGAGACCAGCCTGGCCCACATGGTGAAACCCCGTCTCTACTAAAAAAACAAAAAACAAAAAAAACAAAAATTAGCTGGGTGTGGTGACACGTGCCTGTAGTCCCAGCTACTCGGGACGCTGAGGCAAGAGAATCGTTTGAACCTGGGAGGCAGAGGTTGCAGTGAGCCGAGACTGTGCCATTGCACTCCAGCCTGGGCTACAGAGCCAGACTCCGTCTCAAAAAAAAAAAAAAAAAAAAAAATAGTTTGGGCTTTGTGCCCAGGGCAGTGGGCAGTTCCTGGAGCTTGGGAATGTCACATTCAGATTTGTACTTTAGCAAGGTCACTCCTCACCTCTGCAGAGTGTACAGCCCCTCTCTGGAGGGAGGCAAGGCTGGAGAACCAGGGAATGGGTGACCGGGTGAGAGAAATCATAGAGCAGAGGAATCTTTTGATTCCAAGAGCAGGTCCAGCTGTGGAGCTTCCAGAGCAGGTTTCGTCTGCTGTTCTTTCTCAGACCCCTGTGGTTCCTTTTCTCCATGTGGCCACAGCATTCTCAAACTTGATTTTAATACATTCTGGGGTTTTGTCACATTAGAACAATGGGATACAACCCCTTTGAGCATGAGAACTGTTTCTTAACGTAAAAGACTTCACCCCCACGTCACGGTTCTGGTGCTTTTAGTATCTGTTAATTGAGAAAATAACTAAGGAACAAAAGCCTCCAGGAGATGGAGGCACACTTGAGAATTACCCACGTCTATATGGGAGCCAGGATTTAACCAGTCTGTTGACATGGCTGTTGTAACGTATGCATCTGTGGAGCCATCTGAAAGAACTCTGCACCCCCCACCCCCAAGGGGTTGGGAACCGTTGCGCTGGAACATGTGTGTTAAGAAGCCACATAGACATCTGTCCCCAGAGTGCAGTGCATGGCTGCCTTCTCTGTAAACCGTGGGGTGCATAAACTCAGCTGGTTCTAATTGCACAGGGCATGCCATATTGTTGCCCGATGTAATGTCAATTTTTATTTATTTGTGTTTGTGAAAAGCAGGGCTGATTAGACCACTTAAAACTGCACAGGCTGGTTAGAGCCAGGCTGGCGTTAGTGATTTCAGCTGCCCTCCCCAAAGTCATCAGCGCTCCCAGCTCTCAGCCTCCCTCTGAGAATATAAAATAGGGGCCTTGTGCTATCATGATTTCTATTTCATCCTGACTCTTATAAACTACCATATAAAAAGCAGCCGCTGATGGTTTTTTTACATTTCAATTTCATTTTGAGGCTTGGAAAATCACAAAATAAAAATAGCCCTGAGAGTGGAAAGTTTGGGGGAGTTTGTTTAGCTTTCTTTGAAATATACTTTGTGAAGAAATGTCAGTCATGAGATCTCTCTTGGTGGAGTGCTTTACTGTTGGTGTAATTTTTTTACATCGCTTTCTCCTGTGTAATCCTAAGGGAGACCCTGTGAGGTGTGAATGATTACTATCCTCATTCTGCAAATGAGACAGAAGCTCAGAGAGATGAAAAGACTGGCCTGGGCCAAGATGGCATGACCGGGAATGGCAGAGTCAGTCCAGGTAAATCCTCACCCCAAATCCTGGCCTCCCCTTACAATCTTACGTCTCTCCATGCCTGGTTCCTGCCTTCCTCCTTCCTCAGGTGTCCAGACCATGTCTGGACAAACATAGGCTCTGGCTTAGTCACCAGGCAACTTCCTTCCTGCCAAGAAACCTACTGCTCGGTATAAGACTATTTACTTACAGATCCTCTGGGTCCCCTTGCAGGTGGCCAGCTCCTTGAGGACAGGGCATTTGACTTTGTCAACCCTGTGTCCTTAGGACCCAGAAGAGGGTTTAGTACATAGTAGATATTTGGTTAATGTCCTCCAGATGGAAGCATCATTGAATAAGAAAGGTTGTTTTTTTTTTTAATCATTCTATTTCATTCCATTTTGGTCCTGATTATAAATTGGCCATTAAGAGATTGATTAAGGTCTTGAAGTTATTACTGGGCTTATCATTTTCTAAACTGTGTTTTGAGGAATGTTCTGAGATATGTCAATAGGCATTCCCCTAAAATTAAAATTTTCGTGGTCATAGAAGTTTGGGGAATACTGATTAAATAAAATCAACAGGCTTTTTTAATTGCAGTTGTTCTCAAAGCATAGATCCTTCTCCAGGTCTGGTTCCCTTCAAGATCTCCCCATCTGTATGAGTTGGAGGCATACTTCTCCTTTCTCACAGTTGTTTAATGAGTAACTTTTAAACACACACATCTGCACTTGTACACGGAACTCTTGTCCTGAGCGGCCCATCGTTTGCAGGGCTGCTTCTCTCACGGTGTCACCAGTTCTCAGCAAAGCCACGAGTGTGTATGTTTCTCTTCTTTATCACCTTCTCTGCCTCCACGCATAGCCAGGCCATAGACCTCCCAGTGCCTGAAAAACTCCCTTCCCTTTTGCCTAAAAAGTACTAAAGTCTCTTTCATTTAAAGAAATATTTCCTTGTTCATACTGCTTCCTCAGCCTGTGGCTCCCTTTTACTTCTGCTCTTTGACTTCAAACTTTCTTGAGGAGTTGAGCACATCTGAAGTCACAATGCCTTCCTGAGGGCAGTCTGCCTCCAATGAGTAGTGAATGCAGAGGAGTCAAGCCAGCCTCTTTGCCCCAAGTCAGGATTACTCTGCAGGTCCATCCAAGCTCCAAAGCTCCACCTGGGATTAGCTGAGACCTTTGCTTCAACACGCCAACTTCCTCTAGCCAATTCTGTTCCTTCACGTCTGTCAAGGTATTTATTCCAAGAATGCTCCCCAGTTCCTATATGCTGATGTCCATCTCCAAGTCTGCTTCCCAGGAGACCCGACCTGCAGCAGTTGGTTCTTGGAGTAGCCAAGAATGTAAATATTAATGGGAAAATTTTAAGCTGCATTTTGAGCTGGCAGTAAGAACGCCGTCATTGGTGGTAGATGGAATAGAGATGGCTCCTGGCACAAAGCAGTACAGTTGTGAAAATTGCCATCATGGTGAACTGGAAAGGTATATACATGCAAGGAATATTGTGGTTGGTCAGGTGTTTGGGTAATATGGAGTCATAAAGAGAATGAAGTTGGATGGATGTATCTGAGAGTTATTGATGCTTTTGAGAAAGATAATGAAAGGCTGAGAGTATATATTTAGCAGCATAGAAAGAAATTCTCATCTCCTGAGATCTGGAATAGAAAGAGCTGAGGATCAGGCCCAGGATTTAATTATAAGAGAAGTAGAGCTTCTAGACCCTGATGGGGCTATTCCACCAAGGTTGAGTCCCAACCGGGAAGAAATGGAACCCTGTGTTATGGCAGGAGGACATCTGAGTTGATGCACTTCAAAATCTTGAGTGTCCAGATTCCCCTGAATTCTTTGGGCTGGCAGAAGTAGCCCCCCACTCCCTCTTAGAGGCCAGTGCTTCCCCTGTGCTTGTAGACAATGTAGAGACCATTACCCTTCAAGTGAACACATGACCTCCCTCTTTACTCACCTTTTGGCCACCAGACAAAAAAAGATAGAATTAAATCAAAACACATCCTTGCCAGGAAAGTACTGAGCCTATTCAGGGAAGAAAGAAACTAGATTTCAGGGAAGCTGTAGGACCTAACCCACAAGTACAGAAGCTGGGAGAGTATGTGTGGGCCTGGACTCTGAGAGTGCTGGATCAAGGGGAGACCGACCATACAAGTGGATGAGGGAGAGTTTATAGGTATGGCAGCAATCTCCCTGCCTAGGACCCTGGGAGGCAGTGTTAGCGCACCTCCTGGTGACTCTTAGAAGGCTGGAGAGGGCTATAACCCACAAAAGTGAAGTGGAAATACCAGAGTCACTATGGAAGACATTGAAAGGAGAGATTGAATGGCTCAGAGAACTGTGCATACCAGAATGAATAAAGTATGTAAGGCTGGTAAATCCACCAGAAGACTCTTGCGCAGGTGGGCTCCGGAAACACTTCGTTTGCCAATGCAATAAGCAACACACTGACAAAAAGACCATCATCACGGAGAAGCTCAGTGATGGCCACTCTCTATAGACTAGAGTTAATGCTGGGAGATTTGGGCTCCTAATAACAGTAGGGATGATTAGATATTAAAAATAGAGGCCAGGTTTCAGCATTTAACTATGAGAAGCAAGGGAGGTGCAATTATCATAGTAACAATAGGAATGATAAGATCTCGATAACAATAGGGATGATAAAATCTCAAAAATAGAGGCCAGATTTCAGGATTTAACTGTGAAAAGCAAGGTTGGCACAATTATCATAGTAAGTGGCAAGATAGAAAAGCCCAATCTGCTATGGAGATGGTGTAATGTCCCCAGTAGGTCAAATACGCAGGTCTAGGAACCAAGGGGTTTGTGTAGGAATAGCCCCCTTATCATCACTTTCAGTTATTCACTTGGGGAATTTGTGCTTCATTTTCACAGCCCTGGTTTCTAGAGGCTTAGCAGTGTTGGCTCACAGAGGGGAAAATGCTTCCACCAAGGGACACAGCAAGAATCCCATTAAATGTTAAGCCACATCTTTCTCTCTAGTCCCTTCAGGATCCTGGCAGGAGTAATTGATCCTGACCATCAGGAAGAGGTAGCACTGGTGTTACACAATGGGGGCAGGGAAGAATATGTTTGGCACCCAGGTGATCCATTTGAGTGTTTCTTGATACTTTTTGCCCAGTTTTGATGATAAATAGGTAAGTGTAGGAGTCATTGCCTGAGAAGGGCAGAGGAACAAGATTTCAAATCCCTCGGATATGAAGGTCTGGGCACCCTCACCAGGTAAGCTATCTAAACCTGCAGAGGCAGTAGCTGAGACTGAGGGGAGTGATAGGAGACGAAGAAGATGCTGAGTATCTGTTTTGTCCTTGGGATCAGGTGCAGCAGGCAACACATTAGTTTACAGCATTAACCTTCCTCTTTTAAGTTTCTCTAGAAAAAGAGGTCCACTAGAATCCTAAAAGATCTGCTTTCAGGACACACACCAAAGGAGTGGATCTGAGCAACATGAGGCATGGACTGGCATGGATGTTGTGGCGCCCCAGCCAAATTCTGTCTCCCCACCCCCAGGATCAAAGCACTCATTCCCCCAGCTACTAAGAGTGTTGACCATTGACAGCATATGGCTGAGTCCAGTCCCAGAGGCTGCCCTCAGCTGAAGAGAGTTGCCTCGCTCAATGCCACACACCTTCCTTAAGGGCAGCCCTGAGCATAATGGGTCATTGCTGCGTGGTCATAAAAGCTCAGCCCCATTGCCCCAATTAGGAACAATGCTTCAGGGCTCTTCAAACACCAGAGCTCTCTATGGAATGGGATGAGGGCTTTTGTGTGACTGCGTCACCACCCAGCTTCACTCTGTGCCCAGTCCTATTCCTTTGCTTCTTCCGCAGATCGCAGTTCTGAGAACCCTCCCAAGTGAGTTTTCAGCATGCTAATCTTTTACTCAGAGTCTGTGTTCCGGAGAACAGGGAGGCAATACAAAGCAACCTGCAGTTCCAAACAACAATAAATTCCAAGCTGGATAATCAAAAAATATGTATATATTAATATATATGTGGAGATATATGTATAGGCAAATCATGGCAAAACTTCAGAAAATCAAAAAAGATATTTAGAGATGGGAAGAAGGAAAAGATAATGTCAGAAAGGCAAAACTTTTCTCAATAGAGCAGCAATTTTTCTGAGGGCTGACTTCTCTAGAGAAAATATTGAAGCCAGAAAAGGGTGAAATGAAATGGTCAATGCAGTGACATAAAATAACCTAGAATCTCATACCCAGGAAAATAACCAGTCAAAAATAAGGGCAAAATACGAACGTTTCAGAAAAAAACAAAAATACAAAGTTTACAAACAACAGACACTGAATAAATGTTTGTTAAGGAATATATCTCAGACAGAATAGATGGAGGGTGCAAGGACAGATGGTGAATGTGTATTTTGGCAAATTTACAGATAAAACTTAAGAAAACGTTTAATTTATGAAATGATAATAATGTCTAGTGTCTGTTGGGGGCAAAGAGCCTAGAATAGACAAAAGTAGCATGTGAATTTAGAGGAGTGGGAGATCAGATTTAAGGCACCCTGAAGTCATAGTATGTTTGGGGAAAAAAATACTATTTAAACTTTGTCCAAAAGAATGACATAGCACTTTAATTAATTAATTCCAAACTTGTAGGGGAAGAACTAGGATGGGGAAGAGAAAAAATGCAGTCAATCCAAAGGAGGTAGGAAGGGTGGGTGTAAAACAGGAAAGGCAGAATGAATAGAAGGATAAATAGAAATAAGAGAGTAGACATAAATCCAAATAAGTCAGTAATCAAAATAAGGGGAAAAAATTCTGGGCATAGTGGTGTACCCTTGTAATTCTGACTACTTGGGAGGCTGACGTGGGAGAATTGCCATAGCTCAGGAATTCAAGATCAGCCTGGCCAATATAGCAAGACCCCATCTTGAAAGAAAAAGAAAGCAAGAAGGAAGGAAGGAAGGGAGGGAGGAAAGAAGGAAGGAAGGAGAAGAAAGGAAGAAAGAAAGAGGGGAGGGAGAGAGAGAAGAAAGAAAGAAAGAAAAAGAAAGAAAGAAAGAAAGAAAAAGAAGGAAGGAAGGAAAGAAGGAAAGAAGAAAAAGAAAGAAAGGAAATAAGAAAGGAACGTGGTGGCTCACGCCTGTAATCCTAGCACTTTGAAGACTGAGGCGGGTGGATCACGAGGTCCAGAGATTGAGACCATCCTGCCCAACATGGTGAAACCTCGTCTCTACTGAAAATACAATAATAATAATAATAAGCTGGGTGTGGCCGTGCGTGCCTGTAGTCCCAGCTACTTGGGAAGCTGAGGCAGGAGGATTGCTTGAACCCGGGAGGTGGAGGTTGCAGTGGGCCAAGATTGCACCACTGCATTCCAGCCTGGGGACAGAGCGAGACTCTGTCTCAAAAAAAAAAAAAAAAAAAAAAAAGATAAAGAGAAAGAAAGAAAAGAAAGCAAGCAAGAAAGAAACAGAAGGAAAATGGATTAAGCTGTCTTGTTAAAGCACCAAGACCCTCATACCGCATAGAAACAAACTCCAGCTATGTCCTTTCTATAAGAGACTAACTAAATAAAATACAAGGACAAAAAAAGTTTGAATGTCAAAGCCTAGAAAAAATATGTCAGGAAAATATTAACCAAAAGAAAGCAGGCCAACAAAACAAAACAGACTTTGAGGAAAAAAGCATTTAAAAAGATAAAATCACTACATAATGGTAAGAGTTTCGATTTGTTAGGAACATAACAGTTGAAAACTTATATTTACCTAATAATACACCTTCAAAATATAGAAACAAAAACGGTTTGATCTATGAAGAGGCATTAACAAATCCTTCACTATTTTAATACAGCTTTCTTGGTTATTGCTAGATCAAGTAGAAAACAATGTTGGCAAAGATATTTGAGATTTGAACAGCATCATGTAAAAGCTTTCAGGACACTGCTTTGATTTATCATCTCCCCCAGGTCTCCACTTCACCTCATAAACATTCCCATCGCTCTTGTCCTGACTTTTTCGTTCACACATCTCAGGGTAGTCCTTGATTTGTGTCTGCGCCACCAGTTTTATTATCTGCCTCTGGTTTGCGGCTTTACTCATATTCTCAATTTTGCCTTCATAGTTTCTTAAGCAAGATTTCTCTCTTCCAGTATCTTAGCCAAAGAGAAGCCTAAGCAGGGCTAGACTTTAACCCCCTTGTCTTCCTCAAATTACAAAAGGAGTTGGGGGACAGGTTCAGACATCATATAAATGTTAGTGCTTGGCACATGTTAGGTAAGTGCTCATAAATGTATGTAGAACAAAAGCAATAAATATTAACTTATTTGAAGGATTTTTCTCCCAGCATCATTTACTTCTAGATCAAAGTGCTTAGTCATATCAGACCCTAATCCCTAAATGCACAGAGCTTTGTCCATTTTCCTTCTCCCAGCCCTGCATCCCTACACATTCCAGGTCTTTATCTTTCTTCTCTAGTCCCTACCTCCTACAACTTAGTGCCAACCACAGAATGACAGAGGCTGGGGATGGTTCTTCCAGTAGAGCTCATGGCAGAGACAGCAGTGGTATATGGAAACTACCTCATATGCAGCGCTCTCCCAGCTGACAGCCTTCTTAGAAAATGAGAATTCATCTGGCAATAAATAACAAGGGCTACAGAGCTGTTCCTACTCTTTGACCCAGTAATTCCACTTCTGGGAATTTTCTCTAAGGAAATAACTTAAGGGGGAAAAAAATCCATCTGTCTAAAGATGTTCACAGCAGATCAATTCATAAGAAAGGAAAACTGGAAACAATCCAAATTCCCAGTATTGGGGAAATGGCAGGCAGATTGTGACACAGTATCACAATGGAATACACTATAGCTATTACAAAGGGCAGTTATATGCACTAGGCCAATTCTTGGAAGTGTACTTGTGAAGTTACATTCTGAGAGAGCAGCGTACCCGAAAACTCACCATTTATTGTCTATTGCTTGTAAGACACTCCAAACCTGGTTCTAAGGATGATGAAACTGAGGCTCGAGGCGTTTATTGCCCTGCCTGGAGAGAAATTGGAATTCAAGACTGGATCTCTCTGATGCCAACGTCCATGTCCTCCTATACATGTAGCTTCCAGCTGTGTCTAATTTTCCAGCGAAATGGAAAGGGAACAGAGAGTGATCCAAGCAGATTAGAGTTCTGTTTTTTGATTTTTTTTGAGACGGAGTCTTGCTCTGTCGCCAGGCTGGAGTGCAATGGCGCGATCTTGGCTCACTGCAACCTCCGCCTCCCGAGTTCAAGAGACTCTCCTGCCTCAGCCTCCCGAGTAGCTGGGACTACAGGCAGCCGCCACCACGCCCAGCTAATTTTTGTATTTTTAGTAGAGATGGGGTTTCACCATGTTGGCCAGGATGGTCTCGAGCTCTTGACCTCGTGATCTGCCCACCTTGGCCTCCCAAAGTGCTGGGATTACAGGTGTGAACCACTTCACCCTGACTAGAGTTTATTTTTAATTGTCTTAATAATGGTAAATGTTTAAAATTTTTTTAAAAAGAGGAATGAAACAGATCTGTCTCATGAAGACCAGGCCCGACCATAGCTCGATCCAAGGGTCTGTGCCAGGTAGACACCCACATTACCTATCTGTCTCCATTATATACCCAAATACCCTGAGAGGCTTGTTCAGTGCGCACATGCTTTCTTCCCTGAACCCCTGCTCTGCATTCAAACTTTATGTCTGTGACACAGTGAGCTACTGCTTGTGGTAGAAATATGGATATTTATTTTTGGTTTGTTTGGAGCCAGAAAGAAAGATTGAAAATCACTGGTTAAAATATTGTCCTCAAAAGGTCCATGTGAAAACCCAGGAGCTTGTGACACAAATGAGAAGAATGAATGTTTTCCAATTTTCAACATATGACTTGATATAGGCACACTGGGTAAAATGGAAGATGCTTGGGTTTTGTGTGAATTTTGGAGTAAGAGTGATTTAGGTTCAAGTCTTGGCCCAATTGTAATTGTGGGTAAGATCTATTTTATTTTATTTTTTAAAATTTTTATTTATTTATTTATTTATTTATTTATTTATTTAGAGATGGAGTTTCACTCTTGTTGCCCAGGCTGAAGTACAATGGCACGATCTTGGCTCACCGCAACCTCTGCCTCCTGGGTTCAAGTGATTCTCCTGCCTCAGACTCCCCAGTAACTGGGATTACAGGCATGCACCACCACGCCTGGCTAATTTTGTATTTTTAGTAAAGATGGGGTTTCTCTGTGTTAGTCAGGCTGGTCTCGAACTCCTGACCTCAGTTGATCCACCCGCCTCAGTCTCCCAAAGTGCTGGGATTACAGGCGTGAGCCACCGTGTCTGGCCAAGATCTATTTTAAACACACCCACACACCCCTGGCATTTGCCCTTAGAAACTGTTAGAACAACATGTCTACCTTGCCCTTTACCTTGATATCGTTGAATTTTGCCACTGACAAAATGTCCTGGTTCTTGGGCTAATGATGTCTCAACGAAAGATAAGGATTAGAAATACTTTGTTTCTAAAGATCTTCTGTTCTTTAGCTGATGCCTGCGTTTCTGTTCCTTGTCCTTCCCTAGTACATTCACCAAGCAAAGTTGCAATGGCAGGAGCCCTTCTGGCTTCTCCTAGGGCCACCTGCACCTGCCTGCAGTCCAGATGGCTGACTTCCCCACTTCCTCCTTCATTACCTCTCATTAGAGAAGCAATTGGACCACAGGTTTGGACTGACCAATGAATAAAGGGCAAGGGGCCACTTCAAGGTATTTTTAGTCTTAAAGAAACTATAAAACCAACCAAGACACAGCAATGGGAGGACTCCAGGCTCGAAGGCAGTAGGCCCAGAGGACAGCTCGGCATGAGTGCACCAGCTTCAGAGTTGTGCTTCTTGGCTGTTCTTCAGAGTCAGCAGTTGTTCCCTCAATGACTTTGCAGAAGTGGCAAGATGAGGTTGGTGGGGAGAGACAAGCGGCATGGGTTTGTAAGACCCTTACTGTCAGCTGACCCACCCGCCCTGCTAGGTTCCGGCTGCCGTGACCACAGCCTTCTAGTTAAAAGTAATACTTTTCTTCATATTTTATGGCAGATAGTTGGGATTTTGACTTTGCCATTGCAAATACACAGAAAGGAAACAATAACCCCAGGGGTGAGGAGCGGGCAGAATAATTCAAGATATTAAAGTCAGAACTGGGTCACTGGGCAGGAATTAGAAGAGGGAGCTTGTGCTGTACAGACCTCTAGGAGCTACCAGCAAATACAGTGCTTACTTGCACTGTGACTTTGAGCCAGGTGCTTAACCTCTCTGACCTTGAGGTTCCTTATCTGTAGAATGGGCTAATCCTTCCCATGATGCAGAGTTGTTATAAATATTAGAGAAAATGTGTCCAACATACCTGGCTATTAGTGCCCAGAGTGACCTTAATATGGAAATAGCATCTGGTCAGAATGAAGGGTCCCACCCTCCATGTGCCCTGAACACACAGATAGTATAACTACAACCATGCACTATCCCACCATATTTTAATGGCATGCGGTCTTTCTCACTGGTGTGTAAACTGTGAGGAGAGACTAAGATTCATCTCTGTGTCCTCAGGGTGTGGCTGGTACCTGGCACCATGTCAGGCTCAGAGTGGATATTTTTGTACTTTGAAATTGTAAATTAGTATTTAGATGATGAAAACCCCTCATTCTTTCTCTCTTTCCTCTGCATTTGCCTCTTTTGTTTCTTAAATGTAAAGGAATTTAAACCAAATAGGCTTTTTGTGATCAGATTGGGCTAGGCTGTGTTTCAGTAACAGCCCACTCTGAAATCTCAGTGGCTTAACTTAACAAAAGTTTATTTCTGACTCATGCAAAGTCCCCTGTGGTTATGGGCGACTCTCCAGGGCAGCTGTTCTCCATACAGTGGCTCAGAAACCCCAGGCGCCTTTGATCCGGTGGCTCCATCATCTCAGCACAAGGCAAAGCGAGAGCCCCTGGAGAGCTGCACCCTCCAGGCTGTGCTTCAGCCCAGAAGTGCTACCTGTCACTTCCCTGCAGAGCCCCTTGGCCAGACGTAGTCACGTGGCCACATCTAACTGCAAGATAGCTGGGAAGAGTAGTTTTCAGTGTGCCCAGGATGGAGAGCTGAACTGGATCTTAAGGTGTCCTAATCATGCCCAGTGTAAGGGCTCAAGCTAAAATGCAAAACAACCAAAAGCAAAAGTGGAAAAATCACCCACATTTGTTGTTCCTTTTATGAAACATACATTTACTTATTTATCCAATGAATATTTGTTGAAAACCTATAAGGTACCAAGCATTGCTCTAAGTACTGGGGCATAGTGGTGAATAAAAAAGGTCCCTGACATCATGAGCTTATATTCTGTTGGGGAGTGACAAACAATAAATAGGTATATAAACTCTCAGATGGTTATATGTGCTATGAAGGAAAATAATAAAATAGGGTAAAAGGATAGAAAAGGAGAGAGGAAGTTACTATTTTGGATGTGGTAGTAGAGGAAGTCCTTTCTGAGAAGAGACTTGATGAAGTAAGAGATGACATGCCAGTACATGAGGTGGAGGAGAGGAGACTTTGTTACAGTCAAAGGGAAGACTCAGTGCAATGATTAGTTCAATCATTTAGTTCATTAATTCATCAAACATTTATTGAGCTCTTACCACTGTGCCAGACATTCTCTAATAGAGTTGGTGATATAAATGTGAATAAAACCCAGATGGCAGCCTCCAGAAGTCCACAGTTCAGTAGGGGACATAGATGTGCAAGCAAATATATATACTAAGAAGTAAGGAGTCAGATAGGACACAAAAGAAAGTGAAGTTTCCGTTTGGTTGGAGAGGGTCAATGAAGATGTTATACAAGAGGTGACTTAATAGTCTAAAGTAGAAATTAAGAAAGTCAGCGATTAAGATAGAAATGTTGTATGCATTATTTATTTCTTTATAACACAATACCCCCAAACTATGGCTTAAACCATATTTTTTTATTTCTCATGATTCTGTGGATTGGCTGGGCTCTGCAAGACCATTCTCCTGGCACATCTGGTATTAACCAGGTCACTTGTGTGAATACATTCAGCTAGGAATCTGGAAGGGCTGAATATCCAAGATGGCTTTATTCCCATGTCTGGTGCCTCACTGGGGGTGGCTGGAACATCTGGGGATGACTGGGCCTCTCTCTCTCCCTATGTGAGGTCTCTTTTGTAGTCTAACTTGAACTTCTTTACATGGTAGATGAATCCCAAGAGAATGAACAAAGGCTGCAAGGTCTCTTAAGAACTGGAAGTTGGCCGGGCGTGGTGGCTCACACCTGTAATCCCAGCACTTAGGGATGCTGAGGCGGATGGATCACCTGAGGTCGGGAGTTCAAGGCCAGCCTGACCAACATGGAGAAACCCCATCTCTACTAAAAATACAAAATTAGCCGGGCATGGTGGCACATACCTGCAATCCCAGCTACTCAGGAGGCTGAGACAGGAGAATCGCTTGAACCCGGAGGCGGAGGTTGTGGTGAACTGAGATCGTGCCATTGCACTCCAGCCTGGGCAACAAGAGTGAAACTCCATTAAAAAAAAAAAAAAAAAAAAAGAACTGGAAGTCACAGGATTATTTCCACTGCATTTGATTGGTCAAAGCTAATCAAAAAGGCAGCCCAAGGCTGGCAGCAGTGGCTCATGCCTGTAATCCTAGCACTTTGGGAGGCTGAGGTGGGAGGATTGCTTGAGCCCAGGAATCTGAGACCAGCCTGGGCAAGCTGACAAGACCCTGTCTCTACAAAAAACAAAACAAAACAAAACAAAACACAAAAACTGAGCATAGTGGTGTGCATCTGTAGTCCTAGCTACTTGGGAGGCTGAGGCAGGAGGATCCCTTGAGCCCAGGAGTTTGAGGTTGCAGTGAGATTCAAGAGGAGGGGAAACAGACTGAACCTGCAAGCCTGTCCTGGCTGGGAGGAATTTTTGGAGACCATGTTTTCAGATGATCTATTAATGCCCTGAACATTAACAGTACAGTAAAGCAGGTGTGTCTGTATGCTTCCATGCCACCTTCTCCCCACCATATGTGCCTGTGCAGAAATCACTAATTGATTTCAGCACACTTACCTGCTGAGCCTAGGCTCTTTCTCAAGTCAGTACCTCAGGTAGATTGGCCAGAGTTGGGGCAAGAGATGAAACTCATTTGCCATCCCAACCAGAAAGGAATATAGAAACCGCCAAAATTGTATCTCTGGTGTGAGTATACTGACTATAGCTCTTGGGTCTGCAAATGAAGAAGGATGGGGACAAGCAATAAGATTGTGAGTCATGCTTTTTGTCATATTTTTGTAATAAGTAGGCAGTTTTAGATGCCCAGGGGATGTAAACATTAAAAATATTGTATTATAGGGCAAAGATGGAAAAAAGAGAAAAAAGCTCTCAACAAGGGGATTGAGTGAAACAAGCATGGCTGGCCCAGAGAGAAGGGAATTTGGAGGGACCCAGGAAGGGGAGCAGGTGACACAGGCTTGTCAAGGGGTTCTGGAGTGAACAACTTTGGTCTGAATGGGAAACTGTACTTGGTTTCCAGCCAGAATGAGCTTGGCGCTCCCAAGCTCTGAGGTTTGGGTAACTAGTCTAGTTGGGATTAGCAATATAACAGGTTGGAATGTAATGGCAGCTTTATGTGTCCAGCTGTGCTAGCTGAATTCTACAGCAAGGTTCAGTGCCTGCATTTGACCTGTTTCCAAGGGGTTGGAATCCCCAGATGTGTCATAATGTGTTAAAATCAGTTTTGTGCTTTAAACTGCTGAGAGTGTTGTATTTCAGGTACCTCATCATAAAAGAAGGTTACAGAAGTTAGGGCTGCACCTGTAAGGACAGAGGTAACATAGAAGAAATCTATATTATTGCTTTTGGTGGTGGTGGCAGCTGAATTAACTAAGCTCCAAAGCAATGGACAAGCCATCTTCCGAGAGATTGGACATATGGCATCTCCTGATCCTTAAAATTGTAGATTATTTTAGCCCTACCTCTTCAGCAAAGCAAAATCCTCATGTAGAGGGACTGTGTGTGATTTAAGGCAAAATGTCTTTCCCTTTCCCCCAGCCGGGGGTGATGTGGTGGGAAGTATGTTGGATTTGGACTCAGGAGGGGGATTACCTAAACAGCAACTGTAGTGCATAGTGGGTTTCGGTGTCATCTAGACCTGGACTTGAAGCCAGACTCTGCCATTTCCCAGCTGGATAGCTGGCATGCCTTAGTTAGCAAGTTTGTAAAGTCATCACTTTACAAAGTAGATAATGATACCTACTTTTCAGAGTTTTTGTGAAGATAAGCATCTTCAAAGTACTAGTGATAAAGGAATAGTATTTGCAGAGCTCTTGTCGTCTGGTACCATCTCTCATCATTTTATTAGTGCTTATCAGCCCACAGGCCTTCAGATGAATGACTTTCTTTCTTAGCTAAAGCATTTGAATTCGGCTGCAACTTAGAGGGAGCTAATCCAGTTGCCAAATGATCCCAGAAGTAGTAGTCCAGATCCTCTCCCTAACAAGCAGAGGAAGATGCTTTTGTGTAGAGGCTTCAAATCAGACTATCTGTGAGGCCAGGTCACTGTAGGTTCTGGAATTCAGGGAAAAGCTTTTCCCCAGATAAAATAGAAAATCGCATTTCCTGACATCTCAGCCACCATCTGGGTTTCTGTCTACATCAAGTATCATATTTTGGCTACTGTACCCTGTTAAAACATTTACCATAAACTCTCCCTCAGAATATTTCAAGGACCTCCCGATAAAACTTCCTAACCAGAAAAACCCCTTTGGAATACAAGAGATGGTCATGGATTAGGAGAGGGATCAAAACACTTCAATTCATCACATAGCAAACCTTCTCTGCGGGGGCTGTCACAAGGATATTTTATGGAGAGATTCCTTCTTTTGTTTTATTATCAATGTAATGTCTCTTAACTCCAAAATATTTCTCTATTGCCATGTGCTACAGTGTTTGTCTGATTCCGATCTGGGCAAGGCTCAAGGCTTAGTTCAGATTCCCTCCTAAACATTCTAGAAATGCTCACTGTGTTTCTGGTTTCAGGGTATTTGCCACTAAGTTTCAGTCTTGCAGCTGCTCATGTGTTCTGGTGGCAGAGAGAAGCTGGGGGGTTATCGCATTCAAGCAGGTACTGAGAGTCTAATGCAAGCCAGGCACTGTGCTAGACAGTGGGGTGCGGAAAGCCATGAGACAGGCTCAGCCCTGGGGTGTTCACAATCCGACCAAGAGCCTGTTCTCAGAAAGGGTGGGTAGCCTATGTGTAGTGTACCTTACTGGTTTAACTGACCATCTTTGAGGTGGAATGAATTATTCCACAACAACCTAGAACTTTGGCACTTTGGCCTTATCTGCCATATTTAGTTAAGATAATGCTAGATGTCGCAATATACCTTCTAAATGTAGAATGAATCAACAGAGTAGAAGTTTATTTCTTGCTTACATTGAGCCCAAATGCATGTTTCCAATTGCCAAGCTGCTCTTCTCCAAGCAGAGATGCAGGGACCCAGCGACTGAAGGAGCCCTTGTTTTTCCCAGTTGCTGGGGAAAGTGGTTAAAGAAGGTGCCTCACTTCTGAAACACTCCAGCCCAGAAGCAACAGGCATCACTTCTGCTCACCTTCCACTGGTGAGAACAAGTTACATGGGCACACCAAGATGCAAGGGGAAAGAGAGACCCTGGCCTGGCAGTCCCTTTCTGGTGACATCTCTCCACTATGAAAGGGGAACATGAACCTCTGTTGGACAGCTATCTGTCTTGATCACATCTGCCCCCCATTGGTAGGTAAAAAACTTTGATTACTTCCCCACTGATTTGCTTGTCTGCCTCCTTTTTGTATCTCTGGTCATGTATCTTACTCAAGGATCTTCTAATTCTCTTTCTAGTATAATGTGATTAAAAGAACACTGAGCTAGAATCAGAAGACCCGGGTTCTGGAATTATTCACACTTCCTCACAGGATGATCTTGAGCAAGTCATTTTCCCTCATGTGTCTGTTTCCTTATCTGCAAAATAAAGGTATTAATAGCTACTATACAGGGGCGTTAGGAAGATTAAATATGATTCACATCCAAAGTACGTAGTATAGTGCCTGACAAATAAGAGAAACTCAACATATATTTAGTTATGAATTGAATGATGAAAGGAACTTTTATCAGTCATTTTCCTACCACCTTCTACTGGTCCCTGTGGCTGTGTGTATTGGCATTATTTAGGTATATGGGGGCATGGGGAGGTGATGGGAGGGGAACTGGAGTTTTCTCAGCTACTCAATAAAGTCACTGAAGGCAGGAACTATGTGTGAGCTCCCTTTTATAGGTCCCCCTTCAGGCACACAGAGCAGATGCCTAGTAAACTGGTGAATGCATTTTGTTGAATCATGGATGAGCGTTTACACCATTGCCTCCAAGGGGCTGAATACTGAGGCAACCACAGTTATGGCTGTACCCTAGAGCTGGAGCTGCCTCATCTCCAAGAATCAGACTATGTTTGTTCTTCTGGTTCCAGGGTGAAAGGCAATGTTTCCAAGGTGGGAAGGTCAGTCCTGGTCCTTTCCTGACTGAAAATGTGAGAGGACCCTTCTGTTCACCAGGCAGATGGCTTCTGGCCTCTGAGCTGACCTCAGTAGTCAAATTGCCCACTTGGGTAGTCAAAGCAATAAGTCCTTCTAGCAAACCATAGGCAACTGCAGTTAGGCTTGAGTTTGATATTCAAACTCAAGTCCTGAATGGGCCACTAACTTAACAGGGCTGAGTGGTCAAGTGAAAAGACCAGGGGCTTTGCAGTTCCACAGCGCTGGCTTCAACTCTAGGCTTGGCAGGGAGGCTTTAGGAAACTTCTTCAGCCATCCCAAGACTCAGTTTCTTCATCTGCAAAATGAGCACCACCATCCTGCCACCCTCTCTTCCTTTCCCCTTCTCGTACAGGGTTGCTGAGAAGCAGATGCATATTAAGGTTGAGAGGTTAGGCTCTGGAGGCAGACTCCTGGTTCATGTGATTGTGGCAAGTTACCTAACCTTTCTTTGCCTCAATTTCCCTGTATGTAAAATGGGACAATAATACTTCCTACTATATATGCTTGTGAGTTAATTTATGTGAAATGCCTAGAATAGTGCCTGGCAATCAATAATAAACAATCAACTATAATAAGTAATTAATAGCTACTATTATTTTTAAATCATTTATTTTACTTTTTAATTGACAAGTAATTATTGTACATATTCATGAGGTACATAGTGATATTTTGATACATATGATGTGTTGTGATTAGATCGGAGTAATTAGCATAGACATCATCTCAAACATTTATCATCTCAATGTTTCAAATATTCGATATCCTCCTTCTAGCTATTTGAAACTAAATATATTTTTGTTACCTATAGTCTTCCTACAGTGCTGTAGAACACTAGAATTTATTCCTCCTATCTAGCTATAATTTTGTATCCTTTAAAAAATCTTGGCTGGGTGTGGTGGCTCATGCCTGTAATCCCAGCACTTTGGGAGGCCGAAGTGGGAGGATTGCTTGAGCCCAGAAGTTCAAGACCAGCCTGGACAACATAAGAAGATCCTGTATCTGCAAATAAATTTTTTTAAATTAGTGGAGTGTGGTAGCACATGCCTGTAGTCCCAGCTACTTGGGAAGCTGAGGTGGGAGGACTGCTGGAGCCTGCAGGGTCAAGGCTGCAGTGAGCCATGACTGTGCCACTGCACTCCAGCCTGGAAGACAGAGCGAGACCCTGTCTCTAAACAAAAGCAAAAATAAAAATAAATCCCCTCCCTCCCTCTCCTCTACCCTTCTCAGCCTTAGTATCTTCTGTTCAACTTTTTACTTCTATGCGATCAACTTTTTTTTTTCAGTTTCCACATATGAATAAGAACATGTCGTGTTTTCTCCTGGCTTATTTCACATAACATAATGTCCTCTAGTTTCATCCATGTTGCCTGGAACGCAGGATTTCATTCTTTTTTATGGCTGAATGGTATTCCATTGTGTATATGTACCACATTT
The DNA here is from genome assembly GCF_000001405.40 of Homo sapiens. NCBI lineage: Eukaryota > Metazoa > Chordata > Mammalia > Primates > Hominidae > Homo > Homo sapiens. The sequence continues at coordinate 63,721,531 of NC_000001.11, forward strand.
TCTTTATTCATTCGTCTCTTATTGGGCATCTAGGTTGATTCCATATCTTGGCTATTGTGAATAGTACTGCAATAAACATGGGGGTGCAGATGTCTCTTAATTGCTCTTATCAGAACTATGATTACTATTAGGAGAATTCAATGAATGTAGCATTGTTTGATAACTCTGAAGTCACAACCCTTAGATTTTATTACTAAAGCAATAGGCCTTCCCTGATCCCCACTGAGTCATGCTGCTGCTGCAGCCCTATTTTCTGGTCTCTTTGCAATTGTGGGAAATTTCTCAGCACCAGTGGGGGCACTTGCTTGACTTTTATGCTTCTCTTTGCTGTGGCTGAGAGCTGGTGGGCTTCTTCCATGTCTGGGCCTGTGCTCTGGTGTATTCTACCCTACAGTGCTTAGAATACATGTTCCCTTCAGTGCAACTCCTAATCGCACTCACTGAAGCATATCTGCATGTTTGTACTATCCCTGGAGTGAGAGGGAATTGGCCCCAGGCCAGCACCACAGACTACAGAGGGGAAACTGCGATGCCAGGGTCTCTTTTAGTGTGAACCATCTTCTGATACCCTACTCTGGGAAACTGTGGGACATGGGGTTAGTGGAGGGAAAGACCACCCACCTGGAGGTTAAGAGGGTGGGGCTTGGGATCTGACAAATCTGCATTTGAATCTGTTTCACCTTTCCGTAGTTGAGTTATGTTGGCTCATTGACTTCACCCTTCTGAGCCTCAATTTCTTAATCCAGAAACTGGGCATAATAATACCTACTCTATAGTGGTGTTGTGGATCAGATGATTCAGTAGCTGGCATGTAGCAAGTGTTCAACTAAAGCCAGTAGGCCACGAGTCAGCGAAACCGGGTCCTAATAAATCAGCTACAAATGTTCTGCAAAGCACTGGGCAAGTCACTTAACATCTCTGGGTCTTCATTGTCTTCATCTTTATACCATGTCAGTTTAGCTAAGCTGGAATCATGTTTCCCAGAATTCCTTTTCCTGTGCAGATCTGATTTTAGAGTTGGCCACAACACAAATCTGTGCTAGATCTGGAAGACGGAAGTGAAGCAGTAGCCATTTTTATGCTGTGGCAGCATACACCCTGTTGCTAATCTGCTTGCTCAGCTTGATGTGTGGCTGCCCAGGTCCTACAGCTCCTTCAGCTCCTGCAAGATCCTTTAGCTTTTTCAAGTCCCATGCCAGGCTGTGTGCAGTTGCATGCTGCATTAGTCAGGGTTCTCTAGAGGGACAGAACTAAGGGGATATATATATATATATATATATATATATAGGAGTTTACTAAGTGTTAATTCACATGATCATAAGGTCGCACAATAGGCCGTCTGCAATCTGAGGAGCAAGGAGAGCCAGTCTGAGTCCTAAAACTGAAGAACTTGGAGTCTGATGTTCGAGGGCAGGAAGCATCCAGCATGGGAGAAAGATGTAGGCTGGGAGGCTAGGCCAGTCTCATCTTCACATTTTTCCGCCTGCCTTATATTCTAGCCGTGCTGGCAGTCGATTAGATGGTTCCCATCCAGATTAACGGTGGGTCTGCCTTTCCTAGCCCACTGACTCAAATGTTAATCTCCTTTGGCAACACCCTCACAGACACACCAAGGATCAATACTTTGCATCCTTCAGTCCAATCAAGTTGACACTCAGTATTAACCATCACACGTGCAAAGAGCACAGCTTCTTCTGCAGGTCCTACACAACACTGAGGGTGGAGGACATGGTAGACAGATGCAGCTTCCAGTTTACCTTCATGGGTTCCTCATTTTCCACTAAGTTCCAGTTCATTCTTGGTCTCCATCACGTCATGTCCAGCTGTCCTTCCTGACTTCCAGCCTGGCTGACCTGTATGAACTTTAGGCACAACACACAACACAGACACTTCAGCAGCCAATGCAATTGTGTAAGGTCTAATTTCTAGAATACATTCCTTATTCTATGTCAGTCTTAGTGAATCTACGTCTCTGCTCAAACTCTAACAGATACAGTGGGGCTAGTAGCAGCAACCTCACAAGGTTACTTGAAGGATCAAATGAGATAATGGATGAGAAACTGCTTTGAAAAGTATAATGTGCTTTAGGTGTGCCTTTTAAAAAAATCACATATAGAAAAATGTATTAATGAAACTCAAAAGTATAATTCTTTCAGATATTTTAAAAGCAAAACAAAACTGCAAGCAGAACTCCTGGTCTCCCTAAGCCCTGCTCCACTATTTTCTCTCCAGTTGCTCAAGCCACAGTTCCTAGATGACCTTTGACACCGTTCTCTCCTACACACCCTTGCACATATTCAGAGCTTAGTCACATCTCATTGTCTACACTGCTAACACCCTGGTGCAAGCCACCATGCCTCTTGTCAGGATTATGGCAACAGTCTTCTCCCTGGCGCCTTGCTTCTACTCTTGCCCCAAAATGATCTGGTAAAAACTCGAGTTAGATTATCTCATTCTCTGCTCAAAGCCAGTCAGTTTCTTCCCTCTTGGAGGAAAATCCAAATTCCTCTCGATGACCTGACAGGCGCTTGGCTCTTCCTGCATCTCTCATCTCATTTCCTACCACCTTTTCCCTCGCTCACTCAGCTCACCATACTGGCTTCCTTGCTGCCCTTAAACATGCCAAGTGTGTGCCATTTCCTAAAACCCTTTCTCCTGTTTTTCAGAGAGAAGGAATCATACCCTGAAATGATGTGTCTCTAGTGTGACTGTTGGCTTAGACACATCTGGGAACTTCGCTTGCCACCCGTACCCAAGTATTTACCAGTAAACTATACGACCACAGACCAAGCTGGATGCCATTCTGGAAAACGCTTTTTACCAAGAATTAAATGTGAAGTGAGGTTGCTGTTAGTCTTATGGTTAACAATGACAATTTAGATTTTAATTATTACTACCCACAACAACATCTTGCATCTCTGTAGCTATCCAGGGTTTTCAAAATGCTTTCATGTCTGTTATTTACTTTGGTCCTCACAACAGCACTAACAGTTGGGTATTATTTTCCCCTGTTTTACAGATAGGAAAACTAAGGCTCAGAGGAATCAATCAACTCCAGAGTCAAAGAGATAGTGGTTGACAAGATTAACTTTCAGGCAGATTTGCTGAGTCAAGGCTGTGTACTTTTTGTACTACAATTAGGAGCTTGCCAGGAGAACCTTATTCCTAAGTAGGGTCAGATGCAATGCGAAGAGTTATTCTTGCCATTGCCACCGCCCATGATTCAAAATGCTCCCAGCATGCCGAAACTTTTGAAAATTTTACACTTCCTTTTCAATGCAAATATCCCTGGGATTTGTGTGCAGTCAACCAGTTTGCTTTCCTCCTGAGGTACCACCACAGCAGAAATGGCCTTTTTTATTAATTAGCTGGGTGTGGGGGTGTGCACCTGTAATCCCAGCTACTCAGGAAGCTGAGGTAGAAGAATCACTTGAACCCAGGAAGGCAGAGGTTGCAATGAGCCAAGATTGCACCACTGCACTCCAGCCTGGGTAGCAGAGTGAGACTATGTCTCAAAAAAAAAAATGGCCTTTTTTGTTTTATGGGAAATTAAGGAAGAGAGAAAGGAGAAGTGTTAGGTGACAAAAATTATTGGCTTAATGAGACTTTAATCATGCTCCTGAACCTTCTCCTAGGCCCATCTGTACACTTCCTTAAAAAATCCAGTTTTAACAAGAACCCTGCTAAGTCATTTTAGCAAGAATGCCCCACCCTCTGTATATGATCAGGTTTCTCATCCTCCACCCTCCACCATCCCCCAGGTGACTTCAGACCACCCTGGCCTGCCTTCAGCAAGAATCCTGTTAGGTCTGTGTATTAGTCAGTTCTTGCACTGCTATACAGAAGTACCCGAGACGGGGGTATTTATAAAGAAAAGAGGTTTAATTGGCACACAGTTCCGCAGGCTGCACAGGGAGCATGATACTGGCATCTGCTTGGTTTCTGAGAAGGCCTCAGGAAACTTACAATCATGGCAGAAGGTAAAGAGGGAGCCAGCATATCACATGGCTAGAGCAGAAGGAAAAGGAGCAAGGGGAAGAGGTGCCACACATTTTTAAACAACCGGGTCTTGCGATCACTCACTCACTATCCCAAGAACAGCACCAACGGGATGGTGCTAAACTATTCATGAAGGACCACCCCATGAGCCAATCATCTCCCCCCAGGCCCCACCTCCAATACTGGGGATTACAATTCGACATGATAATTTGGTGGGGACATAGATCTAAACCATAACAGTCAGTTTAGCCAGAATTCTCCTTACTAATTTCTTAGTAATTTTCCATCCACCCACTCCCACCATGCTCCTTGGCTATAAATTCCTACTTACCCATGTTATATTCAGGGTTAAACCCAATCTCTCTCTCACTCTGCAAAATCCCATTGCAGTGCTCCCTATACCTATTGCAATGATCATGAATAAAGTCTTCCTTACTGTGCTTTAGCAAGTATTATTGAATACTTTTTCTTTTGGCATAGGAAGTATATCATTCGGGTAAGTTGAGTAGGCATATTATCCTCACCTTTTGATTAGGCAATATGATTCAAAGTGCTCAAAACAAGTTGTCGAAGGGCAAAATCATATCGTGTTGTTTCCCTTGTAGAATGAAGGGTATTGGATTAAATATTGCTAAATTTGTTTCTAACATCCCATGAGCCCAACTTACTGAACTTTTGCAGCAAAGTTGTGATGAGGGGACTGCAGAGAAGTGTATCCTTTAAAAAAGTTAGTAAAGGTCATATTTCTCAGCACTACAGGCCTGCCCTATAAAAGCAAACAAGTGTTTCAAAAAAAAATGGGATTTTCTGTCACTCAAGTAAGAACCTTGATTATATCACTGGGACATTTGTCGCAGACCAGAATTGCAATGTTCTTGGCAAAGTGGAAAAGATTCTGGAATTTGGAGCTAAGAAACCCTGAGTGTATGTGTCATGGTTCTCATACTTATTGTTTATTACTAATACTATTACTATTATTTTGGGCACTGATACCAGTATTTTGTGTTTTCCCTGCATTATCTTACTTAACTCATCCCACCCCACAGCAATTCTGTTAGGGAGATGTTATCACCTCCATTTTATATATGAAGAAATGGAGGCTTAAGATCACAAAGCTGCTATGTGTAAAAGCTGGGATTTTTTTTTTTCTTATTTTCTTTTTAGAGACATGGTGTCATTTTGTCATCCAGGCTGGAGTGTAGTGGCATAATCATAGGTCACTGCAGCCTCGAACTCCTGGGTTGAAACAATCTTCCTGTCTCAGCCTCCCAAGTAGCTGGGACCACAGGCCTGCATGACCATGCCAACTAGGGCTGGGATTTTAACATGGGTCTCTCCCACTCTAAAATTGATGTTAGTCACGAGTTTCAGGGAGGGCACAAAACTAGAGGTGATTGCTTTAATTGAATTTAAAAGATTTTAGGTAAAGTCCATTTGAATCCTGAAGGTTGCTTACTACTATGAGATACTGCTTCTTTGCAGGATTGTTTTGAGATTAGGGAAACCCATTGATATGGTTTGGCTGTGTCCCCACAGAAGTCTCATCTTGAATTATAGCTCCCATAATCCCCATGTGTCATGGGAGGAACCCAGTGGGAGGTAATTTAATCATAGGGGCAGGCTTTCTCATGCTCTTCTCATGATAGTGAATAATTTCAGGAGATCTGATAGTTTTATGAAGGGCTGGTCCCCTACACATGCTCTCTTGCCTGATGCCATGTAAGATGTGCCTTTGCTCCTCCTTCACCTTCTGCCATGATTGTGAGGCCTCCCCAGCCATGTGGAACTGTGAGTCCATTAAACCTCTTTCCTTTATCAATTACCAGTCTTGGATATGTCCTTATAGCAGCATGAGAATGGACTAATACACCCATATAAAGGACCTAGCATAAGGCCTGACACATAGTTGGTACTGAGTAAATGGAACAGGAGATGGTATAGGATGGCGACTGGGAACCCCGCTCTGGAGTGAGACTTCCTAAGTACAAATCACTTCTTCCACTTAGTAGCTGTGTGACCTTGGGAAAGTGATATAACCCCTCTAAGCCTAACTTTTCTCACATATAAAATGGGGATGATAACCAATGTATTCCAAGGATTAAATGAATGAACTGATATGCATAAAGAACCTAGTACTGTTCCTGGTTCATTGTTGTCATCAGGAAATTTTGACTATTATTGTTATTAATATGATTATTTTTTTCAGTCTCCACCTGTGCTGCTCACTCCACGAACAAGGATGGTGGCAGGAGTTGTGGTGAGTAGTGAATGGGGAGGGAGGTGGATATGGTTTGGATGTGTGTCCCCTGTAAATCTCATGTTGAAGTGTGATCCCCAGTGTTGGAGGTGGGGCCTGATTGGAGGTGTTTGGGTCATGGGGCAGGTCCCTCATGAACATCTTGGTGAGGTCCTTGGGTAAGGAGTGAGTTCTTACTCTGTTAGTTACTGTGAGATCTAATTATTAAAAAGAGTCTGTGACCAGGTGCAGTGGCTCACACCTATAATCCCAGCACTTTGAGAGGCCAAGAACGGAGGATTGCTTGAGCCCAGGAATTTGAGACCAGTCTGAGCAACATGGTGAAACCCCATCTCTACAAAGAATAAAAAAAATTTGCCAGGCATGATGTGTGTGCCTGCAGTCCCAGCTACTTGAGAGGCTGAGGTAGGAGGCTCACTTGAGACCAGGAGGTTGAAGCTGCGGTGAGCCATGGTTGTACTACTGCACTCCAGCCTGGGTGACAGAACAAGACCTTGTCTCAAAAAATAAATGTATAAAAAGTAAAGAGTCTGGGGCCTCCCCACTCTCTCTCTTGCTTCCTCTCCTGCCATGTGCCATGCCTGCTCCCCCCTTGCTTTCTGCCATGAGTAAAAGCTTCCTGAGGCCTCACCAGAAGCTGAGCAGATGCTGGTGCCATGCTTGTACAGCCTGCAGAACTGTGCCAAATAAATCTCTTGTCTTTATGTTACCCAGTCTCAGGAATTACTTCATAGCAATGCAAAATGGACGAACACAGAAGTGAACACCCCACATTTCCTTGGGGCCTCCTCTTCAGCAAGCTCCCTAGCATGATGAGAAGCCCTCCAAGGGTCTGCTGGACCCATTTCTCCATCTTCTATCAGCTCGAGCTCCCTTGAGTGGCTTGGATAGGGGGCACTGGTGAACTTGTGAGGAGAGCAGCTTACGGCCTGCGGTAGGGGACGGCAGAGAGTGAGGCATGAAGGCAAGCAGGAGAGGAGAGTGCTGGCGTTCCTGGGAGGTGGGGCGGAGACACTGGGAACCCCAGGCTGGGTGTCAGATTCCCAAGATGTGGTGGTTTTGTATTTACATCCCTGTGTGGGCAGGTGGCCAGGGGGCCAGGGACTCAGGCAGTGAAGCCTCAGGCTGACTGTCACAGGTGCAACACTGGCAAGAGGGGGCTGGTAGCTGGTTTTTCCAAGGGCTCAAGGGCACCATGGACTATCCAGAGGTTTTGTGCTCTTTCTTGTGACAAAGTGTCTAAGGCCTCCAGGCTGCCCAAGCCTCAGGTCAGCAAAGGTAAGAGAGGGTGTGGGGTGTGCGGTGTGGAAAGGCCTGCTCCTATCAGATGAGGATGCTTCTCCTGTCGAGAGGGCTTGTGTGTAACTGGGGCCATGGACCTGCCCAGAGATGAGTGACCAGCACTGCTCTTCAAGCAGTTAAAGCAGCCTGCTCTCCCCAGCAGAAATGAACACGAAACAGCCAGACATCAGACCCTGCACTACCTCCTGTCTCCAGGATATCCCAAGAGGCTCCTGGGGCATCACCTCTGGCCTCAATAATGGAGTTGAATTTTGAATGTTTTTCCGTTGTCTTTATCTTTTCTAATGCTGGAAATATAATCTGTTCATACTATGTGGTAAAAATGAGGGAAAAGATTATGTCGACCACAATGACTACCACAGTGGAAAAGAGCACGGTGTCTGACTTGTAGTTGTTGCTCAATAAATATTTATTGAATGGCTGAATAAAGCTCATATAGGGAAAAAGACTTGAAGGAAAAAAGTCCCTCTAAAACGTTGTTATAGGCTGGTGGTAGGATTAGTGGTGATTTTTTATATTTTCTCTAGCCTCTGGAGTTTTGTATTGTGGTAATAAGGTTATTATAATAACAGGTAATTATGACCAAAAGAAAATTAGAGCCAAAATTAAGTGGTCATTTTCATATGAAGCACACCCCTGCTTGCAGCATCAGCAGTTCAGCTGTGGGAACCAAGGCCTGTTGAGGGGACACATTTTTACATCTATTTTAGGTCATCTATTTCCACCTCTGCTCTTCCTCTTCGAAAAGAAGGAAATCTATCTCTACTCCAAGTGAACACATGCTGACCTTCTTCCTCCCTGAGCTAATTAGTGCCTCGTCTAAAATCCTGCTGAGATTCTAGAGAGACAAGGTTTTATAGTAGTTAAGGGGCTTTAGGATAGACACATCATCTGGGTTCCTTATAATGTACTGTTAATTCTGAAAAAAATTTCTTCATGATATATATATATTCTTAAAAAAGCATTTTCTCCTGATTTTAACACTGCATTGCAACCTAGATAAAGTCGGCAGTAAGCAGTTGGTCCCTTTACTGTGAACTAGCACAGTCCTAAAGATTGTTGTCTAACCAAGAACAGATTAGATTGGGGGAAACCTACTCCCAGGCCTCCCTGTTCTTTTATGAGGAATTGGTCCTAAAATATTTACCCATTATCTTCCAACCCCATAACCCCCCAGGCTAAAATGAAGCCTGCTAAGGGAGCTGTGGCCGTTTGGGGATTAGGCCAGAAGAGCTGGCTCCTGTGCTATCGGGTGACAAGATTCAGAGACAAGATAGAAGCACCTTCCTCATCTCCTGAGACCTAGTTGCCAACTCCACCGGAAAGTTACAGTTGCTATGGTGACAGGCTACATAAGGCACACTCAGCAGAAGTGCCATTTAAAAATAACTCCACCTTTTCTTTCTCCTTTTCTTTCCTTTTTGTTTTGAGACAGGATCTAGCTCTACCACCCAGGCTGGAGTACAGTGGCACCATCACAGCTCACTGCAGGCTTTACATCCTGGGCTCAAGCGGTTCTCCTCACTCAGCCTCCCAAGTAGCTGGGACTACAGGCATGCACTACCATGCCCAGCTAATTTATTTATTTATTTTTTTTGTAGAGATGGAGCCTCATTATGCTGCCCAGTCTGGTCTCGAACGCCTGGTCTCAAGGGATTCTCCTACCTCAGCCTCCCTAAATGCCGGGATTATAGGCATAAGCCACTGCACCCGGCCCTCCACCTTTCCTTAAACTATTTAGAAACCCTCTTTGACACAGGGTCAGGTTAAGATGCTTGAACTTTTGGGTAAAGAACAAGGCTGGGTGCGGTGGCTCATTTCTGTAATCCTAGCACTTTGGGAGGCCGAGGTGGGTGGATCGTTTGACTCCAAGAGTTCGAGACCAGCCTAGGCAACATGGCGAGACACAGTCTCTACAAAAAATACAAAAACAAATTAGCCAGGTGTGATGGTGTATGCCTGTAGTCCCAGCTACTCAGGAGGCTGAGTGGGGAGGATTGCTTAAACCTGGGAGGTTGAGGCTGCAGTGAGCCATGATGGCGCCACTGCATTCCAGCCTGGGTGATAGAGCCAGATACTGTAAAAAAAAAAAAAAGAAAAAAGAAGAAAAAGAAGAAGAAGAAGAGGAAGAAGAAGAGAAAGAAGAAGAAGAGGAGGAGGAGGAGGAGGAAGAAAAGGAAGGGAAAAGAAAAGAAAAATAACATGTCTGAGAATTTCTGGAATGCATCCTGAATTCCTAATAGAGATTCCTGGAATGCATCCTTCACACCAGGGAATTTCCATTCCTTTCTTACTGGGCAATTGTTATGGGGATCTGGATTTATTTCTGGCTCTGTCACTAACTTTTTGGGTAACTCTCATTCAACTCACTTTGCGTCTTGAGGCCTCAGTTTCCTCATCTGTAAAATGGGAACAATAATCCTCACCTCATAGGGTTGTTGTGCAGATGAAATGAGATGAAATATGTGAGAAGACTCCCTTCCCTCCTTTCTCTACAAAATGTCAGGACTGTGCCTATCACGGGAGAACAGTAGTATTCTCCTCAGTGCAGATTGTCAACCGCTGTACCAACTTGTGCTAAGTCTGTTCACGCATACCACCTGAGTCAGAACTTTTCATTAATGCCAGGGGAATTCCATCTCAGCTCCCCCAGTCAAGGAGTTCTGAGTCATGTTTCATCAAGGATTTATTGCAGGAGTACTTTGGGAAAGAAGGACGCGTGCTGCTCTGAGGAACTGGGACCACACCCTGGTGCTTGGGAATTGGTGGCGGTGGTTGCATTTTGTTGTTGGCTTGTTTGTTTTAAAACATCCACATCCTGTCCCACAGCTGGAGCATAAAATCAAGCTTTAGTTGTGGGATTTTTGTTTACTTTATTCACTAGTTGGGCTGGTCAGGAGTTTAACGGAGGTCAATGCCTTTAACATTGCTTGGATTCTATAAAGAGAATTCTAGCAGTTTGTGCTACGAAATATCCTAGTGTAAAAGAGGAACTTAAAAAAATTGACTCACACGGTCTGGTTGCTTTTAGGATAAATTAATTTTTGTTTTGCTTACAAAAATAATAACAACTTCTGAATGTTTATATGTTTTCGTTTTGCACAGGAAGCTTTGGCAATAGAAAATGTTGGTAGAAAAAGTAATTAAAGAAATAAATGTGGCAACTCTCACAGCTGTAAATCATTGATTTAGTCCCATTTGTCCCACCCCTTACCCCCCAAAAAAAGAAAGAAGAAAGAAAGAAAAGAGGGAGAGGGAGAAAGACAGAGAAAAAAGAAAAAGAAGGAAAGAAAGAGAGTTAGCCTTTTTGCCAGAAGATCGTTCCCTGTCAGTTTTCAAAAATCTTCCTCATGTCTCTTCTCACAGAACATTTCAGAGGTCTGGAAAATATTTGATTTGTAAAGACTGAGAGTAGACCAAGTAGAGCTTTTTAAAAATATCTTTCAAAATTGAATAACACCCTGTGCTGTTTTCATGATAAACATAATACTTGTTTATTCAAGAAAAATGAGAAAATATTGAAAAGCACAAAGGGAAAGAACCCCTGTGCCCAGCTGCAACTGTGACTGACATTGGGTGTATTTTCCAGCAGTCTTTTTACTTTACCTGTGTCTCCTCACTTGTTTTTGATGGAGATAATGATGGGGTGTATGTGCATTTGCACTCTGGGTCTTTCACATAACAGCAGCATTTGCTGAAGGCTCTCTGGGTGCAGGTACTGTCTACCACTGCTCAGGGCCTTTAAGCCAGGCTGACAGTCTCACATGTCCACTGGCTCATTATCCACCAGCAGCAGCAGCTACATAACCATGATTCAGTTTCCCTCTGTTTCCTTGGCACCACAACATGTGAAAACAGCTGGATGAATTTCATCCAGTTTGAAGGGTATTTGAAGGTGGTTTCACTTCAAATATGGGGTATATGGCAACAATTTCACCATGGGAAGCTCAGGGTGGAGGGGAGCCTCGGTTTTTTATTTCCACCCAGAGGGGGACTGTGACACTTCATTCTGAAGATTTCCCTGAGTTCGGACATTTACCTTATTTAAGGTTTGCTCTAATTTTATGGATGGGGAACCTTCTGGGTTCATTATATTTCCAGAAATCATCATTTTCCCCCAATGGGTGCACATAAGAAATTATACCTTACTGGAACCCCTTTAAAGGCATTAATTCAATGTCGGGAAGGATTTTTTCAGAAGAAAACTTTTTTAAAGAGTCTAAAATGTTAGTCAGAATGGGAAAGATGCTTGAGGCCCAAAGAAGCGACATGCAATGAGATTTCTTAGGGCAGTTCACCAAGAGAGACACACTTTTCCAAGGCACCTGGGGAAGATGTCTGACTCGGGCATTTTGAAACACCCAAGTCGATGGGTGTTCATCCTCCAGGCAATGAAACTTAGGCACAAAGAGAGGCCCTTATGATGCCAGTTGGGAGATACAGCTCATTGGATTAAGCTGTCAGGGACATACAAAACCAACAGTGGTTTCAAATATGAGGCTTAACCCAAAATTCCTCCTGGCAGATACTCCACAATATAACAATGAAGCTGTTTCTCACATGGCAACTCCTCGGACTCTTCAGGGTGAGACGTGAAGATGTGTTTATACGTATCCCAACAACTAAAGTGTGTATACAGACACTTTTTTTTTATTTACTGAGCTGAAAATTATTAGAGGTCTCTTTGAATTATTATATCTCTGAACATTAATTTTCAAGTAGTTTCTATTAAACTTGATGATTCTTCTGAGCAATGATTGCTTGAAATTATAACAATGGCTATTTTTATGGAGTTAAAACACTCACTAATACTCAATTAGAAATATGCTAGATGCTGTCCTTAGTACACTACATGCTTGATTTCAAATAATCCCTACAGCAATTCCAGGAGATGGGTATAGGCACACCTCATTTTATTAAGCTTCACTTTATTTTTATTTTATTTTAAACATTTTTTATTGGTACACCGTAGGTGTATATACTTATGAGTTACGTGAAATGTTTTGATACAGGGATACAATGTGTAATTATCACATCAGGGTAAATGGGATATCCATTACCTCAAGCATTTATCCTTTGTGTTACAAACAATCCAGTTAAACTCTTTTCATTATCTCAAAATGTACAATTAAATTATTTTTGACTATAGTCATCCTGTTGTGCTATCAAATACCAGATATTATTCATTCTATATTTTTGTACCCATTAATCCCCATTCTCCCCCTACCCTCTGCCAACCTCACTACCCCTCCCAGCCTATCATTCTACTCTCTATCTTCATGAGTTCAATGTTTTAATTTTTAGCTCCTACAAATAAGTGAGAACATGCAAAGTTTGTCTTTCTGTGCCTGGCTTATTTCACTTAAAATAATGATCTCCAGTTCAGCAATGTTGTTGCAAATGACGAGATCTCATTCTTTTTTATGGCTGAATAGTACTCCATTGTGTAGACATATCACATTTTCTTTACACATTCTTCTGTCAGTGGACACTTAGGTTGTTTACAAATCTTAGCTATTGTGAATAATGCTGCATTAAACACGAGGCTGCAGATATCACTTCGATATACTGATTTTCTTTCTTTGGGGGTATACACCTAGCAATAGGATTGCTGGGTCATTTGGTAGCTCTATTTTTAATTTTTTGAGGAACCTCCAAACTGTTCTCCATGGTAGTTGTTACATTCCCAAAACTGGATACAAGTGTCCCCTTTTCTCCACATCCTTGCCAGCACTTGTTATTGCCTGTCTTTTAAATAAAAGCCATTTTAACTGGAGTGAGATGATCTCATTGTAGTTTTGATTTGCATTTCTCTGATGATCAATGATTTTGAGACCCTTTTCATATAGCTGTTTGCCATTTATATGTCTTCATTTGAGAAACGTCTATTCAGATCTTTTGCCTTTTTTTTTTTTCTTTTGGAGACAGGTTCTTACTCTGTCACCCAGGCTGGAGTACAGTGGTGCAATCATGGCTCACTGCAACCCCGACCTCCCAGGTTCAAGCTATCCTTCCACCTTAGCCTCCTGATTAGCTGGGTCTACAGGCATGCACCACCATGCCCTACTAAATTTTGTATTTTTTTTGTGGAGACAGGGTTTCATCGTGTTGCTCAGGCTGGTCTCGAACTCCTGGGCTAGGCTGTCCACCTGCCTCATCCTCCCAAAGTGTTGGGTTTATAGGAGTGAGCCACTGCCCCTGGCCTCTTTTGCCCTTTTATAAATCAGATTATTAGATATTTTCCTACAGAGTTGTTTGAACTCCTTATATGTTCTGGTTATTAATCCCTTGTCAGATGAATAGTTGCAAATATTTTCCCCTATTCTGTGGGTTGTCTCTTTATTTTGTTGATTGTTTTCTTTGGCACACAGAAGATTTTTAACTTGATGTGATCCCATTTGTCCATTTTTGCTTTGGTTGCCTGTGCTTGCGGAGTATTACTCAAAAAATCTTTGCCCAGGTCAATGTCTTGGACAGTCTCCCCAGTGTTTTCTTGTAGTAGTTTGATAGTTTGAGGTCTTAGATTTAAGTCTTTAATCCACTTAGATTTGATTTTTGTATATGGCAAGAAATAAGGGTCTAGTTTTGTTCTTCTGCATATGGATATCCAATTTCCCCAACACTATTTATTTATTTATTTTTTTGGAGACAGAGTCTCACTCTGTCACCCAGGCTGGAGTGCAGTGGCACGATCTCGGCTCACTGCAACCTCCACCTCCCGGGTTCAAGCAATTCTCCTGCCTCAGCCTCCCAAGTAACTGTGACTACAGGCGCAAGCCGCCATGCTCGGCTAATTTTTTTGTATTTTTAGTAGAGATGGGGTTTCACCGTGTTGCCCAGGCAGGTCTTGAACTCCTGAGCTCAGACAATCCACCTGCGTCAGCCTCCCAAAGTGCTAGGATTACAGGCATGAGCCACTGCGCCTGGCCCCAACACCATTCATTAAAGAGACGGTCCTTTCCGCAGTGTATGTTCTTGGAATCTTTGTAGAAAATCAGTTCACTGTAGATGTATGGATTTGTTTCTGGGTTCTCTATTCAGTTCCATTGGTCTATGTTTTTGTTTTTATGTCAGTGTCATGCAGTTTTGGTTACTGTAGCTCTGTAGTATAATTTGAAGTCAGGTAATGTAATTCCTCCAGTTTCGTTCTTTTTGCTCATGATAGCTTTGGCTATTCTGGGTCTTTCATGGTTCCATATAAATTAAAGGACTTTTCTTATTTCTGTGAAGAATTTTATTGGTATTTTGACAGGGGTTGCATGGATTTGAGTAGTATGGACATTTTAACAATATCAATTCTTCCAATCCATAAACATGGAATATTTTTCCATTTTTTGTTTGCTCTTCAATTTCTTTCATCAATGTTTTATAGATTTCATTGTAGAGATCTTTCACTTCTTTAAGTTAATTCCTAGGTATTTAGTTTTATTTGTAGCTATTGCAAATGAAATTACTTTCTTAATTTCTTTTCAGATTGTTCACTGTTGACATATAGGAATGCTACTGATTTTTGCATGTCAATTTTGTATACTGCAACTTTATTGAATTTGTTGATCAGTTCTAATAGTTTCTTTTGGAGTCATTAGGTTTTTCCAAATATAAGATCATATCGTCTACAAACAAGGATAATTTGACTTCTTCCTTTCCAGTTTGGATGCCCTTTATTTATTTATCTTGACTGATTGCTCTGGCTAGGAATTCCAGGACTATGCTGAATAAAAATGATGAAAGTGAGCATCCTTGTCCTGTTCCAGATTTTAGAGGAAAGGCTTTCAGTTTTCTCCTATTCAGTATGATACTAGCTATGGGTCTGTTGTATATGGCTTTTATTATGTTGAGGTTTTATATTCAGTTTTTTGAAGATTTTTATTGTGAAGGGATGTTCAGTTTTATCAAATGTTTTTTTCAGTATCAATTGAAATGATCATATAGTTTTTGTCCCTTATTCTGTTGATATGATGTGTCACTTTGATTGATTTGCCTATGTTGAACCATCCTTGCATCCCTGGAATAAATCCCATGTGGTCATTATGAATGATCTTTTTAATGTCCTGTTGAATTCAGTTTGCTAGTGCTTTGTTGAGGATTTTTGTGTCAATGCTCATCAAAACTACAGGATATTGGTTTGTAGTTTTCTTTTTAAATTTGTCTTTTCTGGTTTTGATATGAAGACCTTGTAGCATGTGTTTGGAAGCATTCCCTCCTCCTCTGTTTTTCAGAATAGTTTGAGTAGAATTGGTATTAGTTCTTCTTTAAATATTTGGTAGAATTGAGCAGTGAAGCCATCAGGTCCCAGGCTTTTCTTTGCTGGGAGACTTTTTATTAGGGCTTCGATCTTGTTACTTGTTAGTAGTCTGTTCAGGTTTTGGATTTCTTCATGATTCAATCTTAGTAGGTTGTATGTGTCTAGGGATTTATCCATTTATTTTAGGTTTTCCCATTTATTGCCATATAGTTGCTCATAGTGACCTCTAAAGATCCTTTGAAATTCTATAGTATCAGTTGTCATATCTCCATTTTCATCTCTGATTTTATTTATTTGGGTCTTCTGTCTTTTTTTTCTTAGTCTGGCTAAAGGTTTATCAACTCCATTTATCTTTTTTAAAAAACAACTTTTTGTTTTGTTGATTTTTGTATTGTTTTCTTCATTTCAGTTTTATTTATTTTATTTTGCTTTGATTTTTTTTTTTTTTTTTTTTGAGATGGAGTCTCGCTCTGTCACCAGGCTGGAGTGCAGTGGCGTGATCTCAGCTCACTGCAACCTCTGCCTGCCAGGTTCAAGTGATTCTCCTGCCTCAGCCTCCTGAGTAGCTGGGACTACAGGCGTGCACCACCATGCCCAGCTAATTTTTGTATTTTTAGTAGAGATGGGGTTTCATCACGTTGGCCAGGATGGTCTCGATCTGTTGACCTTGTGATCCACCTGCCTTGGCCTCCCAAAGTGCTGGGATTACAGGCATGAGCCGCCGTGCCCGGCCCTGCTTTGATTTTTATTATTTCTTTTCTTCTACAAACGTCAGGTTTGGTTTGTTCTTGCTTTTCTACTTCTTTAAGATGCATCATTAGATTGCTTATTTGAAGTTTTTCTTTCTTTCTTTTCTTTCTTTCCTTCCTTCTTTCCTTCCTTCCTTCCTTCTTTCCTTCCTTCCTTCCTTCCTTCCTTCCTTCCTTCCTTCCTTCCTTCCTTCCTTCTTTCTTTCTTTCTTTCTTTCTTTCTTTCTTTTTCTTTCTTTCTTTTTTTCTTTCTTTTTTTTTTTCCAGAGTCTCAGTCTGTCGCCCAGGCTGGAATGCAGTGGCTTGATCTTGGTTCACTGCAGCCTCAACCTCTCGGGCTCAAACTATCCTCCCACCTCAGCTTCCTGATGAGTTGGGACTACAGATGCGTGCCACCATGCCCAATTAATTTTTTCTTTTTTGTATTTTTGGTAGAGACAGGGTTTTGACATGTTGCCCACCCAGATTGAGGGTAGGTCTGCCTCTCCCAGTCCACTGACTCAAATGTTAATCTCCTTTGGCAACACCCTCACAGACACACCCAGGACCAATACTTTGTATCCTTCAGTCCAATCAAGTTGACACTCAATATTAATCGTCACAAGTAGAAAGTCAAAAAGATGAACCTATCAAAAATAATATCTACAACAACTTTTCAAGACATAAAAAATACAATAAGACATAAACAGGAACAGCAAAAAGTTTTATAATGGGGGAGACAGAGTTCTTATCAGTTCTCAGTATGAAGAGGGAAGTTTACAGCTAAAAGAGTCTACATAAAAAAACTAGAGGCCAGGCATGGTGGCTCATGCCTATAATCCCAGCATTTTGGGAAGCTAAGGCAGGAGGATTGCTTGAGCTCAGGAGTTTGAGACCACTTTGGGCAACATGCCAAAACCCTCTCTCTACCAAAAATATTAGTGTAAGTCCAAGAGTACAAAAGCCAAAGAACCTGGAGTCTGATGTTCGAGGGCAGGAAGCATCCAGCATGGGAGAAAGGTGAAGGCCAGAAGACTCAGCAAGTCAGTCCCTTCCACTTTCTTCTGCCTGCTTTATTCTAGCCAGACTGGTAGCTGATTAGATGACTGTGTATTTTCAAATGGCCTGTCGTCAAGATCACTAATTCTTTTGTCTGCTTGATTATTTCTGCTATTAAGAGAACCTGATGCATTCTTCAGTATGTTGACTGCATTTTTTTAACTCCAGAATTTGTTTGATTCTTTTTAATTATTTTAATTTCTTTGTTAAATGTATCTGATAGGAATCTGAATTCCTTCTCTGTGTTATCTTGGATTTCTTTGAGTTTCCTCAAAACAGTGAATTCTCTCTCTCTCTGGAATTGGCCCCTGGTGCCTTATTTGTTCGTTTGTTGAGGTCATGTTTTCCTGGATGGCCTTGGTGCTTGTGGATGTTCATCAGTGTCTGAGCATGGAAGAGTTAAGTATTTATGGTAGTCTTCACAGTCTGGGCTTGTTTATACCTGTCCTTTTGGGAAGGCTTTCCAGGTACACAAGGGCACTTGGGTGTTGTGATTCGAGTTTTTGGCCACTGCATCTTTACCTGCATTAGGGGGCACCCCAAGCCCAGTAACACTGTGTTTCTTGAAGACTTGTAGAGGTACCACCTTGGAGGTCTTGAATAAGGTCTGAAAGAAATCTCTGGATTACCAGGCAGAGACTCTTGTTCTCTTCCCTTACTTTCTGTCAAACAAACGAAGTCTCTCTGTCTGTGCTAACTGTCTGGAGCTGGGGAAGGGATGACACAAGCACCTCTGTGGCCACTACCACTGGGACTGCACTGGGTCAGGCCTGAAGCTAGCATGGCACTGTGTCTCACTGAAGGCCCACTGTAAAACTACCTGGCTACCGCCTATGTTCTCTCAAGGACCTAGGGCTCTACAATCAGCAGGTGGCAAAGCGAGTCAGGCTTGTGTCCTTCCCTTCAGGGCAACAAGTTCATTCCCCTAGGCCCCAGATGGGTCCAGAGATGCCATCCAGGAGCCAAAGCATGGAGTTGAAAACCCTAGAAACTACCTGTACTCTATTGAACTGGCACCCAAGCCACAAGACAAAGTCCTTCCACTCTTCCCTTCCCTTTTCCCAGGCAGAAGAATCTTTCCCTCTGTCCATCATCATCACAGGCTGGTGGGAAGTACTATCAGGCTACTGCCAATGTTCACTTAAGGCCCTAGGTCTCTCCAGTCAGTTTGTGGTGAATGCTGCCAGGCCTGAGACTCACTCTTCAGAGAAGTGGGCTCCCCTCTGCCAACGGCAGGTCCAGAAATGCCATCCAAAGCCAAGGCCCAGAGCTGGAGACCCCAAGAGCCTGCTTAGTGCTCTACTCCACTATGGCTGAGCTGGTGCCTAAGCTGTAAGAAAAAGTCCCCTTTACTCTTCTGTCTGCTTTTCTCAAGCAGAAGGAGTCCCTCCTCATAGTCACCACAGCTGTGAATGTACTGGGTCACACCTGAAGCCACGTCTCAGAGTCTCATCCAATGCCCGTGTTGCACTACCTTGGTATCACTGCTGTTTATTAAGGGTTTAAGGGCTTAGGGCTCTTTAGTCAGCAGGTGATGAATCCTGCCAGGACTGAGTCCTACCCTTCAAGGCACTGGGTTCCCTTCTGGTCCAGGGTGTGTCTAGGTTGCCCAGGAGATAGATTCTGGAATGGGAGTCTCAGGACTCTGCCTGCTGCCCTGTCTTACTGTTGCCAAGCTGGTATCCAAATTGCAAGACAAAGTCCTCTTTAATCTTCCTTCTCCTCTCAAGTGGAAGGAGGGGTCTTTTTCAGAGCTACAAGCTATGCTGCCTGGGGTTGGGGAGGGGTGGTGCAAGCACTCTCTTAGCTGCTTTGGCTTGTGTCTCATTAGGTTGCATACCCCAACTCCACTGGCTCTGACCCCAGCACAGCATTAGGACTTGCCCAGGAATTGCAGTCCTTGTGGCCTAGACTGCTTTTCAAATTTATTTAGAACCCCAGAGCATTTTAGCCTGTGGTGGTGAGGCATGCTGAAACTCAAGTTCCAACTGCTGGAATGGATGATTTCCCTCTGGCTAGAACTTGTCTAAAGGCTCCCTCCATGGATGTTGTTCTGCCCAGTGTTGGCAGCACTGAGTTCCAATGCAAAGTTCCACAATCACTGTGCTCTCCCTCCCTCAAGTGCACAGATTCTCTCTCCATGCCCTGCAGCCACTGCTGGAGGATTGAGGAGCGGTGATGTTGGCAATTCAAGACTGTCTTTCCTGCCCTCTTCATTATCTTTTTCTGGAATCTATAGGTAAAATTAGGTACTGTGATTGCTCACTTGATTTTCAGTTCTTCTGAAGGTGCTTTTTTGTGTAGATATTAAATTTGGTGTTCCTGTGGGGAGGATGATTGATGGAAGAGTGGGATTATGGGTGTGAGCCACTGTGCCTGGCCAAATGTGTGTATTCTGACTGCTCCAAAGACCCACCATTCTCCCATATCTCTCCCTCTCCTTGGGCCTCCCTATTCTCTGAGAAACAACAATATTAAAATTAGGTCAATTAATAGTCCTACAATGGTCTCCAAGAGTTCAAGTGATAGGAAGAATCACAAGTCTCTCACTTTAAAAAACTATAAATAATTAAGTTTAACGAGGAAGGCATGTTGAAAGCTGAGATAGGCCAAAAACTAGGCCTCTTGTGCTCAGTAGCGACATTGTGGATGCAAAGAAAAAGTTCTTGAAGAAAATTAAAAGTTCAACTCCAAGGAACACACAAATGATAAGAAAGCAAAACAGCCTTATTACTGATATGGAGGAAGTTTGAATGGTCTGGATAGAAGAACCAGACACAACCATCCCTTAAGCCAAAGCCTAATCCAGAGTAAAGTCCTAACTCTCTGTCATTCTATGAATAGTGAAAAAAGTGAGGAAGCTGCAGAAGCTGGCAGAAATTGGTTTATGAGGTTTTAGGAAGAAGAGGAAGAGGAAAGAAGAGGAGGAGAAAGAACAGGAAGAAGAGGAGAAAGAGAAGAAAAAGAAGGAAAAGAAGAAAAGGAAGAGGAGGAAGGGGACAGGGGAGGGGGAGGAGGGAGAGAGGGAGGGAAGGGAAGAGAAAAGGAGTAGAGTAGAGACAGGTGGGAAGAAAGGCACGAGTAACCTGGTGTACAGTTGGGGATTATGAAGGACTAAATGGCACTAAAATTTCCCTGATGAAGAGGAGACTAAAAGATATTTTATTCCTAGGTATATGTCTAACCAAGGAGGTGAAAGATCTCTACAATGAAAACTACAAAACACTGATGAAAAAAATTGCAGATGACACAAACAAACGGAAAAATATCCCATGCTCATTGATCAGAAGAATCAATGTTGTTAAAAATGAGCCTACTACCTAAAGGAATCCACAGATTCAATGCAATTCCTATCAAAATATCAATGTTATTTTTCACAAAATTAGAAAAAGCAATCCTAAAATTCATGTAGAACCAAAAAACAGCTGAATAGCCAAAGCAATCCTAAGCAAAAAGGACATAAGCTTGAGAGAATAGAAGTAAGGAAGAGACATTTCATGAGAAAGGGCATTTTGGGTTAAGGGCATGGGGAGGGGTTCAATTTGGTTGCAGTGTTTAAGAGGAAGTGGCATATCATGGGGATGGAGGAAAACCACAGGTGACCTGTAAGAGGTCACATGTGCAAGGTTTTGACTATCTTGTAGGTGCTGGACAACTACTGAAAAATGGCTAATTAGCAAATTTTCTCTGACATCAAAGGAGAAGATGAAGCAGGGAGGAAACAGTTGCCATGTTCCAGGTGAATCAGACCTAAGGGTGAGACCAGAACTAAGCTATGAGTAGTAGAAATGGAGAAGAACATGCACTTTGAGGAAATATCAATTAATGAGGGTTGCCAGGACTTGGTAAAAGTACCTAAGAAGCAGTCCCCAAATGAAAGTACACATTGCTGTGTTTTGAAGGCTCATTTGCTCCTCCATGTCTTGCCTTTCAGATAGCACAGAAATTATTTCTCAGCTCTTGGGGAGGTTGTGCACTCTTCAGTCTCCCTAGGCTCAGGGTTAAACAAAGATGGAGACTTGGAAGGGAGTGACTCCAAGGGCAGAGAAACCACACACAACAAGCTGACTTCTTCTTGTATGTTCAGGGATAGAGTGGCCACAGGTCATTTAGAGTAGGTGTCCTGCCTTTCCAGATGATGGCTGATGAAACAGAGAGGGGCAGGAAGTGAGAAGGAATCCCTTCATGTATTTCTACTGGCTTCCCGAGAGCAGTGGAGACTAGCTGAGCATAGCATCCAGCAGGAACACAGAAGAGTATGCTAGCATGGAATTAATGACACAGACAAAGAAATAGAAGAAAACTAGTAGAGGAATGACTGGATCCCACTCTCTCCTTCCAAATGCCCTATCCTATGGGTCAGCCTGAACCAAGGTTTGTTTCCAAGACGGTTTCAGGGACAGGAAAGCCCATCTGAGGTCTGAAGTTGAAGGATCCAGTAAAGTTAGTCCTGTAGGTTTGACAGGGAATATTGCTCCCACTTTACAGATGATATCCAGGCAGCAAGAGTTAAGCCAGTAACTACAGACAATGCTCTGGTGGTATGTACTCCTGCGTACATTGTTCTCGGCATTTAATTTGAATTATGTTATCCCTGTGAGGTTGGTAGTTTTATTATCCCCGTTTAATAGATGGGGGAATTGAGACACAGAGGGGCTAAGTAACCTGCCCAAGGCTATATAATGCATATGACAGAGCCAGAATTCAAATCCAGGCAATGGGACATCAGAGAGTATGCCTGACCACTATGCTCCATTGACTTCAGCACCAGCCAAGTCTTCTGATTCCAAGCCCATTGCTCTTTCCAATACATTGTAACAGTCACTTCTTGGCATAAAAATATCATATATCATGCCAATAGTTTCATATGTAGGGGATTTCAAAGGTGTACCTCTGGGAAGCCTATGATCTCAGCCACACTGTAGGAAATAAATTGCAGAAGTTTAGTGTCTTAAATTCAAATCACAAACACAGTATTAACAGTGGGGTGGAAGTATTAGTAAAAATTCATCTTATTAAATGAACATCTGTTTCCTGGAATTTGACAGCATTCTCATACAAGTATGGCCAGGCTGGGATGGCTCACTGAGAAAGTTTAAGTATACTTTCTAATGAAACTTTCGTAGTTACAAAAACTACAGCGATGAAGTCAGTGGGTAAAGAGTCTGAATTTTAGTACCTTTAAAAAAGAAGTCAGACACATTGTTTTATCTGCCCAATTCTAGAGTCATTATATCTCTCCCTCCCCAGTCTAGTGTTAATAAAACAGACAGACTGGGCAGGGAAATGGCAGTTAGTGGGCAAAGGGTTTTTGGTAAGGAAGTGGGCATAGTCCAGAATATTGGGAAATGCCACTGCCTTTCATCTGTTTTTGGGACTGGGATGGGTTTCCATGTCAGATTGATTGCAAAAAATGGCTGCAATTCTTCAAGTACTTTGCACTGTGACTTTGCCAGCAACTCCATTAAGAAATGGAGTCTATTTCCTACCCCTTGAATCTGGGCTGTCTTGTGACTTACTTTTAGCCAGTAGAATGTGGCAGAGGTAGTGGTATATCGGTTCCAAGCCTAAGGTCTTAAACCAAGACCTCTTGGTCAGTTCGTTTTTTTGAGTTTAGTCTCACTCTGTTGCCCAGGCTGGAGTGCAATGGCGTGATCTCGGCTTACTGCAATCTCCATCCCCCAGGTTCAAGTGATTCTCTTGCCTCAGCCTCCCAAGTAGCTGGGATTATAGCCTGCCACCGCGCCCAGCTAATTTTTGTACTTTTAGTAGAGACAGGGTTTCACCATCTTGGCCAGGCTGGTCTTGAACTGCTGGCCTCGTGATCCACCCGCCTCAGCCTCCCAAAGTGCTGGGATTACAGGCGTGAGTCAGCGCACCTGGCCATCTTGGTCAATTCTAAGATCAAGAGTTCTTGAACATTTCCACTTTCTTTTGCCCCTCTGCCTTTATTAGGAGAACAATCCTGAACTAGCCTGCTGGAAGATGAGACATGACATGAAGCAGAGATGCATATTCCCAGCTGAGGCCATCCTAGATCAGCCAACTCTGGCAGACCTTCCAGCTGTGGGCAGTCACATAACAAGCTCAGCTGCATACTTTGAGCCCATCCTGGACCAGCATGGTTGCTCAGCCAGCTCCTAGATGCATGAGAAATAGTAAATGGCTGTGGTTTAAAGACACTAGACATTGGGATGGTTTGTTATGTAGCATTATCGTAGCAATAGAGAGCTGACAAAAGCACCAGAGGAAAATCTCATCAGTGACAGGAAGTCTGCTCCCCTCTATCATGCCCTCTTTCTTATGCTTGTGGCTTTTGCATTTCCTTCTAATAGTGGCTGCCCCACTCTCACCCAGCCCCACAGAAACTCTGCAGTAAGGCCACTGGTTACCTACTGGGGAAAGGTGGCCAATGCTTACATTACAAACACACAGAAGAAACCATACTCATGTTTTCTCCAGCCCAGAGCAAGTCAGCAACATGTCAGAAATCCAGACCTTCCTCCTTTGTTCCTTTTGTGTTTGCACTTTGGTTCGCTTTCCACCCAATTCCCATCATGGCTCCTCTTTCTACTTAAAGACGGTTGTATCAAAGGGTTTCCAATCAAGAAATCTGCATTTGCACAGGTTTGGATTCACACTCTGGCTCAGCCTCCTACTAGCTGTGTGCTCTCAGAAAAGTCGCTCAACTCATTGAGTCTGTTTCTTTGTACATAAAATGGGGATGATAATTCCTACCTATAGGGTTATTGTGAGGATCAACTGAAGTATGTACTTAGGATGTATTAAATAATACATCAATAAATGGTAGTTTTGACTAATTCGTGGGCCCCATCCTCTCCAGTTCTCAACTCTGGGGCTCCTTTCAGAATTCTAGTTTGGGTTCAAACCACCTGCAAGCAGAATCCCATAGAATCTAGTCTCTTAGGACCTGCTCTAATCTCTAGTCCCTGCAGGCACCCAGGCTGATGTATTAGTGTCCCCATGCAAGTACCCTTTACAACAGAAAAGTGTCAAAACCCTTTTGCAAGTGGGTCAGTGGGCTATCCTGCCTCCCCAAACCCCAAGCTGTGCTGACCGCCTGCAATTATTTCCACATGATGCAATGCTCCCCCTCCCCTTGGGAGCAGTATTAGGTTTCCTCCCATTCCCATACACTTCAGAGACTGCTACCCTCTCACATTTCAGACGCTGACCTGCTCCTTTGCACTTTTCCCCTCTGCTTGTCTGGAGACCTGCATAATGAAATTCAGACAGTGGTGACTAACTTCCCCTCAGAACAAGGTGGCGTGGGCTGGCAGGGAGCATGCTTCTCCCAAGGCTGGGGCATAAAGCTGAGTGAGAGGAAGCTTGGTGACTTCATTGCTTCGTGTCAGATCAGAGGTTCCTCGCTCTGAAGGGAAAGGCAAACACTTTTGATCTGACTATGGGAGGCGGGGAGAATACATGCGATCTATAAAATGAAAGAGGCTTTCCAAAA
Organism: Homo sapiens; assembly: GCF_000001405.40. Taxonomy (NCBI): domain Eukaryota; kingdom Metazoa; phylum Chordata; class Mammalia; order Primates; family Hominidae; genus Homo; species Homo sapiens. The sequence continues at coordinate 63,746,601 of NC_000001.11, forward strand.
ACAACAAGGCTGAATCATAAGAACTTACATTTATGGAACACTCTGCCGTTTCTAAGGCTCTTTTCACACGCATTGTTTCATTTGACTCTCACAGCAGCCCTGGGAGGCACAGGGGACCAGGATTAACATCTCTGTTAGACCAACATTCCCGCTAGACCTTCCAGAAGAGTGCTGAGGTCACACAGTAAGGAGGTGGCAGAGACTAGGCCCACCTGCAGGCCTCTGGACCCCACACCCAGCACTCCGGCTCTGTGGTGCCGCCTTCTCTCTTGCACTTCAGACCATGAGTAAGGCCCAACATGTTTAAAGCTTTCCTGTAGAAACACCCCTTATGGCAGCAAACTTACTACCTCCGATGCAAACTTACTACCAAATCTTGCGTCTTATCTAAAAATTTCATTTGAACTATGAAGTTTGTTATATTAATTGCCACATTTATATTAAATATATTTTATATTCTTAAGGTAAAGGTGAAGCTTTTTATTTTTGCTTCCCTTAGATAAAATAAATGTTTCAGGAAGATGGCTTTGCTTAGCCTTGGGTGACTTCAGGAGCCCGTGGCACCAGGTTCTAGATGCTTTCAACCAGTGTGGAAGATGAGTGTGTGGCCTACATGCGACTGCCTGGAGAAATGCTTTATTGAGCCCCCACCTCAGTAAGGTGGTTTTTTAGTTGGTATTGTTGACTGAGGCTTCTTTTAAACCATATGTCCCAAACATTCCATGCTGCATTCTTTGACAATGGAAAGACACATGTTTGTAAGGTGTGTTTAGTATCTTGAGAGGCTGGAGGCAGGAGCTTTCGTGCATTCCCAGATGCACTGAGTGCACTTGCAGAGCAGAAAACATGTGCTTTAAGCAGGAATCAGTGATGGAAGCAGGCACAGCCAGAAGACCAGCTGTGTGTGGAGCTCAGCCGAGGGGTCGGAACACAAGATTTAGGGGCTCGGAATTGTTGTAACTCTATGCCATACCTTACGTCACCCTCCAGGCAGCTCTCTCTTGGAAGAGTCTTGGGGAGGAGTCCCACTGTCAGCCAGGGAGCATTCTCCTCTCTGTGCCTTTCAGGAGGTCCAAGATCTTTAAATTGTAACTTGGACTCCACAGGGCCCTGCGGTGCAAGCCTCAGCTGACTCTGGCTAGCCTTGCCAACTCCTGCTGTCCATCCCAGAGCTGGCTCAGCACTTGCTACTGGCGTTTTGCTTCAGAGAGGAATCCTGGCACCACCAATCTGCAAAGTTAGTTGAGACAATTATAGCACACTTATCAGAACAGATGGGATCAAAATCTCAAGTCAAAGGTGAGTGAGGTGACAATCATGAGGGCCGTCTCCTTTGACATGGGTTTGAAGGCAGTGGGAATATATTCCAAAGTGGTCTTACAATTGTTTGCAATTACAGACTAGGGATTTGCTGAAGGAAAGAGAGTCATCCAAGAGGACAATCTCAACAGCTAACATGTACAATGGTTTCTTATGTGTGCCAGACACTGGCCTTAGCATCTTAAGTGCATTTGTTTATTTACACCTCACAACAGTCTTACAAGGTAGGTACTAGTGTGACCTGTCCCGTTTACACAGATAAGAACATGAAATCACAGAGACTGTAAGTAACTTGTCTAAGGTAAACAGCTAATACGTGGCAGAGCTGGGATTTGAACCCAGGGCCTCCTTACTTGTAACTACCATGCTATACTGCTTCTCACTGCCTGCCCAATGCACTCACAAGTAACAGTAAATGAACTTTCTTTAGCCCTATTTTATGCCAAGCCATGTGCTGAATGCTTGACACGCCCTATCTCTCACAGTTCTGACAAGATTCCTGGAAAGGAAGTACTATCATCACTTCCATTTTCTAAATTACTCCCAGCTTCAAATGAGGAAACTGAGGCTCAGAGATGTTAACTTGCCAGGAGTTATATACCTAGTAAATGACCCTAAAGCCGATACTCTTAATCATTCTATTTTGCTGCCTTCTATATAAACTGCATAAACTGTGACTAGCTCAAAATAAATAAGAGGTTGTTTTTTTTTCTTTTTTTTCTTTAGAGAGTGTCCTATGTATTCTGGACACTAAATAAGTGCATACTTATTTCCAAGAAAATGCTTATAGGATTTGAGATCTGGGCGGTAGGCAGTATGGTGAAACGCAAAGAACCCTGAGCTTGCAGTCAGAAGATCTAGGTGCAAGTCCCATCTCTGGCGCTTGGCTTCCCAGTTTCCTCATTTGTAAAATGGAGCAAACGAGAATGCCTGTCTGTGGGAAATGAATGATAGGACATATGTGGTGCTGTTATTATTTAACATATGGAAATAGTTCTCTTTTTAGACCAACTCCTTTCATTTTTTTTAGATGAGAAAACAGAATCCTAGAGAGGTTAAAAAAACTTTCTCGAGTCCCACAGCTAGTTCATGACAGTCAGGACTTGAAATCAATTCCTCAGCCTTACAGTCCAGCACATTAGCTACTTTACTGGGCTGATTTTCTGATATTCCTTAGAGTTTGTGTTTTAGGATTATCCTCTCATTGCTTGGTTCCATTTATTAAACTGCTGCTTCTCTTGTATCTGTGGAATTAAGGGTCAAAAAGAGTTTAGATAAGGTGAATGCACACTCTCCACAACTATCTAGTGGATTCCTGGTTTCCATTTGCAGAAAAGAGCAGCTAAAAAGTCATAAAATTGGTAGACAGCTCTCCATCTCCCTGTCTCCTATTCATCTTTAAAGGATCTGCCACCAAATGGTGATGTGAGCAGAAAAACAAGGAAGGCACCATAGAGCTCTCCCAGGTGGTCTTGTCTGGTCTAGTGGCAGGTGTGGTGTTGTGGGGAGAGGGAATTACTAAGGAAGAAATCAATAAAGATCAATGGAAAGTCCCACAGTTAGGTTCAAAACATCAACTGTACCCAGTGCAGGGTAAGTAGAATCGTTCACACAAAAATGACCTTGAGGTTTTAGTTGTATAAGCTCAATAAGAAATAATAGTGCTATGGATTTGTCTAAAAACCAATTGCATTCTGAAAATGTGTGGTGGCTAATATTTTATGTCAATTTGACTGGACTAGGAATGCCCAGATAGTTTGCAAAACATGATTTCTGGGTGTGTCTGTGAGGGTGTTTCCAGAAGAGATTAGTCTTTGAATATGTAGTCTGAGCACAGACGATCCACCTTACCAATATGAGTGGGCATCATCCCATCCATTGAAGGCCCAAATAGAACAGAAAGGTGGGGGAAGGATGAATTCACTCTCTCTCTTCTTGAGCTGGGACAGCCATCTTCCCCTGCCCTTGAACATCAGAAATCCTGGTTGCGGGTCTTCAAACTGGGACTTATACCAGTGGCACCTCTCCTTCCAGGTTCCCATGCCTTTGGACTTAGACTGAATTATACCACTGGCTTTCCTGCTTCTCCAACTTGCAGACAGCATATGATGATACTTCTTGGCTTCCATAATTGTGTGAGCCAATTCCCATAATCCCCTCTTATATATCTATATATATCCTATTGGTTCTGTTTCCTTGGAAAACTCTGACAAATACAGAGTGAGTTAAGACTTACTTTTTAGTCTCAGCCAGGTGTGGTGGCTACACCTGTAATCCCAGCACTGTGGGAGGCCAAGGCAGGCAGATGACCTGAGGTCAGGATTTCAAGACCAGCTTGACCAACATGGTGAAACCCCTGACCAACAGACCAGCTACTTGGGAGGCTGAGGCTGGAGAATCGCTTGAACCTGGGAGATGGAGGTTGCAGTGAGCCGAGATCGTGCCACTGCATTCCAGCCTGGGCGACACAGCAAGACTGTCTCAATAAATAAATAAATAAATAAATAAATAAATAAATAAATAAAGCATTACTTTCTAGTCCTGACCCTTTCACAAACTGGCTGAGGAACTCAAGCAAGTGTTTTAAAGCCCTCAAAATGAGGAATGGTATAGTCACTCTGTATTCTGTACTTAAGACAGATGCATAGAAAGGCTTCTTTCTGAACGTCTTATTTTCACATTGTATGGACAAGCTGGAGCATAACCAGAGGCCTCGGACTCAGCACTGGAAAGAATTCACCTTTGTGAGGCTTTCCATCATGTAGTAGACACCGAGCTAGGGTTTTACCTATATGGTCTCGGTTAATCTTCACATCAATGCTGAAATGTTTTTTATTATTCTAAAAAAAAAGAGTTTTTTCTTTTTTTTTTTGGAAGAAACTTGCCTAAGATCGCTCCCACTGAAAGTGAAAGGGCTGACTCCTAAATGCATGTCCTTCCCACTACTAGGATAGAAAAACATCTAAAAACCATGTCATGAGAGGGCAGCTATGGAAACCAAGAATAACAATAGCTATCCAAAAAAATATATGAAGGACTGTTAGGTCCAGGAAAATAGATTTATTCATTTTTGATCCCAGAGAAACTTGATCCATGGTAGGAAAACAGGAAGTTGGTGTCGGGAAGAGCTTTCTATTAGAGGCGATTCAACCAAGGACCCAGCTTCCTTAACTCATCCTGAGCATCCTTTGGCAGAGGAGATGCTGTCAGTATCCGGCAGTGTCCCCCTACTTGCACCTCTGCTGGGTGTGCTGAACCAGCCTCAATTGCCAAATCCTGTGAATCTTTGCCTACGGGATTCTCTGGTCATTGGAGCCCACCTACTTGCATACTGGAAGTGACCAGGGAATAATCACTTCCCCCGGCAACTGACATGGAATGCCTGATGGGATAAATGCCCTGGCCCTCTTGCCCCTCATGGGATAACTCTGGGGTGCATGCTCTATGCTGTTTCTCAGAGTTCTCAGCAGGATGAAGCTCCAGTTGGTGGAAACTTGTTTCATTGTTTTCTTCTCTTGCCTGTCTCACTTCTGCTGCTCAACCAGTGTTCCGTGGAATAACTTCTCAAATAAGCCACTTGCATTTGAATCTTTGCCTTGGAGTCCACTTCTGTGGAACCCCAAAGTAAGGCAATCCCTATGATTCATGAGCACTGGACTGAATGTCAAGGGATTTAAGTTTTCATTTTGCTTCCTGACCATGTGCTTTTGGGCAAGTTACTAACTCTGTCTGGCTCCTCATTTTCCCATTTGGACTAGATGAAATATACTTCTGTCATTTATATTCATGATCATGAGTACACCTAGCACTTCAATTTGTAGAGTCCTTTGGCTGCTTTTGTTTTTATTTATTTTGAGACACAGTCTCACTCTGTTGCCTGGGCTGGAATGTAGTGGCACAATCACAGCTCTCTTCAGTCTTGATCTCCCAGGCTCAAGTGATTCCCCCACCTCAGCCTCCTGAGTAGCTGGGATTACAGGTGTGTGCCACTACGCCCAGCTAATTTTTAAATTTTTTGTGTGGGGATGGGGGTCTCACTATGTTGCCCAGGCTGGTCTTGAACTCCTGATCTCTAGGGATCTTCGTGCCTCAGCCTCCCAAAGAACTGGCATCACAAACATGAGCCACCATACCCAGCTCCTTTGTCTGCTTTTGAAAGGCCCTTCTCATCAAGGCCCTTCCCATCCATGCTTCATTTGATCTTCAAAATACCTCTATGAATTACAGAAGGTATGAACAACTTTGCCTATCTAGAAGATTAGATAATTGAACACCATAAGGGATTAGTGTCCTTTTTTCTCATCTAAATATTTTAACTAATTTGCTCATATTATCCACCAGTCTGAGTGATTCTCATGCCTTATTCTTCTAAATTTCCATCTCCAACTTTGATGCATAGAACAAGTTTCCTGTTTCCTGATGGCTAGGAAACATCTGGAATTGTGGCCAAAATAAGAAGAGATTCACAACCTTGAATATAAAATTCTCCCTTCAACAGTCTATACTAGGTTAAGTGCTGTGTGAGACAAGCATGTGGAGGGAGACATAGTCTCCCTGGGCTCTGTGCTGGTGGGCTGGGGAACTGTGTATATGCACTCTGAGAAGAGGCAGCACAGGACACGTTTCAGAAATGACATAAACAAAGTTTGGGCTCTCTGAGAGATGGACTGTGTGTGAGTGTAAATGTGTTTGATCTCTGTATCATCAGTTTCTAAAACTGTACCTTGGATATAGTAGGTATTAAGTAAATATTTCTTAAGTGTTAATATATGCCTGCATAAATGAATAATAGCACCCTGGGAGTTCTGGGAAGATACTGTATTACTACTAGAGTAGTCAGGGCAACTTTCCAGAGGGGATGGATGGAATTTGAGGTGGGCCTTGAATGACTGTCAGTATTTCTGTTGTCAGAGAGGGCATCCCAGGTGGAGGATATGGCATGGGCATATAAGCAGAGACACAAATACTCTAAGTATGTACCAGAGGGTGGCCAAAGGCCTTGTGCGACTGATGCACTATGTTAACATGGGGCGGGGTGGAGCCAGGTTGGTGGAGGCCTTTGAGGCCAGGAGGAGTTCAGGATGCAGTGGTGAACTGCTAAGGGTTCTGATTGCGAGAGCCATGGTGACGGCTAGGGAGGAAGTGTAGTCAGGTGTCAGTGCAGAGTATGGACAGAGGAAGGGAGAGAGAAACAAAATCGTGAGGAGGAGATTACAGTAATTCTGGCAGGAATGTGAGGGTGTCTGAATTAGGGAGTGGAAGTGAAAATAGAAAAGGAAGAATGGGTCCAGAATTCAGTAGAATATGGATTTTAGGAGCACAAGCTTTGGGGTAAAGCAGCCTGGTGCCAAATTCTTTCCCTGCTGTGCAATATTAGAATTATATATCCTCTGTTGTCTCATTTGCAAAAAGGGAGTCATAAGATGTTGGTAAGAATGAAATGAAATAATGTATATAAAGAACAAAGCAAAATGCTGTCACATACACTCTACATGACAGAAGTTTTAAAAAATTATTATTTTATTAAAGAAAGAAAGACTCAGCTACTCATTAATTACCCAGCATTTAGAGATGGTTATTATTAGTGCATCATACAGTCTGTCCACTGGAACTTTGTTGGTCCCCACACTATTTCTCTAGATCCATGAAAAATGAAGTGTGTAACTAGTACAGGCCAGAAGCACTGAAGAAAGTCAGTACCATGGGGTTCATGGGCACTCTGGTAGTGTATTAGTCCATTGTCACACTGCTAGAAAGAACTGCCCGAGACTGGGTAATTTATAAAGGAAAGATGTTTAATTGACTCACAGTTCTGCATGGCTGGGAAGGCCTCAGGAAACGTACAATCATAGCGGAACTGGAAGTAAACACATCATTCTTCACAGGGCAGCAGGAGAGAGAAGTGCCAAGCAAAGGGGGAAAGATCCCTTATAAAAACATCAGATCTCGTGAGAACTCATTCGCTATCATGAGAACAGCATTGGGGTAACTGCCCCCATGATTCAATTACCTCCCATCAGGTCCCTCCCACAACACGTGGGAATTATGGGGACTACAATTCAAGATGAGATTTGGATGAGGACACAGCCAAACCATATCAGGTAGTTATAATAATGACCCCCCAAGGATGTCTACATTCTTATCCCTGAAATCTATACGTATGCTACTTTATGTGGCAAAAGGGACTTTGCAGATGTGATTAAATTAAGGATGTTGGGATGGGAGATTATCCAGTAGGTGACCCTAATGTCATCACAAGAATCTTTATAAGAGGGAGGCAGGAGTGTCAGAGTCAGAGAAGAGGATGTGACAATGAAAGCAGAGATCAGAGTAAGAGACAGCTCCTCCAGAAGGAACACAGCTCTGATGACCCATTTTAGACTTTGGACCTCCAGAACTGTGAAATAATAGATTGGTGCTGTTGTAAGCCACCAAATTTGTTACAGCAGCAATAGGAAACTAATCCAGGCAGTGTAGATGGTACCTTCATTCTTCACATTGAGCAGCAAAGGTTTTTCTAACTAACTTTTGGTTGGTTGCATGAGTAATGTTCTGTCTCCACAACAGTATAATTTGTGTTAGTTGAGTTAACAGTAGCTGCTTTTGCAAAGAGACTGCAATGAAGAATGACTTAAAGAATATTGATGCTGTTTCGCATGTAACACTCTGCAGTGAGTGTTTGAGGCCAGCAAGTGGTTCCACTCCATAGTTATTCAGAGAACTAGGCTAATGGTAGCTTGGCCACTTCAATGAGTGACTTCCAAGACTGCTAACTGCATTGAGCAGGCAGCCCTGGTCATGCTATGACAGCTACCAGGAAGTGGGGAGTTTTAGAAGGCAGTGGAAGAGGCCAACCTCACTTGGACAGAACGTGGTCACAAGGCCACACTAGATGCAAAGAGGTCTGGGCAGCCACATTCCAGTCAGAAACTATTACCATGGATGGAAGAAAGAAAGAGCAGATTTTGGGGGGCACCCAGCCATCTCTGTCACATCTGGTCCCATTCTGACCTTTAGACTGCTAGTTTCTCAAAGCAAGGACTGCGCTTTTGCTCACCCATTGTATCCCCAGTAGTTGGCACAAGCGTTTGATACATGGTACGTGCTCAAAACCTATATGTTGAATGAATGAAGGAGTAAATGAGTACATAAAAGGACAAATGGACTTTTCTTTAATAGCTGTGTGACTTCAAGCCCATCTCTTCAGCTCCCTAAACCTTCACCTCCTCATCTAGAAAATGGGCCTAGAAATGCAGGCTCTGCTTGCGTCCCAGTGTTGTTTTGAAGACAAAATATAATCATAAGAAAAAAACTTAAAAAAAATATTTCTCTGCAGTTTACAGAAGCACTTTCATATCTTTGGTCTCACTTGAGTCCCATGAACTTGGGGGATGCTGTTATTTGTTATCCCCATTTTGATGGGGGAACAGGCCGAGGGGGACTGAGTGCATGTGATCAGTGTGAAGCGCCCATTAGCATGTTGAGGCAGATGGACATGGGGGTTGTCACGCTCAGGCTTGTTTCCTAGACAGCTGTGCTGTACGAGTTCTGATTCTGTGTAGATTCAGTCAGAGGTACTTGCCAGAATAAACAGGCTCACTCTGTTACAACTGTGCTGTCATAAAAAAGGAAGAGCAGGCTGGGCGCGGTAACCTGTAGCCTGTAATCTCAGCACTTTGGGAGGCCAAGGCAGGTAGATCACCTGAGGTCAGGAGTTCGAGACCAGCCTGGCCAAAATGGTGAAACCCCGTCTCTACTAAAAATACAAAAATTAGCCGGGCATGGTGGCAGGTGCCTGTAATCCCAGCTACTCGGGAGGCTGAAGCAGGAGAATCGCTTGAACCCAGGAGGCGGAGGTTGCAGTGAGCCGAGACCGCGCCATTGCACTCCAGCCTGGGTGACAGAGCAAAACTCTATCTTAAAAAAAAAAAAAAAAAGGGAAGAGCAAAAATGATACTACAGAGTCCTTAAGTTATTATTAGATGACCCTGTGTCATTTTCTATAGAGCAAAACCAGACTTCAGCGCTCTCCACAGAATCTTAGCCGTCATTCTGGTCCAAATTCCTCTTGGTCCAGACAGTGGAGGTACTTTTCTGAGGTTGCACTACTCCTAGAGTGACTACCCATCCTAATTTGCACTGAAATTCTCCCCTCCCAGGAAACTCCTGAGTCCTGAGCAAGTCAGGATGATTGGTCACTCACAATGGGTAGGTAAATGTTTTCAGATTCCCAAGTCTCCCTGATTCCAGAATACTACTTGTTAACCACACTGGCACTAAATGTAATCACGAGTTAGCTTCTTTGCCCCTCCAATCTTAAATTTTCTCATCTGTAAAATACAGAGAATAATACTGAACTCAAAGAAATGTTGTATGGATTAATTCAGAAAATGCGTATAAAGTGCTCACTAGATTATAGATACCATGACTATTATTATTACTTACCAGGACTAGAAGCAGGTTATCCTAGCCATCCAACTAACTCTCTATTACCCTTGGTGGTCTCTGGTAGGATTAATAAATCATCATTATGGGAATTTTCTGTACATGAAATAAAGATGTCATATTATAATTGGAAATTTTTGTAAACTTATATGCCCCCCCCAAAAAAAGTGTAGTGAACGAAAAGTTTTTGCTGTCTATACTAAAAACCTCACCTTCCAAGAGGAATTTAGTCTATAGCTGAGCTATACCCAAAAGATTTCTTTTTTAGATGGTGAGAACAAGCTGCTATCAAGTACACTATAAAATGGAAGGATTTAGATGATTCTGGCACCAAGGGTTTAACTAATGTTTATGGCAGGAGGGAATGACTGTATTTCTTATATCATATTCAGTTATGTATAATAAAGTCTATTTTGGATCTAGCTACCCTCTGACCATGTTTTTCTGTTGTTGCTGCTCCTGTCCATGCAAATATGCTCTATGGCATTATATAGAGAGAAGAACAAAATCTGGCATTTCATGCTAGATTTAGAAGCTGCCTGTTCCCCTGTTGCAGTGCTCTGAGGGGGTGTTTGAACTCTGAAACCCTGAAGACTGATTCCCTCAAACAGACTCTCTCTGTATCTCAGTGGGAAACTCTCTGCTTCTCTTCTTCAGTTTCTTCAGCTGTAAACAGGAATCCAAATAATTCCCTCTAGCCCAGGGATTCTTTGAGCTGGTCTGTAAAGTTACAGAGAGATGAAAAACCCTGTAGTGACAATGCATGCCTAGTGTTGCTGTGAATCTATAGCTCAGAGTTCCATGAAATTAAAATTAAAAAAAAAAAAAAGATACAGCATCCAAGAGGAAAAGCCCAATGTTCTCTCTGCTCAAACTGTGGTAGTTTGTGCGTAAATATGGGGAATCAATTTCTGTGCAAGTTCCTAGGGTGATCTTGTAAATGTTTTTCTCCTCTTTTCTTTAAAGGCAGTCCTCTCAGTTTGGTTTTTTTTTTTTTTTTTTTTTTTTTTTTTAGGATTCCCTACACACATCTCTCCTTTTTTTTTGTAATAAAGAAAAAAAAATGAATACAGCTTCCTTGCTCATTGTGGAGAACAAATCTGTATCTCTTTGGAAGCTTGTTGATCAAAAGATTTCTGTCATCTGTGTGTAGTACAGTTCTCTGAGGGGAAAAGGCAGAGTAATCAAGAATGCTTCTCTTCTGAGAGGAAAACAGATGTACTGTGTGTGTAATGGGACTATGTTTTAAAAACAAAGTCAAGAGCCCTGGAGAATGATAATAGTGATCTCTCTGAAAATGTGTGGAGATGATGGTAGCTGGAAAAGATATCCCCACATTCCAGAGTTTTTGGTGTCTGTGGCAGAAAGCAGAAGAAATGTGTCAATAAAAATCTGGCACTTATTAGAGAGATAGGGAAGTCTGGAGTAAATAGTGGACTCTGAGTACAACAAGAAAAGGAAAATAGAAACATTTCTGTACCCCAATACCAACTTCTACCTTGGGTCTGGTGGTACCTGTGTTTACTATTTAAAATTTATAACAGGTATCCTTAAAATGATCATTGGATTTTGAGGAGCTCCCTTCCCGGCTTGATAGTGTTTACAAATCACACCAGACAATAGATCTTTAACTCCATTACTAAAAAGTAATAATAGAAAATGGGTTTTGTATATAGTACATTTTCTCTGGGGGAATGAAATCCAGAATAATATTGACCACAAACATTTCACTGTTTAACAAAACAAAAATTGTAGAACACAAAGAATCAGCTGATTCTCCTCCCATGGGTGGCTCTTCCGTAGTTGTGTATAACTGTCTAGGGCAATTATTCTCATAGTAACCTGTTTAATAGTGGCAAAATCCAGTATAATCAGAATACTTAAAACTTTAGGTTATTCTTTGTGTTTTGTAGTTATGAGGACGGACAAATGGGAATATGTATCTGTTTCCAGAATTTGGTTTCCAAACATGTTTTTAGATTGGATAGTACTATATAGTTTCATTGCAGGCTTCCTGATTCAATGTTTACATTGAAAGAGGAAAAATATTTTGTACTGACAGAGAATCAAGAGCCGATGTACTCCAAGGTCTCAAGCACACGTTTTAACTTAATTTGTATGCAGTGATGGACTATCTCAGAGCCGAAAAGTGATCTGTATTCACTAATTGTAGGTGGTTTGGTAGGTTTTGCATATAAAAATAATGTTTGATGTGTTACTGCTGTTGGGTTTCCCCTCTCTCTTCCTGTATTTTGTGTGTTTACTTCATGGGCTCATTTAAGGTTGAATGTGGAGCTATCTCAAGTCCTAGGCTGCACTGGTTTTTACACCCATAAGTTTCCTTAGGAAATTTAATGTGGCTCTTAAATTCCACTGTTGGAGCACAGGTCCATGGAAACAGGGCAGTTGCCAGGTAAATTTGATTAAGTTAGAATGTCACGTTGGATTATTTGAGAGTCAGGACCTCCAAAATATATCCACTTTGGTGTTAAAAAAAAAAAAATCCTGACTGCATATCTACATTCTGTAACATGCCGGAAGGTTGCCAGATCTCCACTTCAATTGGTGTGTGTATAAACTGCTTACATATGCAGCCTAAAGGGAGTGATTTCTGTTGAGTGGTTGGCCGAATGTCAACACAGCTAATTGTCATTTCTAGATAACAAATCATAAACACGGTTGGTCCCTAGAAATGAAGGTTAACTGCATGGGGCAGAATGGTGTAAAACGTGGGTTGCAAAAATCAATGCCTGCAGAGGCTAGGTTCCTGTGATAATGAGTGAGGTGGGCCTGGTGTCAAGGCGTGAGGAAATGATGGGGACTGTGAGGATCTGAGGGGACCCGCCTCATCTGAAGGGGCACCTGCTCCTCAGCTCTGGCTCTCCCTTGCCCTTCCTCCATGAGGGCTCCGTGTTGCCTGATCTGTTAATTTTTTGCAAAACAAGCAGGAAATTCAGACTTTTATTTGAAATCTCTCAAACTCTAAATGTTGGCTTGAATTTCTTAAAACACAATGCACTCAGAGTCTAAAGACTTCAGAAGGCCATATATGGCCACTGGCTGCCATTTTGAGACCCCTGAATTAGGCGATTCTTTGAGAAGAAAAGAACCTCCTGACTTCCCACTTACAGGCTTTTTAGCTTTTTTTTTCCCCCCAGAAACCTCAGTGGGTGTTTTTTTTTTTATAACAGAACACTAGACTAGGAGTTGGGAGGCTGGATATGCCAACTCTCCATTTCCTAACTTCATGACCCAGGGCAAGCCCTTAATTTCTTACATCCTTGGCTTTATAAATCTATCAATTCATAATATATATTTCACTACTATCTCACAGATTAAATTCACCCAACTGATATTTATTGAAAATGTACTTGAGCATATCCTATTTTATTTAACCCTCAAGAAGTCTTTATGAGGTAGATATTTCTAACATATGTGTAGAGATAAAGAAACAGATTCTGCAAACTAAGGAAATTGCTCAAGGTCATAGAGCTAATTGGTGATGGAGTGGAAATTCAGACCAGACCTTCTGATTTTTAGTTCTGCTTTCCATTGCAAAAGCAATTCTTAAAATAGATAAAAAGCTAAAATCCATTTAAATCATCATCATCATCATCATCATCATCATCATCATCATCAACAACAACAACAACAGCAACATTATTTTGCCCTTTTCTTATCCAGCCTCTAAATACTGACTTTATAAACAGAACCTGACCAGGTCAAGCTACTATATCTCTATAGGTCTCAATGTTCTTAACTCTTAAATGGCAGGAGCAAAACTTGAGCAGAGGCAAATTTGCATTTTGAGGGCTGTATTTAGCTTAGTAGTGTTTGGTTGGGCCTAAACGCATTTTTTTTTTTTTTTTTGAGACAGAGTCTCACTGTGTTGCCCAGGCTGGAGTGCAGTGGTGCGATCTCGGCTCACTGCAAGCTTTGCCTCCCGGGTTCACGCCATTCTCCTGCCTCAGCCTCCCAAGCAGCTGGGACTACAGGCGTCCGCCACCAAGCCCTGCTAATTTTTTGTATTTTTAGTAGAGATGGGGTTTCATCGTGTTAGCCAGGATAGTCTCCATCTCCTGACCTCGTGATCTGCCCGCCTCGGCCTCCCAAAGTGTTGGGATTACAGGCATGAGCCACCATGCCTGGCCATGCATTTTTTTAAAAAGCAGGTTATTTATATATAGCTGACATAATATAAAGCAACATATTTTAAGTGTACACTTTGATAAATTTCATCACATGAACACACCCATAAAACCATCGCCACAATCAGGATAATGAACATATCTATCACCCCCAAAAGCTTCCTTATGACCTTCTGTGATCCATCTGTGTCTCTCCACACCTTGTCCCCAGGTCACCATGGATCTGTTTTCTTTCGCTATACATTTATTTGTTTTACACAAATGGGATCATATAGAATGTACTTTTCTTTATGTCTGGCTTCTTTCAATAAGCTTAAATATTTTGCTATCCATGCTATGGTGTATATCATTATTGGTTCATTTCTTTTGATTGCTGAGTAGTATTCCACTATATGAATGTACCATAGTTTGTTATTCACTCACTTGTTGATGAACATTTGGGTTGTACCAGGTTGGGGCTATTAAAAATATAGCTGCTATGACCTTTTGAGTATACGTCTTTGTATGAACATATCCTTTCATTACTCTGGAGAAAAAGCCTAGGAGTGATTTGGCTGGGTCCTATTGTAGGTGTGTATTTAACCTTGTAAGAAACTGCCAAAATATTTTTCAAAGTTCTACCATCTTAGTTTCCCACCAGCAGTGTAAGAAGAGTTCCAGTTTCTCCCAATTCTTGTCAACACTTGGATGCAGTCTTTTTTTCCATTCTAATATGTAAGCAGTGTACCTTATTATAATTTTAATTTGAAGTTCCTTAATAATTAATGATGTTGAGCATCTTTTCATGTGTTTATTTGCCATCTGTATATCTTCTTTGGAGATGTATCTGAGTCTTTTGCTTATTTTTATTGTGTTGTTTGTTTTTTAATTATTCCTTGAGTTTCACAGTTTTAGCTTTTACATTTATGCTTTAATTTATCTCAAGTTAATTTTTCTTTATGCTATGGAGTACAGATTAAGGTTCATTTTTTTCCCAGTTGGTTCAGCATAATTTGTTAGACTTTTATTTTTTCATTGAATTATATTGGTGCCTTTGCAGAAAAATCATTGTCTATATATGTGTGATCCTATTTCTGTACTCTGTATTCTGTTCTATGGATACGCTTTTCTGCCTTTATGGCATATTTATAGTATTGAATCTTTTAAGGTGTATATAGCTCTCCCCTTATTTAGGTCTTCTTTCATGTCTGTCAATAATATTTTGTAGATTTTCAGTGTAGGGGTCTTTTTAATTCTTTCATAAACTTTATTTGTAGGTTCTTTATGGTTTTTGGTGCTATTGTAAATAAAATTTATTTTAAAATTTTATTTCCAATTGTTTATTGCTAATATATAGACATATGATGGATTTTTGTATATTGAACATGTATCCTGAGGCCCTGCTAAATTCACTTATCAATTTAGTAGTAGGGTTTTAAAAATGTTGTTGTGTTAGGCCATGTGAGGTAGGTCACACCTAATTCTGGCATTTTGGGAGGCCAAGGCAGGAGGATCACTTGTTGCCAAGAGTTCAAGACCAGCTTGGGCAGCAAAGCAATACCCCTTCTCTATTAAAAATTAAAAAAAAAATTAGCCAGGTGCAGTGTGGCCCGTGCCTGGAGTCTCAGCTACTTGGGAGGCTGAGGTGGGAGAATCCCTTGAGCCCAGGAGTTTGAGCTGCAGTGAGCTGTGGTCACACCACTGTACTCCACCCTGTGTGACACAGCGAAACCCTGTCTCAAAAAGAACACACACACACACACACACACACACACACACACACACACAACACCAAAACCCCAAAATGTTGTTGTGTTGATTCTTTTGAATTTTCTGCGTCCACTATCATTACCTACAAAAAAAAAAATAGAATTTTACTACTTTCTCAATATTTTTGCCTTTTATTTCTCTTTCTTGCCTTATGCAACACATGCATGACATGGCGAATACCTCCAGTGTGATATTAAATATAAATGGTGAAAGTTTACATCCTTTGCCTTGTCCCTTACATTATGTGGACCATTTTTAATATTTCACCATCAATTATGATGTTAACTCTAGGTTTTCCTTAGAAGCCATTTTTTTTTTTTAAGGCAGCCTCTCTCTGTCACACAGGCTGGAGGGCAGTGCGTGATCTCGGCTCACTGCGATCTCCACCTCCTGGGTTCAAGCAATTCTTGTGCCTCAGCCTCCCAAGTAGTTGGGATTACAGGTGTGCACCACCACGCCTGGCTAATTTTTGTATTTTTAGTAGAGACAGGGTTTCACCATGTTGACCAGGCTAGTCTCAAACTCCTGGCCTGAAGTGATCTGCCTGCCTCAGCCTCCCACAGTGCTGGGATTACAGGCATGAGCCACTGTGCTTGACCCCTTTTATCAGATTTTTCAGAGGTTCTCTTGTATTTCTAGTTTTATGGGAACTATTTTAAAATATATAAATGGGTGCTGGATTCTTTTTCAAGTGCTATTTTGCAGTCATCATTGGGTGATTTTCTTTTCTTGAAACGTCTTTTATCATAATGTTTTGGTGTTTGGGACATAGAAGCTTATACAATGAATTAGGAATTGTTCCCTCCTCTCTTTTGTGAAAGAGTTTGCCCAATGTTGGAATTATTTCTTCCTAAAATACTTGATAGAATTCACTTGTAAAGTCATCTGGGCTAGGGATTTTCCTTGTGAAAATGTTTTAAATTAAGATTTCAATTGTCTTTTATAGGTACATAGCTATTTATGTCTTTTATTTATTCTTCTATCTATCCATTGTGGTGAGTTGTGTTTTTCAAGGAATTTGTCCATTTCATCTACAACTTTATGTGTTGGCATAAAGTTATTCATAATAGTCCCTTGTTGTCCTCTATTGTCTGTAGACCCTGTGGTTATAGTCTCTCTCTCTCATGCCCTATGTTGGTAATTTGTAGGTTTTTTTCTCCTCTTATTTTCTTTGATATCACTAGGAGTTTCCCGATTGTATTAATATTTTCAAAGAACAAACTTTCATCTTTGTTGATTTTTGTTTATTATTTACTTGTTTTCTATTTCATTAAATTTTCTTCTTATCCTCATTACTTTCTTCTGCTTATTTTGGATTTGCTTTGCCCTTCCTTTTTAAACTTGCTAATATGGATACTTAAATCATGATTTTAGCTCTTTCTTGTTTTCTAATATAAATATTTAAAATCATGAATTTTCCCCTTCATACCGCTTTAGCTGCATCTCTCAAATTTCAATAGGCTATGATTTCCTTATCATTTAGTTTACATATTTTCTAATTTTTCTTGTGAATTATTCTCTGGTTCCAGAGTTATTAAAAATGTCGATTAATTTTTAAATGTAGATGGATTTTCTACATATCTTTTTGCTATTGATTTCTAATTTACTTGACTTGTGGCCAGAGAATATAGTCTATGATTTCAATCTTTTGAAATTTACTGAGACATTGTATGGCTTAGCAGATGGTCTATCTTGATGAATGTTATGTGAGTGCTTGAAAAGAATGTGTGTTCTTTAGCTGTTGGATGTAGCGTTTCATAAACATCTACTAAATCAAGTTAATTGATAGTGTTCCCATCGCTTACATACTTACTGATTTTCTATATTCTTGCTCTATCATTTACTGAGAGAAAAGTACTCAAGTCTCCAACTGTGATTGTTCATTTTCTATTCTCCCTTTTGTCAATTTTTGCTTTTTAAGCTCTATTTTTAGGAACATACATATAAACACACGAAAATTTAGGATTTTTATGTGATCTTAATGAATTGATTTTTAACTCTTTGTCTTCTTTCTTTTTGTGTTTTTAACAGTGTCTCTTTTTAATTTTATTTTAAAAATTCTAAGTTGACACATAATAGTTGTACAATTTATGGAGTACATAGTGATGATGTGATACATGTAATGTACTGTTCTCTCTGATGATATTAGAGCTATGATAGTTTTTTAAATGATTACTGTTTGTATGGTACATCTTTTTTTATGCTTTTGCTTTCAGCCTATGTCTTTATATTTCATCTGTATGATCTCTTGAATGCTGCACATAGAACCTGTACTTCCCCTCCCAATAACCTTGGACTCTGCTCCCATTGAAAGAACCCTTCCACGAAGCTCACAACAAGACCCCATCAAATTTGAAAGCTATACCTGCAGTCCATCCAGTTACTTAGATTCCTCATGCCAAGAGACCCATCACTGAATAAAGGAATTACCATCCTTGCAAGAGTAATTACCCCAATCATCAGCAAGGGGATGCTGTTTTTTGGACAGTAATTCTTTGCTACACATGGCATGACCACACAGAACCTTTAGAGATCTATCCTGTGATTCTCTGATTGATGGTTGCCATTAATTTCATATAACATCTTTCCCCACTGCAGACACCCTCCAATAACAAAGGGGTTCCTGGCTTAAATGGGCCAAAGCAGCAACAAGTTGGACAACAACTCATACCATGGCTTGGTTCTGTGGAAGAGCTTTTTCTTTAATGCACTCGCTGTGTCATAGGGAACTTCTTCTGAGCGTCTGACCTTTCATTTACTCAGTGTATTCTGGGTCAGAAAACTGGTCCTGGCCTAGAACCGATAAACTACCGTGATATTTTACTAGGGAAGCTGTCTTCCACCTCCTTGATTTCTTTTAGCCAAATGGTTTGAACAATGCCCTTGTTGGCTGCCTACACATCCATATATCTTGCCCCTAGGAATGCTGTGTTCTATTAATATCTCCAGGCTACCCTGGTGGCCTCTCCAATCTCACTGCTCATCACATTGATTGTGTCCATGCTGCTTTCACCTGGCCTTTATTTTGGGATATTATCATCCTTATTACTATTAGCAATCCCAGTTTCATAACAGCATTTCCTACCTTAAGCTCTGGCCTGGCCTACAGAGGAGAGCCACTACTGAGCTTCTCAGTGATGCCAGTGTCTCCCATAATCCAGTCCGCTTTTCCACATCTATTTCGTGATTTCAATGCTTTCAATATTTAGCTTCATGACCTTAAATAACATATAGCTACATCTTAATATTTCAGTGGCAGGTATTACCTATTGACTTTCCACTATAAAATATGACCTCTCTTTTACAACCACCACCACCACCACCACCACCATACACTTCCCATCCTTCTGTGCTCCCATTATAATTAGATCATAATTTTGGTTAGATTCAGTGTTTATAATAGTATGTCTATGCAATCTCTATCGACAGCTAAGCCATGTAATATACTATGTTTACATTTGTCTTTTTTGTATAACTTCTTGTATTCCATGGAACTAATAATTGTCTTATATTTGTGTTTGTTTAGTGATATCTATATGCTCATTACTACTTCATTCCAAAACTCTTCCTCAAAAGTGAAAGTCTCTTTCAGGCCTAAATCCATCTAGTAGTCTATTCAATGGTGACTTCTCTCCCAGAGCCTTAGACCTGTTCCAATCTTGGCTAATTTTCTCTAATTTGTTATTTTGGTTTCTTCCTGGAACCTCCCTTCCTTCTTATCACTTTGGGAATTTCCTTCACTTATCTTTTTCCTAGATTTCATGTTTTTTTTTTTTGTTTTTTTTTTTTTTGGTGGGGGAAAGTGTTGCTTTCTTGAGTAGCTAGTTTATCCTCTGTTAGTGTCTTTAGAAAGGGTGTATGGTAGGCTGAGATCTCCATATCTGAATCCTTGAAACTTGTTAGTATGCTGTCTTATACAGCAAAAGAGACTTTGCAGATGTGATTAAGGTAAAAATCTTGTGATGGTGATATTATCCTGGATTATCCAAGTGGGTCCTATGTAATTTGAAGAGTCCTTGTAAGAGAGAAGGCATTGTGAAGATGGAAGCAGAGAGAGTTGAAGATGCTACACTGCTCGTTTTGAAGATAGATATTATTCTCAGCTCCAAGTTCACCCTTTAATATATGCTTTATGATAAACAATGGAATTTCTTTAAGCATTTCTCCTTTAAAGTGAGCTTTTAAAATAGAGGGCTCTGGAGGGATATTGCAAGAGGAAAAGCCTTCTTGCAGTTTCCAGCATGGGCCAAGTGGTGTGGGTGTGAGAACATTTGATGGAGGCTGCCTCAGCCTCAGGCCCAGAACCCACTTTCTCTGCAATCTTCTAGCCTTGGCCTGGTGATAATATTTCTCACAGCCTTCTTGACATGAAAACCAGAGCCTCGCCAGGCACAGTGGCTCACGCCTGCAATCCCAGCACTTTGGGAGGCCCAGGCGGGCAGATCACCTGAGGTCAGGAGCTGGAAACCAGCCTGGCCAACATGGTGAAACCTCATCTCGACTAAAAATACAAAAAATTAGCCAGGTGTGGTGGCTAATTGTGTGCCTGTAATCCCAGCTACTTGGGAGGCTGAGGCAAGAGAATCACTTGAACCCAGGAGGCAGAGGTTGCAGTAAGCCTATATCGCGCCATCGCACTCCAGCCTGGGCAACAGAGAGAGACCCTGTCTCACAGAAAAAAATAAAAAGAAAGAAAGAAAACCAGAGCCTGAGTGTGGCTTGCATGCAGTCATCAGTGGTTGAGGGGGTCACACACTGAGAAGCTGCTTCTTCTGTAAGTCCCTAGAGCCCACCTGCAGCCACAGGGTGGGAAGAGTACACACAGAAGCTGCTGCTTCTTTGCAAGCTCCACATTGCCCACATGTTTTGAAGGCCTCCTGCCCACACCAGACTTTCACTGCATGCCCATGCCATTAGTTGCTGCTCCCCAGCTAGAAATTTAGGAAATTCCCTTTGCATTTCTCCTGAGGGTGACCTATCATTTGCCTTACTCTGGCGATATCGGCAAACTCCCTTACTGTCCAGTGGTTGACCATGCCTTCTCCAATGAGGTCTGAACCCTTTCCAAGTGTGTAATTCTTTAAGGAATCTCCCTTAGGGTACCATAGATAGTTGCTTTATATTGTATGATTATTCTTTATATCATAGTTAATATTTCTTTCTTTCTGTTAAACTTCTGCTTTATCTACTGTGTGGTTTCTATCTCCTGATTGGACCCAGATTACTACAGTAAATTTTGACACAGGTATATACCTGTGAAACATCATCACAATCAAGATAATGAACAAATCCATCACCCCCATAAATGAATGTCTCTATGCCCATCTGTCATTCATCCTTCCATTTCTTTGACCCCAGGTAAACAATGACCTATTGTTTGGTCACAGTAGATTAGTTTGCATTTTCTAGAATTTTATATAAATGAAATCGTGTAGTATATATTCTTTTAAAACTCTAACTTCTTTCACTCAGCATAATTATTTTGTTATTCAACTACACTATTACATACATTATAATTTATTTATTGTGTTTGCTGAGTTTTATTATATGTCTATACCAGAGTTTTTCCACTCACTTGTTGATGAACATTTGGGTTGTTTCCAATTTTTGGGCCATTACACATGTAACTACTGTGTATTTTCATGTGTAAGTCTTTGTGTGGACATATGCTTTCATTTCCCTTGGGTTAATACCTAGGAGTGGAATGGCTGGATTATATAGTAGATATAGATTTAGCTTTTAACTGCAAAACTGTTTCCCAAAGTGTCTATACCATTTTATATCCTCATTAGCAATATATGAAAGATCCAGTTGCTCCACATCCTGGCCAAAACTTGATATGGGTTATCTCTTTAATTTTAGTCACTGTATTAGGTATATAGTAGTTTCTGATTATGGTTTTAATTTGCATTTCCCTGATCATTAATGTTGTTGAGCATCTTTAAATGTATATTTTTTGCCATCCATATATCTTCATTGGTGGTGTCACTTCAATTATATTGCCCATTTTTAAAAGTCAGGTTTTTAGTCTTCCTATCATTGAGTGGTTAAGAGTTCTTTGTATGTTGCAGATGTAAGTTCTTAGTCAGACATAAGTCTTTAAAATATTTTCCCCTAGTCTGTGGCTTACCTTTTTATTTGTATAGCAATTTCATGTTTTTTTTTTTTTTTAATTTAAGTTCTGGGATACATGTGCTGGACGTGCAGGGTTGTTACATAGGTATACATGTGCCATGGTGGTTTGCGGCACCTATCAACCTGCCATCTAGGTTTTAAGCCCCGCATGCATTAGGTATTTGTCCTAATGCTCTCCCTCCCCTTTCCCCCAACCTCCAATGGGCCCCGGTATATGATGTTCCCCTCCCTGTATCCATGTGTTCTCAAACAATGTCTTTTGAAAAGCAAAAGATTTTAATTTTGAATAAGTCCAGTTTATCAAGTCTTCCTTCCTTCCTTCCTTCCTTCCTTCCTTCCTTCCTTCCTTCTTTCCTTCCTTTCTTCCCTCCTTCTTTGTCTCACTCTGTCTGACACCATCTTGGCTCACTGCAACCTCTACCTCCTGGGCTCAAGTGATTCTCCCATCTCAGCCTTTTGAGTAGCTGGAACTACAGGTGCCCACCACCACACCCAGCTACTTTTTGTGTGTTTTTGTAGAGATAGGGTTTCGGCATGTTGCCCAGGCTGGTCTCAAACTCTTGAGCTCAAGCAATCTGCCCACCTCGGCCTCCCAAAGTGCTGGGATTATAGGCATGAGCCACTGTGCCTGGCCTTATCAAATTTTTCTTTTATACTTCATGGTTTTTGTGATGTCAAAAATCTTTTCCAAATCCAAGATTTTCTAAGATTTTCTCCAATGCTTTCTGAAGTATTATAGTCTATAACGTCTTGTAATAGCTTCACTAACAATCCCTTATTCTTAAGTTTCTTACTTATGAATTTCTGATGACACTACACATATTATTTTTAGTCTTCTTTTCTACTCATGTACAAATAGACCTAAGAGGCTAATGGAACAAAATATATGAAATCAAGATTGTGCTAGAAATTCAGGTTGTATGATCACCAAATTTATGCTTCTCTCCTATCTCATAATATAGTTTAGAGAAAAAACAATAATAATAACAATTTTTTGAGTAAGTAACATGCTAAACACTTTTTTTAAAAAAATATATATTTCTACAGAGATGAGGGTCTTGCTATATTGCCCAGGCTGGTCTCAAACTCCTAGGCTCAAGAGATCCTCTCACCTTAGTCTCCCTAGTAGCTGGGATTATAGGCACAAGTCACCATGCCCAGCTCCCCAAACACTGTTTTGTGACTTTTGTATTCAAAGTATAAAGTACATTATTTTATACTAAAAATGACTTTATATGATTGGTTCTATTATCTGTCTCTCTCTCCTTTTAGCAGGTGAGAATGTTGTATCATAAAGAAATTAAACAACTTGTTCAGGTCATCTAGCCAGCTCCGTTTGATGTTAGAGTCCATTCTCTCTCTCTTTTTTTTTTTGAGATGGAGTCTCGCTCTGTCGCCCAGGCTGGAGTGCAGTGGTGCAATCTCGGCCTACTGCAAGCTCTTCCTCCTGGGTTTACACCATTCTCCTGCCTCAGCCTCCTAAGTAGCTGGGATTACAGGCACACACCACCATGCCTGGCTAATTTTTCTATTTTTTTGTTTTTAGTAGAGATGGGGTTTCACTATGTTGGTCAGGCAGGTCTCGAACTCCTGACCTCGTGATCCGCCTGCTTCGGCCTCCCAAAGTGCTGGGATTACAGGCGTGAGCCACTACGCCCAGCCCGAGTCCATTCTCTTAATCACTAACAATAGTAGCTAATAAATATTGGCTGCTTACTGTGTAACTGGTACTATGTTAAATTCTTTACAGGTATTAACTAATTTAATCTTCAGAACAAAGCTACAGGTAGGTATTATTATTATGCCTCTTTACAGATGAAGAAACTAAAATACAGGGACCCAGTACTCACAACTATTAAGAGCAGAGCAGGATTTGAATCCATGCAGTCTGGCTCCTGAACTCTTCCTGGTAAGCATCACACTACACCGTTTCTCCAAGAATAATTAATGGTTGTATTTGTTGGGTAAATCAAGCGGATGGCCCAAATGAGTCTCTCCCACCAGCAAGTTTTTGAAATGAAAGATAGTTTTCTATTTAATGCTCCCCTTGGCACCTGACCCCAATGATTTACTATTGCCCTGCTCTTGTTCCATTTTCCCACTATGCCTTACAGTGATAATAAACAGAACCGTGTGTGCCAGTGCAAGAGGCCAGGGGAGATGAGTGCCTCTGTAAGTAGCAGGAGCCTCAGCCAGTACCTCAGGTTGTGCCAGGCCCCTGGGAAGTGAGTAGCTTCACCTGGGTTCTCTTATCCATTTGTGTCAACTTCTGGCTTCCTAAAAGAGAGGGCATGGCCAAAAGAGGCTTGTGAGAGGAACATTTAGATTGCTTGGAGCTTTTATCATAGCCCACCAGGGGTTTGAGACAGTGGTGTATAGTGTAGAGAGATATTTGACTTGGGATGGAGTCCTGCCTTTTTGCTTTAATTTTTTGACTCTGGGCAAGTTTTAAAAACTCACTTCACTTAGCCCATTTGTTAAAAATGGGCTAAGACCAACCTTATTTTGATGATATAAGTAGGTTCATGCAGTAAATAATAATAACGATAATATCTGCCATTTATTAGGTGTCTCTCTGTGCCAGATACTCATAAAAGCACTTTCTAAGAGTTAACTCAATTAACACTAACCACAGCATGAAATAGGTGCTATTATTATCATCATCATTTTACAGGTGAGAAACAAAAGTACAGGCAACTAAGATATTTGTCCATAGTCACTCAGCAGAAACCAGAGAAGCTGAAGCTTGAGACCAAGCAGCCCAGCTCCCCAGCCTGTGCTCTTAAACATTGGCATTTACTGAACTTGCATAAATAAATAAATATACATATACACATATATATATTTTGCATATTATATATATTTTACCTCTTTTACTTTTTTAAACAGGAAAAGCCTTTTCTAACACCCCCCCACCCCAGCATTTTTTTTTTTTTTTTGAGATGGAGTCTTGCTCTGTTGCCCAGGCTAGAGTGCAGTGACGCTATATCCACTCACTGCAACCTCTGCCTCTCAGGCTCAAGTAATTCTCATGCCTCAGCCTCCCGAGTAGCAGGGATTACAGGTGTGTCACCACGTCTGGCTAATATTTTGTATTTTTTTGTAGAGATGGAGTTTCACCATGTTGGCCAGGACGGTCTCGAACTCCTGATCTCAAGCAATTCACCCACCTTGGCCTCCCAAAGTGTTGGGATTACAGGCATGAGCAACCGTGCCAGGCCATTGCTAACCTTTTCTTTGGAAACTTGTGTGCTATAGCTAAACTGAAGGAATCTGGGATGATTTGATGATGGTCCTTACCCAGGTCTGGACTGGTAGGTCTAGGTCCTAGTTTTGGCTCTGGCCAGCTTTGGGCAAGGCGGTTTCACTCTCCTAAGTCCCACATGTCTCCTGTATAAAATGTTGAGGGGGGTGTACTAGTTAATTTCCAAAGCCCTTTCCAGGTCTCACATTCCTTATGTCTATGATTCTGTGATTAAGTTCCTGGAAGTTTAAGTACTGATAAAAGTGCCATTAAGTTCTGTATACTCAGCACTAGCAGCTGTCTGTTACCTAAGATACCTGGGCCTAGGAGTTATAGGGTGGGGGCTGGGGGCAGGGTGGGTGGATGAGAAAGGCTCCTTGTCTGACAACTGTGTGTATTGACTGTAGACAACAGAGGACTGCCCAGCACTGTGCAGTGTAACTGAGTATCCTCTGATTTCTGGGCTGTGATATACTAAGACTGACCATCAAAGACTGTTTCCCAACAAGAGAACCTTGTGCAGTAAGTTCCTCAGGCAAGAAGCGAGATAATTGGGACAGGATTGAATAGATCTCAGGCAGAGAAACTTGGGGGACAGATCAATGTAGGTAATGAACTGGTTGACCCAAGGCCTCTCTGTCTATCATTTTTTGACCTCAGGTCAGAGCGATAGAAAGGGGGAAAACTACCGACACAGCTCCTGCCATGAAGTCCTGGAGAAGAATAAGTGACTGTTTGTCCCGCATGGGTTAGTCATTCACCTGCCTGAAGGCAAAGGGCTGGGAGTCTGGAGTCCATGACCTGCTGGGACATACTTTGGGCTGCATTTTTTCCCCCTTCTAATGTCTCAGCTCTCAGGGATCTGCTTTTCCTGGTGCCAAGGAGTATGGATGAAATTTTGTCCCTCCTCCATGCACCCCTATAAAACAAATATGATGAGAAATTAATATTTTCCAAATGGTGACCTAACCTTTGTTCATTAATTGAGCTCCTATTGCATTCCAGGTACTGTTAGAGGCCAGCAAGATACCTAGATGATTGAGACAGAGTCCTCGCCCTCCATGAAGTGACTGTTCATTTTAAAACCCTAAAGCTGGGTTCTTAGAGGCTACTGCAACAGCAACAACTCCCGAGTGAGTGCTTATCATGTGCCAGGCTCTGGTTACAGGCTTTAACTCTCTCAGTGGAAACAGCCTGAGTGCTGGCTTGGCTACCCCATGTCTGTGAGACTGTGGGCAAGTCATTTACTTTCCCTTTGAGTTTCAATTTCTAAAACTGTAATATGGGGATAATATATGTAAAACAGCTAAGAAGTATATACTTTTAATGACTCTTTTTAGTGTCAATGGAGGATTTGTGAGCAAATGCATATAAAACACAAGGCAAACAGGAGGTATTTAGTAAGTGGCCACGTGATTATTGAGAGACTATGGGCTTCTTCCTGTTCCTCCAGAGCAAGACTGACAGGTGTCCTATTACCCTTGCATCTTCAGAGCCTAGAGCACAGCCCTGAAAACAGCAGGCGCTCACCACTTTTTATGATCAAAGGCAGTCTCTACAGGGAAAGTCAAATCATTATGGGTATTTATGAATTACAAAATCCATAAAGTTAAACCAGGAGAAATGGACAAAAACACACTCATTGTAGAGGTCTTTAATGATCCCTTGGCTCATGGCAGAGCAGCTAGACAAAAAACAAACAAACAAACAAACATGCAAAGATTCAGAAGGCCTGAAAAAATAATGAATACAAAGAAGATAAATCGATACAGTATTCTATCTTCACATTCGGAAGACAAAAACACCTTTCAAAAAACCATGGGACATTGGCAAAAATAACCACAGATAATCCTCAATAAATCTTGCCAGGAGGCAGTACAGATGACATTGAATTCAGTGAGACTACAAATTAAAGACAAAAAGGCGAAGTATAAATTACTTGTGTAAGAACTCTCTCAACTCTTGGGTCCAAGAAGAAAGCAAAAGGGAAATTGTATGATAGCAATAAATGTGCCATTACCCAGAGTCACACAGCTAACAGTGACACAGCTGAGGCTGCTAGAACCTGGGTCTACTGTCGTCCAGCCACGAACTGGCTTGAGATCCCGGATAAGTCTCTCTGAGCCTCGGTTTCCCCTTCTGTCAAGTAGCCTCGAAGGTCCCCGGCGCTCGGTTCGGTGGCGAGTTTGAGGAGTGTGGGGGAGGGGAGGGGAGGGAGCGTGCCCGAGACGCGGGAGCCGCGACCGCTTTCTGCGAAGTCGGGGAGGGTGCGGGCGTTGAGAGGCTGCAGCAGAGGGCGCTGGGTCGCCAGCCTGGGCCGCGTCTCCCATTGGTCGGGGCTGGGGCGCTGGGCTGGAGAGTTGGTGGAAAGTGACAAGTTGAGCGAGAGAGGGAGCGTGGAGAGCTGGAGCAGCCGCCACCGCCGCCGCCGAGGGAGCCCCGGGACGGCAGCCCCTGGGCGCAGGGTGCGCTGTTCTCGGAGTCCGACCCAGGGCGACTCACGCCCACTGGTGCGACCCGGACAGCCTGGGACTGACCCGCCGGCCCAGGCGAGGCTGCAGCCAGAGGGCTGGGAAGGGATCGCGCTCGCGGCATCCAGAGGCGGCCAGGCGGAGGCGAGGGAGCAGGTTAGAGGGACAAAGAGCTTTGCAGACGTCCCCGGCGTCCTGCGAGCGCCAGCGGCCGGGACGAGGCGGCCGGGAGCCCGGGAAGAGCCCGTGGATGTTCTGCGCGCGGCCTGGGAGCCGCCGCCGCCGCCGCCTCAGCGAGAGGAGGAATGCACCGGCCGCGCCGCCGCGGGACGCGCCCGCCGCTCCTGGCGCTGCTGGCCGCGCTGCTGCTGGCCGCACGCGGGGCTGCTGCCCAAGGTAAGAGGCGCCCGCCGGCCCCCGCCCGCCCAGACCCCCTGACCCGTGGCCACCCTTCCGCCGTCCAGCCGGGCGCGGGACACGCAGGAAGCGCCGCGCTGGCTCCGGGGCGCGTCCGGCCACCCGCCACGGGGCTCGCCGGCGCCGCCAGGCCAGGGTTTGCCCCGGAGCCCCGCCAGGCCAGGGTTTGCCCCGGAGCCCCGCGGCGGGCCGGGGCGCGCCCAGGGACTCGTTCCTCGGTGCGCAGCAGCGATTGTCAGCGCTGACAGGAAGCGTGGAGGGGTTTGAGGGTCCTGGGGGTGATCGGGGCACTTCTGTGCAGGGCGTCCCCCCTTGTCTCCCTGGACCTCTAGCGCGCCCCAGCCGGTGTTCAGGCAAGTCTATCCTGCCCCCAAGTTGCGAGCCGGCCCGGAAGGCGCGGTCCAGGAGGGAGTTTGGATTTTCAGTGGTGCTCGCCAGAGCCCAGGCGGCTCGCGGATCGACGCAAACAAAAGCCCTGTCCTCCTGGGGCTCCGGCGGCCTCGCATCGCCACCGCCCCCGGCCCTCCGGCCCTCCCGAGAGTCATCATAGAGGCCAAAACTTGTGCGCCGCTGCAGCCGCTGCCACTTTGTGCAAAATGTGCTGTCAGAGGCGGCCTGCGGCTCCAAAGTGCTTTGGGTGTGCACGCGCGCGCGCGCGCGTGTGTGTGTGCGTGTTACAAACAAGAGGGGGAAAAGCCATCTAATGCATATTTGATTTTGGTAATCTCTAAAGACAATCGCAACAGTTAGAGAAAGACTTCACCGCAAGCCGGAGCGTCTTAGTTCGCTGCGGGAAGCTGGGGTCCTTGCTGCGTCTGAGCCGGTACACAA
This sequence comes from Homo sapiens, assembly GCF_000001405.40. Lineage (NCBI taxonomy): Eukaryota > Metazoa > Chordata > Mammalia > Primates > Hominidae > Homo > Homo sapiens. The sequence continues at coordinate 63,775,361 of NC_000001.11, forward strand.
TGAGAGGGAAGAGCCCGGCTGAGCCTGTGGAGACAACCGATTCATTCTTTGGAGGTTGGAGGGGGAAAGTTGATTAAAGTCTCCGGGGTCTCGGGCCTCACTTTTAACATGCATCCCTTGAGGGGGTGAGGAGCCTTTGGATTCTGCCCTCCCCCACTCCCAGCCCTAAACCTGAGCGGATAAATAGATCTCTGCTCTTTTATCATGCATCTTTCATTTTTAAGTTAGCACTGTGTTTAGGAAAAGAAAAAGTTCTGCGCTACTTAGCAGTTGAGAGGAAAAAGATGTATTCACTACATAGACTACGAATGCAGAATTAGTTTTTACTAAAAGTTAGCTGACTTTCTTGGTAGAAAACACACTCTGGAAGGAAGTTGTGTGAAATTTTGATTTCTTAGAGATGGTTTTTGGAAGCTAGAGTAGCATTTTCTGAGGATGATTTCTGAAACGGATCCTATAATGTGGTCGTGCTAATCTGAAAGCTCCTGGGGGTAAATAGAGCTCCTAATTGTAATTAAGATGTGCATCAGCAGGGAGTGCACCTTCCTGATGAAAAATCCTAATGAAATGTAAACAGCTTGGTCACATAGATGTTTTGCTTGGTGATGCCAAACATCTGGCCTTGCGCCACAACACCTGGGTGAAAAGTAAAAATGGGCCATGCTGCCTAAGTAATGTAAACATCCTTCTCAAGTTGGGTTGCCCAGCAAATTGAGGTGGAGATAAGCAGGGTGATTTTAACTAAGGTGGGACTCCTGGCTTGGGGCTTTGGTTAATTCAGTTATTTCCCCTGTGGACTCCTTTACTTTGTACTTCACCTTTCAACAATAGTTGCTTTTAGATCATAGCCCCTTGTGGGGGTGGGGGTCACTTACCTTTAAATACATGTCCCTGCATTGATTTTGCTCACTGTAAACACCCTTCTTATCAGCAGCCACCCCAATTCTGTCTCCTTTAACTGTTTACAGCCTTTTAGAGTTGTTTAAAAAAGGTATTGCCTATTCCATTGTAGCAGGAGGAGCCACAGACAAAACTCCTCAGACACCCAGTGAGCAATTCCTGTCCCTTTTAAGGGCTCACAACTCTAAGGGGGTCCACGTGAGAGGGTCATGATGGGTACATGACTGGGGGCTGCATGCACTGGTAATCAGAACGAAACAGAACAGGATAGGGATTTTTACACTGTCTTTCCATACAATGTCTGGAATCTATAGATAACATAACCAGTTATGTCAGGGGTCGATCTTTAAGTACCAGGCTTAGGTCAGGCAGGCCCAGGCCTGGTTTCGGGTCTGGTTCCTTGGTTTCAGGTCTGGTTCCTAGGTGCCGGGCTACCTGCCTTTAATTTCGCTTCTCTTTCCTTTTCTGAGTATAAAACAATATAAAACAATATGAGAGGGTCTGTCTCTCTTCTCTCACCATACTCTTTAGTAATGAGCTCAAATCTGTTATTATTGTCTTATTTGTTGTTTTATAAATCCCTTTCCATTTTGTGAATGTTTGATCTTTTCTCTGGGGTCAAGACTTCTGGTAGAACTCACGTTTACTTTCTCCTCTTGGACTCAAGATTCCTAAGGTAGCCCAGCCAGTGGCTCAGGAAATCAGCTTAAGCGGAGATATGTTTCATGTATTTATTTAAAAAGATACAAAACATTTCTCCCATCATTTTTCTATTTTGTTAGCCAGGAGAAGAAAACCTTTAAATTTATTTTTTCTGGTCTGTCCATTGTTGATTTCTCATCTACCCCCTCCCTATGCAAAGCTCAACTTCTTTAGGAACCTGAAGCTTACCTTATAACTGCACCCAAGCCCAGGGCTTTAGGAACCTACCTGGCCTTTCTCAAAATCTTATAGATTCTGTGGTTTGGCTGCTGGGAGCCAGAGGGAGGTGGCTTGCTACTGTGTTTGCTATCATTTTGTAAACCTTCCGTTGCCATTTAAATAGGTATTTGTCTGTACTTTTAGAATAGAAGTGTCTTGAAGGCAATAAGACTGTGAGCTTTTCTGGTGAAAACACTGAGAGCCCAAGTCCACTAGTCCCAACTTTATTAGAGATGCCTGAAAATCCTCCCTGGCTGGCTAGGGGGAGCCGAACCAAGGTGGGATGGGCAAAGGGTGTGGTCAAATTGTCTCCTTCAGTTTTGGAAATATTTAATTTCCAATATAGATTCAGTATACATGGTAGGCTGTTTTGCTTCTCTGATGCCTGGGATAATCTGCCTGATATTTAGTGAGGGGTCAGCTTTGCCCTATAGCACCCTTTCTCTTCTGTATCTTGAGCATAGGCCCCCAGTTAGACTTTTGGAAAGTTTCTGAAAGTGTCACTTGCTCTGAAATTAGTATCAGGTTTGGCTGGTGGTTTGATGGTGAACATCTACCCCATTTCAAATATTTCTGAAAATTTTACACAGCATCCTATGGAGAATGGAACACTTTGTAAGCTATATGTACTTTGATGTAAATGTATATGTACAGATAGCATATGTATATACACACATATATAGTAAGTGGTCCATAGATATTTGTTGAATGAATGGAGAATAACTTTTTCGGTTGTATGCAAAATTCTGATATATGCTTTGCTTAGTAAAAATGCAACATGGCATATTTTCAAGGATTTTTCCTTTTCTTGTCCCATCTTCTAGTATGAAAGAAGTGTAGTGTAGCAGAACTTGACAGTAAAGCTAAATGGTTACAAGCACAGGCTTTGGCATTTAACAGACCTGGATTTGAATCTTTTCTCTGTTGTATAGTGGGTGTGTCAGTTTTCCTGAGCCTTTCAAGAGTGTTATGAGATTGAAGTGAGGTCATGCATGTAAAGTACTGGAGAACAGCACCCAGCCAAGAGGTGAGTGCGTGAAATTAATTTGGGGTACATGAAATTAAGGATATGTGAACTTCCAGAAATAATATACACAATTTTATATGCATTTTTACGGTTCTGTATTTATAGCTATAGCTATAATCTTATTTTCCAAGAAAAGTGTCAACCTCTGAACGATAGGAACTGCTGACTTGGAGTGTTTGATGCCTGAGGCAATGGGTTGTCTTCCTGGGGAGGCTGAAAGGAGTTGAGTGTTGGTGGCTAGTTCTAGGCCTTATCCCAGGTTAACACACTCCATGGAGGCCCCACTTCTCACCTCCCAGTTTCCCTTCCACCAGGCAGGCTGTTAATTGGGCCTGAGAGAAGCTGAAGAATGGTGCCAAGTCCTTGTGACCTCAAGTAAGAAAATATGTCTCTGAATCCAAGCATTCTGAGATGCAATTTGTACAGTTTATTTAACAAACACTTATCTAATCCTTACAATGGGCCAATCACTCTTCTAAGCCTTTTGCAAGTATTAACTCACTGAATCCTCACAACAACCCTATAAGGGAGATAGCATAATTAGCTCATTTTACTGATGGGTAAACTTAGGCACAGAGAGGTTAAGTTACTTTCTTTAGGTTACACTGCTAAAAAGTGGCATTACTGGGCTTACAAGCCCTAACAGTTCATGCTCTTACCTTAGTGGCTGTCCTAGACATTCTTTCCTTGTTTAATTCTTACAATTTATATTCTTTTAATGTATGGAACAAAGGTGGTATTTCCCAAGGTTTTCCAACAGCAGCAAAGGGAAGCTTGCTTAGCTGTAATCTAGAGGTTATAAGAAATTATTGGAGACAGCCAATTTCAATTTCCCTTCGAGTGCTGGAGTTCCCTAAGACGGTCTTGCTGAAACTCAGAGATAGACTGGAAGCACCTTGTTGGATGGCCTGGATCTCTGGTTCTGGAAGAATTACATTTTTGTAATGAGCTTCAACTTTGATGTGGTTTGAGAAGTGTGCTCGCCAGTTTTTTCCAACTATCAATAAGCTATATTTTGATGAAGTGACTTTGTATTTGCATCTTGGTGGACAACTGTGGTTGTAGGCTGAGAAGGCGGGGATTTATTAGAGTGCTGTCTAGTGGGACAGCTGGCTTGCCAGCTCAAGGTCCCAGTGAGGACCAGACCCTGGCAAATCCAGCTCCAGCTGAGAAACACTCACGTCTTCAAGGCCTCTTTCTCAAACAGAAGGGCCTTAGCCTGGCTTCACCCATTCCCTGGGGTGTGACGGGAGAGACTGTTCGGTAGAAACTGGAAGAGAAAGGAGAGTCTGAGAAAGTTCTCTGGAGTTGAAGGGGGAGGGGATGGGGGCAACTCTTCGAAAATCCTTAACTAAATGCAGCTGCTTGTTACACGGAGACTGACTTGCATGCCAGGAATATCTAAAAAGCTAACGAATACAAAATAAAAATAAACAGCAGTAAAAAGGCTCTCTCTTTGTTGCAGTAAGCTCAGTTGGGGTTTTCAGTTTGTTTAGGAATGGGATAATTGTGGCATCCACTTTATTTTGGTAAGGCAGTGAAACGTGGATTAATGTTATGTGATTGGGATGCTACCACCATCTGAACTTTTTCCTTCATCCCCTGCCCCCAGCCACACCCCCCAGAACACCCAGGCATGGACATCCATAGGACCTGAGTCTCAAACAGTTGCCCCTGAGTGAATTACATTGGAAGAGGGCAGATAATTTAATGGGATAATCTTGGCAGGGCCAGCAAATTTCACACCTCATCTCTCACTAATAGAAAGGCAGCAGAAGGCTACAACATCCTCAGATGAAAAGGTTGTATAAAAAGGCTCTGCTTAACAGTAACTGTCTGTCCATAAATAAGGTTTTGTACAGTCTTGATCCAAAAGCTGTTATGAAATACTGATAAGCCAAGCCTCATAATGTTTGGCCTCCTTACATTTCCTTTTCCTGCTTCTCTCCATAGAACCATAGATTTTTTTTTTTTTAAGAGAGAGAGGGGGACTAAAAAAAAGATCAACAGTCCAAACTTTATTTTTTTCAAGTATTTCTATACAGGATGGACTTCCTTTGATAGCTGCTTAAAGAGGTGGCGTGGAGTAATGGAAATAGAATGGGATTTGAGCCTGATAGGGAATGGGGGTTTGAATTGGGGCTTTGTTGCCTTCTTGGGCAAAGTTACCTAAACTTTTGAGCCTCTGTTTTCTTATCTGTAAAATGGGAATAACAATAATATGTGGCTTACTGGGGGGTTTTGTGAGAATAAAAGGATGTTATGAACTTATAGCGCCTAACACAGCACCATGGACTTAGTGAACGTGAAGTATGTTAGCCACCATCATTATCAAGGGCTTACTGAAGAAATTTGAAAATCTGGCTTCAAAACGATGGTCCTGCTGCAAGGTAGCAACCAAGGCTCAGAGAATAGCAAGTTTTACAAGGTTTTAGGACTCCAGAGTGTTTTGTTTTATAGGGAGCATGCAGATGCTCTAGATCTGAGCAGTACCCAGGCCAGTGCTGGGGACCTGGATGGAAGGGATTCCACAGTGCAGTTTTGCAATGCCTTAAAACAAAGGCTTTTTTCAGAACAGCAAGCTCTTTGGGGAAGAGCAACCCCTCCCAGGTGCTTAGTGTAATTCCAGAATCCTACAATGGGGAATGTTACATTTCAGGGACCTCCACTTGTAATCTGACCGTTTTTAGCTCCAATATCCAAATAATCTTGCTGAGCACAACTTGAAAGAGAAGGATAATGGCCGGAGGAAAGGATCCTGAGGTGCTCTGTTTGCCATTTAAATTTTCTGAGTAGAAGAAAAAAAGTTCATGTTACCCAAAGAGAGAAGAGTAATGAAGCGTGTGGGAAGCAGGAGGGGTGATAAAGAGGACTTCTAAAGACAAAGCAGAGGTTGGGTTTGATATTTTATTTTTCAACAGTGAAGCTTGTCACTCAGTGTATTTCAACTAACATTTATTATATATTTATCACATGAAAGATACAGTATTCGTGTCCAGGAATAAAGTATTAACTTTGCCCTCAAGGAGAGAGGAGAAAAATTCTCACTTTTTTGAGCACCTGCTATATGCCAGGTATCATTTTTTTAAAGCTATTAAATTTATGCTTCTCAGCACTCCTTGGAGTTTGGACTTCTGATCCTATTTTACAGATAAGAAAATCGAGGCTCAGGAAGGTAAGTATCTCAGCCAAATTCGTACAATGATTAAGTTGGGATTTGGGATTTGAATCTAGGTATTTTGACTCTCAGATGTATGCTCTTTTTGTTATCCTTAAAGTGTGATTGGGGAGACACCAATGAGCAGATGTGGTACCACAGGCAACTATCTCTCCCACAAGTGAATTATAGGAAAGAGTTGTGGAAAAAATGCTGTGGGAACATGGGGAAGAATACATTAATTCTCAGGGGATTAGAGGGTCAGAGGAAGAACATGAGTGCCTCCTTCATAGGCTTATTGTGAAGAGTCAATGAAATAATTCATGGAACACACTCAGACTGTGCATAGTGAGCGCTCAGTGAGTGTTCTGCTATAGTTATGTAGCCAGTGAGAGGCCTGATCAGGATTTATCTGCCTCTAAAACCCATGTACTCTTGCTCCCCTGTGCACTTTTTAAACAGACATGTGATTGTTGGAAGAGTAAGTAACTGTGCAGTCACCAAATGAAAGGGAAGACACCAATACAGTTGCTCTGGTATATTCACCACCTGCCCTAATCCTGGCTTTTAGGACTGGACTGCTTTGGGTATGGGAGGGGATTTGGATAGATGTGGGGTTGGAAAGAATCAAGATGTCTCATCATGAACTATAGCGCTCCTAGAACTCTGGCCAGGATTTACCACCTGCCCTCATTCATTCATTGATCATACATTTTCTATGCACTTACAGTGAACCAAATATTCTGATAGTCTCACTGGAGATGTAAAGATGAATAAGGTTAGATCATTGCCTTGGAGGGTTTTTCAAATGACAGATTTATGGCAGAGATTGCTAGCTGATCACCAAATATGTTTCCATCTCTTCCGGTCATATGACTAGACAACATTTCTCAGCTTTCTCACAGTTAAGTGAAGCCATGTGACTAAATACTAGCCAATTAAATGAAATTGGAGGTAATTTTTGTCGCTTGTAGGCTTGACCCATAAAAAACTCCCCAGGCAGAATCGGTATGATCCTTCTTCGGTGGCTTGACAACCTTAGAAGTCATGTGTTGAAAGTGTCACAACGTGGAAAGAGCCTGAGACTCTCCCTTAATCACTGTGTGGTGGAAGCCACACTTGTTTAGGTTTTATGTGAACCAAAAACAAGTGTCCATTGTTAAGGCTGAGATTTTGAGGTTTTTTTTTTTTGTTTTTTTTTTTGTTACAGCTGCTAATGTTACCTTAACTAACATGAGGTTGTAAATCAGTGTGTGGTGAGATCAATTTAGTGGGTTAGGACCAGCATTTTTAGATAGAATAAAATAGGAAACCTGGTTTGTGTCTGACCACTTCATGCAGACCTGGGGCTCCATCCAGTAAATTAAACCCCTTCCCAAATAATTTATGGCACACATAGGGTGCCTCTAGCACTGTAGAGAATCTAGAAGAATGAAGGGTGGCCTTTACCCTTGGGGAGTTTACCTTTTAGGGGCAGTAAAATAGGCACTTTATACAGCCAGTGAGTACAGAGTTGGCAATTATATATGCAGAATCCCTAGAAGGGTGGGTCTTTCGGGAGGAAGTGTGATATGATGTGAGCCTTGAAGGAAGGATTGAGAGGGTGCGGGATTGAAGGATGGGAGATGGGAAGAGGAGTTGGACATTTCACTGCTGGAAAAGGGCTGGAGTTCCACAGCAGCCTGCAGCTGCTCTGGGGGTCTCCATGGACTCGCTGAGACTATCCTGAGTTCTTAAACCAGGCCTTCACTGTGGAATGAAGCTGATCTCCAGGGGATGGGAGAGTGAAGAAAAGAAAGACAGCGTTGAATGAAGCCTGTTGTGTTTTTAGCATATGAAGGGTGGAGGAGGAGAGAGAAGGAAGCAGTTTCACTGGGAGCCTGAAGACTTGTCTTTCTTCCCAAAGGGTGTCCCAGGGAGTTAAAAATGTTGTGCATTTCAGGGCTGCTTGTCAAAGGTATATGATGGTGTCTTATTGTCTCTAATGCAGCCATTTTCTCTTATAGTGCAGGCTACTTAATTCTATTCCCCCTCTTGTCTGCTTGATGAAAAGAATAATAGTATACTAATAATTAACACACTGAGCATACTGTGGGCCAAGTACTATTCTAAGTTCTTTAAGCGATTTAACTTGCATAGTCTTCAGGACGACCCTATGAGGTAAGCCAGAGTTCTAGGAGCATTATTGTTCACTATTAGGCATCTTGATTCTCTCCAGCTCCACACCTGTGTGAATCCTCCACCATGCCCAAAGCAGAATCCAGGCTAAAAGCCAGGATAAGGGCAGATGGGAGAAAATACAAGACGAACTGTCTTGGTGTCTTCCCTTCTATTTGGTAACTACACAACTACTTACTCTTCCAACGACCACATGTCTGTTGAAAAGGTGCACAGCAGAGCAAGAGTATATGGGCTTTAGAAGCAGATTAATCCTGACCAGGTCTTTCACCGGCTGCTGAACACTCCTTGAACACTCACAATGCATGTGGCAGGGTGCTCAGTGTGTTCCACGATATCCCCATTTTCCAGATAAGGAAACTGAGGCACAGAGAAGTAAGTAACCTGCCCAAGACCACACAGAGAGTTAAATGGGAAAACTAGGATTTGAACCTGCATATCCTAAGGCCTGAGTTTTGTTCCTAATCATTATTATGCCAAACTGCATTGCAGTTTTTTTTTTCAACTCTGTCTGATGATTAAAATTCTCTGTAAGATCCCAGCCAAATAGCTGAGTCAAAATAATTATAATTAAATCCTCCATTTGTATAGGGCTTTGCAGCTTACAAAATCATTTTATGTACAGTATTACCTTTAATTTTCCAAAAAATACAGTTAAATAGGATTTATTTCTCTCTTCCTTTTAAAAGTAGGCAGGTGAGTTTGGCAGCTCACACAAGGTCACTCTGTAGCTGTCAGGGCCTGTCTAAAACCCAGCCCCTTGGACTTAGGGCCCATTGAACTTTCTGCTCTAAAGACTACTTTTGTTTGGAATTTGTGCCTCTAATATACTGATATATGACTATTTTCACTACTGTTTCACCAAAAGGTGAATTTGCCTGATTTTCACTTGTTTCATCCACAAAATCTTCAAATAGCTGTTGTCTTTAGAAACAGTTGAAAGGCATTTGTAGATGGGACCTGGCTCTGGGATTTCTGTAACCTGGGAAAATTTACTTGCAAAAAGACAGAGAAGTTACTTAAAAACAGGATTTTCCTAAGTGGTTGGTGATTGTGGCAGGGAGAGGAGCCAGGAAGAGAAGGACTTTGGCATCAGATGGACTAGGCTCACTACTGCTCTGCCAGGTCAGCAAACTACGTAACCTCTGAGACTGGCTTTCCTCACGTGTAAAATGGGAGCCATAATGGTGCCTACCATGACAGAGGGGGAAGGACCATGGGTAGTGTTTGGCACAGTGCCTGGGCCATAGTTGGTTGTTGGTGTGTGATCGAAGCTACATCTCTCAATTGAATGGAGAGCAGCAATTCTTCCTTTAAGATTTTTCACAGGATGGGATGGGGCAAAATTGCTAGTTCTCAGCGCCTTGTTAGGCATGATTTTATAATACAGTTATCTCTGACACGGACTTTCTTAGCACCTGGAAATCTTAGGTTATAATTATATTGTTTCTCAAGGGCAGGGACTTTCTTATGCTCTGTGAAGGTTAAACATCATAAGGTAAAAATAGAACATGCTGCCTGAAATCCTAGATACCCTGGAAAGGCTCTTATCTGTTCTTCATGGGAAACTGACACCATTTCCGGATGGGTTTAGACAATGTACATGAAAGCAACTTATTCTACTTTTTCTCCATAAGAGAGATTATAGCCTTGCTTCTAGGATTTCACTCCAACTGGGGTGTTTCAAAGTTTTTACATAATTTTCACACCCCCTGGAGAGTATTGGCTGTTTTTCTTTTTTCTGCCTGAACTTCCATTGTGGTGATGGACTGTATTAGCCTTTCATATGCCTACCTTAAAGAGGTAATGCTTAACCCAGTCATGACTGTTTTATCTCCTCCCTTCAGAGAACTGTTGTGTGTTGTATGGGGATTTTCAGTCCCAAGATATTGCCTGTTGGAGACCAGTGGTGTGTAGACCACTGAAAACAAGCAGCAACTATATATATATATATTTTATTTATTTATTTATTTATTTATTTATTTAATTTTTTTTTTGAGACGGAGTCTCACTCTGTGGCCCAAGCTGGAGTGCAGTGGCACGATCTCAGCTCACTGCAACTTCTGCCTCCTGGGTTTTTTAAGTGATTCTGCTGGCTCAGCCTCCCGAGCAGCTTGGATTACAGGCGCCTGCCACCACGCCCGGCTAATTTTTGTATTTTTAGTAGAGACAGGGTTTCACCATGTTGGCCAGGCTGGTCTTGAACTCCTGACCTCAAGTGATCTGCCCCGCTCAGCTTCCCAAAGTGCTGGGATTACAGGCGTAAGCCACCGCGCCCGGCCTACGCAGCAACAATTTTCGATGATGTTCTTAATCCACCAGTGATTTAAACCTCTTTTTCTCTGTGCGGCTCATAGCGCTTTGCCCACTCACATCTGGTGTCCCTAAGTCAAAGCATTGAAAACTTTGCCTGTGACCAGGTAGTCTTCAGTGGGTTAGAGTCTGCTGTCAGGGCCTCCCAGGGGACACGTGATAACTAATGTCCTTTTTCCCCACTGAGGAAGGGGGGAGCTGAACTGAGCATGTCCAGTCTGTGCTACCCAGCTCATCCCTAAGTTGCTGCCTAGGACTGTGCTCCGGGCCTCTGCAAGGAGGAGTTAGTAAAGGTGCAGAGAAAGTCCAGGACTTAACACTGATTAGTCTTCCTCCCCAGAAAGAAAGCACCTGGCACAGGGAATAAAGCATTTCCCCCCTTACGCTGGCTACAACTTGATTTTTTTTTTTTTTTTTTTTTTTTTTTTTTTTTTGAGACAGAGTCTCGCTCTGTCGCCCAGGCTGGAGTGCAGTGGCACAATCTCTGCTCACTGCAAGCTCCGCCTCCCGGGTTCACGCCATTCTCCTGCCTCAGCCTCCTCAGTAGCTGGGACTACAGGCACCCGCCACCACGGCCAGCTAATTTTTTGTATTTTTAATAGAGACGGGGTTTCACCGTGTTAGCCAGGATGGTCTCGATCTCCTGACCCCGTGATCCTCCCGCCTCGGCCTCCCAGAGTGCTGGGATTACAGGCGTGAGCCACCGCGCCTGGCCTTTTTTTTTTTTTTTTTTTTTAAGGAGCAATTGTCAGATTTGATGGTTGTGTTGGGGTTAAAACTATGTAGATAAGGTGGTCAAAACCTTTTAGAAATAATCCTCCCACATCTTTCCTGAGGGCTTAGGTTTAGAAAGTTTCTTAGCCATCCCAGGATGTGGGTGAAAGTGGCTTCCCCCAGACTCATCAAATACACAGAGCAATTGATCTGAGTGCTGGTGGATGGGAGGGAAGGAAAGGAGGGGCCCAAGAGGCGCAGCTCCACCTGCCCGAGGGAGACGTCCTGTGTAAACTAACAAGAAGTCACTGGTGCTTCGGTTTGGTTAAATACTGATTTAGCAACTGAAAGGGATGCAGGAGAAATATGGCAATATCCTCTCCAGTAAGAAGTTTACTGTTTTTGTTAGGGAGGCAAGACTGATACACCCCAAACGGTATGGGAATAATGAATTGATCCAAATGTCAGTGGCCTGCCCTTGGTTTAGGGCCCTTTGCCTATCTTGAAGCCTCCAGGAATTTCTACCCTCACACCGGCCTACCTCCCTGGCATATCCAGCTCAGACTCTTTCCTCTTTTCATTTCTTCTTGCTGAATTCTTGTTCTTCAAACTGTATTGCATCCACATCCAGGAAGGCACCCTGGCCTGTTTCAGCCTGTCAGTCCTTCTTTTGTCGTCTCACCTTCCACCAGTATTCTCACATAGGCCGTCTAAATCACACCTGCTTATGCTGATTTAGCCCAACACCTTTGCAATAATTGTCACTGTCAAGTATTAAGCATTGACTGTGGACCCAGCACCTGGCAAGGCATTTTGTATTTTGTAGTGGAATCATATTATTTTCTCCCTGTAGAACTATTGCCTTTCTTTCCTTCCTTCCTTCCTTCCTTCCTTCCTTCCTTCCTTCCTTCCTGCCTTCCTGCCTTCCTGACTTCCTTTCTTTCCTTCCTTCTCTTTTTTTTTTTTTTCTTTTTTGATGGAGTTTCACTCTTGTTGCCCAAGCTGGAGTGCAATGGTGCGATCTCAGCTCACTACAACCTCCGCCTCCCAGGTTCAAGCAATTCTCCAGCCTCAGCCTCCTGAGTAGCTGGAATTACAGGCACCTGCCACCATGCTTGCCTAATTTTTGTATATTTAGTAGAGACGGGTTTTGCCATGTTGGCCAGGCTGGTCTCAAAATCCTGGCCTCAAGTGATCCACCCACCTTGGCCTCCTAAAATGTTGGGATTACAGGCATAAGCCACTGCACCCGGCCTATCGCCCTGATTTCAATCCCTCATCTGTCACTCCCTCATTCTGGGAAATGCCCCTTCATCAGTTTCAAAAGGAACTAATCATAGTCTTTCCTTGGGATTTAGGGGCAGCCCTTCTGGGATGGGGAAGCTGAGAGATGCCCTTGGTCATGTCTGAGCCCAGGAAAGAAGCTGGTGTGTAGGAGAGAATGACTTCATATCCAGAGCAGGCACTCCTGAGAGGCAGAAGAGGTCTGACAGCCTGCCAATCTCTTTTCCACCTCCCTGGGGTTTCCTTATCTGAGCCAGTAGACGCTGCTTTCATGAGGTTATTGTGTTCCTACAATGCACACAGCCTCACCTCACTAATCCTCATAACAAAATGAAGTGGGTGTTATCCTTTTTTTAAAGCTAAGAGGAAGCAGTTTGATTGCTTTTTCTGATGAGAACATTTATATCCATTAAAAGCAAATTCAGAAATGTATAATGAAAACAAATTTCACCCATTATCCTACCATTCAGAGATAACTTCTGATTGTGTTTATACACGTGGATTTATAAAAGGAGGTTATGCTTTTATTCCCAAAAGAAAACTGAGGCTCAGAGATGTTAAGTAACTCCTCTAGGGTCAAAACCAGTGCAAATCACTAAAACGTGTTGACTGTCTGTTAAATTCAATGTAATTAAGTGCCACAGGGAGTTACAGGCAGTAGGTTTTGTGGATCAAGAAGGAAAGAGGCCGGCATTGATTGGAATTACTGGGAGGGTTTTCTGAAGGAGGTGGGGCTTGACAGAGTGATCTAATATATATATTATATGTTATATATATATATATATTTTAAGGCTTGTTTTATTTTAATGGCTGATCTATATAATCACAGAAGCCAGTATGTACAGACAAAGTGGAAGTTTTTATTTCCTTGTCTCTTCCTCCTTGGACAAGGTCTTGATGATTTCCTCCTTCTTGACCTGGAGGCACTCTTTATGGCGCTTGCATGCTTCCTTGGTCTTAGACCTCTGGGCCTCAACCTGGTTAGCCAGGAGCTTCATGCGAGCCTTATCTGCCTTCAGCTTGTGGATGTGTTCCATGAGAATCGCTTGTTTTTGAACACGTTCCCCTTAACCTTCAGGTACAGGCTGTGATACATGAGGTGATCAATCTTCTTAGATATGCGGTATCTTCTGAGCAGCCAGCACAGAATCCTCATTCTCCTCATCCACGTGACCTTCTCTGGCATCCGGGCATTGGTTGTACCCTTTCGCTTACCTATGCCCATGTGCCTGCCCTTCCGGTAGGCCAAGGTGTTTTCCTGGCATCGAGCCTGGGAATGGACAGTCATTGGCTTGCGGATCATCAGCCCATCTTTGATCAGCTTCCAGATCTGCTGACAGGAGTTGGCATTGGAGATTTCATTGGTTTCATTGGGGTCCAACCAGACCTTCTTCTTGCCACAGGGGAGGACCCTAGAGGCAAGCCTCTTCTGAAGCCTGAGCATACTCATGGCTGTGACCATAGCAGTGAAAGGTGAGTGATCTAATATTGACTTGATTCCTCCCATTAAGTGGCCTCTGAGTGGGCAAAGCCAGTGAATGGGGACACCTGAGCACTGCCTGCTGTCGGGACTGGGCACTGCCTAAGACAATGATTACTTTTGAGCTTTTCTGAAGTGAAAATAAGTCAATGTGAACATGGCAAAGAGGGACAGAGGAAGAGACTTATGGTATCTAGAAGGAAGTTGGCAGGTAACAGGGTGCCAGGAAATTAAGACCTAAAGAAATAGAGTGGAGGAGAAGGAGGGTGGGGGCACAACAGTGGATTGTGGTTTTGCATTTGAATCAGGAGGAGGAAAAAAACACCCATCCTTCCTCTCCTTTTTTTTTTTTTTTTTTTTTTGTCTTTAAACAGGCACTGTCACTCTCTTTTGGGATTACTTATTTATATGTTTGTCTCTCCCTCTGCACTGTGAGATCTGGGTGAGGAGGAATGGTGTTTAATTTTCATGCATATCTTCAGTGTTCAGCACATTAAGCCTGGCACAAATCAAAGAGACACTCATTAAATATTTTTCAAAGCAAGGATCCACTGACATGACTTTCAGGCAGGCCCTCCCAAGCTGTCTACAACCCCCTCTGTGGTCTCATAGGGCACCTATGCACATATTGGCTTTTCATGGGCTGTTCCCTCCCACAGAAGCACCTTTCCCCCACCCATCAGCTACAGTCCTTCTGTCTTGGCTCAGATGTCACATCCCTGACTCAACAGGTGAGATTAGATTTCCACTCACATGCTCTCCTAGCACTTTGTGTTCTTAAATAACCTTCATTATAATTTGTCATTGAATATTTATTTGTGTAATGACTATTTTTTGGGATCTTCTCTATCACTGGGTTGGATGCTCCTTACAGTAGGGTCTGGTTCTGGATCTCCTGAGCCTGGGCCAGTTGAATGGATTCTGCTTTTACTTTTACTAAGCATTGTTCTTCCTTCCTAGAGGCCGAGATAACTCCAGCTTACCTTGGTGTGACTATCTAGGAATTTAAAAACGCGTCTTCGAACAACTGAAAATCTCCAGGCTATCTCTTCCAACAGTTGAGGAATCCAGCCCTGTAAAAAGTCAATCAGGCTAAATGACACCTGCTGTGAGTTCTGTTTGCAGGAGAGCAATGGGCAGCTCCAGAGCTGGGCTGTTTTCCCAACATGGAGTCTGTGATAACTGGGTTTTGCTGCTATAAATTAGGGTCACCCTGCTCTTAATTGGCAACCAATTCAGATTCTCCCTTACAATCCTCCTCTTTCTCCTTTTTCGTGTGGACTGTGTTTGAGAGAAGGTGTGGAAAATCCTGGCACTGTGCTACAGGGACGGTGCACCTGCAAGCTGGGAATAGAGGTGGTGAATGCTGGCTGCCGGCCCTCAGCACCTTTTTCTCCCTCCCTGTTGCTCTGCCCTTCCCTGTCTTTTCTCAGGAATTTTGAAAGAGGTCTCATTACTAGGGAAATATCCCCTGGGGAGCTCTTCCTCTCTCTTCTTTCTCTCAATGAGTAGAGGGGAAAGTGTTCTCAGTTTTGAACCTGCAAGCCATCTGGATGCAAAGATGGCCAGAAATGCCCCCTTGTCTCTGGATTTCCTACAGCAACTCTGCCTTAGCCTCCCAGTACCATCTGCTTCAGGCTGGGACATCTTTCCTTCATGCAGGAGAAAGGGGAGCTTAATAAAATTTTGCTGGGGTTTCTTGGGGCCTGAGGCAGTAGTGGGGAGGAGAGAAGCCTGGGCTGTTTTATTTCTTGCACCTGCTATGAGTCAGGAGTGGTCCTTGGTCAGCAGGCACATGGAGGCCTGCTGGGTGCCAGGCATTGGGCAGGTGTTGGGGCTACAGGATTATCTGCTAGGACCTCAAAGTCTGGCCTTGTGGGCAGCGTGAAAACAATGATGGTGACACAGTGAGAGTCTGGGCACAGGTCCTGGAAGGTGTGGAGAGGGAGCAGCCAATGCAGGCTCCTGTTAGAGTGCTGGAGACAGAATCAGGAAAGGTGACTCAGGGGAGTCACCTTTTTTTCACTGGAAAAAAATATGTCTGGGAGGCACTAAAACAAGAGCCCATTATGTGTTTTAAAATGATATTAGTAATAATGTAGGGGTTTATTTGGACAAATGAGTTCACAAAATTGTGCTGCCTGTAATGTTGATTCTTGACTGAGGGATAAAACTCACTTCCCAGGCCCCTTTCTGTAAGCCAGTTCCCACCATCCCCTTGAACCTCAGCTGCTCCACCAGAGTCAAAGCAACTCAGAAGGAGGCTGAGACCCCCATGCCTCATTGCTAATCGATGGGCATGGTGGATGGGCATGAGGGTGGGGTTCAGGACCTTACCTAGCATCTGTCTTCCCAGAATGTTGCTCTGCCCTTTCTGGGGATAAGAGGTCTTAGTTTCTTTATCTCTATAATGGGAATTATAATCCATTCCCTGAAGATTATGGAAGATTATAGGAGGTAAAGGCTATAAAGTCACCTTGTAAACCTAAAATCCTATCTGAGATCGAGGATTTAGATGGCAAGTACCATTTTGTCTTCATTTCTTGGTGAAGAAGGATCCATGAGGCCTCCTTTATTCACTCAACAGATATTTACGTGGCAGGCATCATTCTTGATACTGAGGGTAAAGCTGTGAACAAAACAAAGACCCTGGTCATGGAGGAGTCAGGAAATACAGAAATATACATGACAGCAGGTAACAGGAAGGGCCAAGAAGAATGAGCAGGGTAAAGAGCTTGTAAAGGAGGTGGGGTGGGTGCTGTCGCATGGGGCAGTCTGGCAGGCCTCTAGGTTTAGGGGATTTGAGCAGAGAGACCTGTGTGAAGGGAAAGGGTGACCCCTGAGACTGTCTGAGGGAGGAGCAGTGAGTGCAGAGGCATTCAAAGCAAATGCCTTGAAATGGGAGTGTTATCAGTTTACAGTACAACCAGCAATTGCTTCTACTACCACTGGTAATATTTATAGAGTCTATACTGTGTGCCAGGCAGTATTCAGGTGCCGCGACAACCCTATTCGGTAGGTCCTATTTTTATCCTTCCCCCATGTCACAGATGAGGCATTCTTAGAACAAACCAAGCATCCAGATAATACGAAGAGGGAGCAGTTCTCATTTACATGGGGAGTGTATAAGTCACAGCCCTGCACAGAGGGAACAGTGTATGGTTTGGAAAGAAAAAAAATCTCAGTTTGGGCCTGGCCTGCTACTCATCTGCTGCTAGGGCAAGATGTTTCACCTCTCTGGGCTTCTGTTTCCTGATTTATAAAATGGGCTAATAAAATCTCAGAGGATTATTATGTATATTAAGTGAGAGATCCAAGTGAAAGAATGTTTCAAACTGCAGGGCACCATGAGAATATCACTTTATTCTTCTTCTTATTACGCCAATTCTCATTCCTTGCCTCTTGCAAAGAGAGAGAATGAGAGAAAAATGGAAACTTGCAACTTACTTAACTTCCTTGGTTCTTTCCCTGAAAACTTATTTTCTACTAATGTCTGTGGGAGTGAATTAACTAGAGTATCCAGTTGAATTAAGTATTTTGCTGAAAGATGAAGGGACTGTGAGATAAAGTTGGTGCCGAGGATTCTCACATTTCTAAAGGAATCACTTGAGGTGCTAGGACTCCCAGTCCACTCTTCCACAATACCAGACAACCTGTAATCCTCAGACCCAGAATCTTATGACAGCTTTCTCTGATTTCACATTGTGTAGATTAGCTACCCAAAAAAGTAAGTGGCCTCAAATAGTGCTGCCCTTTAAAATTATTCTATGCATTTGTCCCAGAGTCTTGTGGGATGAATGGCTAAATCCTACTGGATTAGGCGAGATGGGTATTATTATCTGGGGCTACAGAATGGAAAAACTCAGGTGAAGGAAGTTATCCCAAACTTCATAATTGATGGTGAGCCTGGATACTCATTCTCAAATCTGGTGAGGCATCGTTGGCTTCTACCATGATGGCGATGGTAAGCTCATTTGTCAATCAAATGATCGATTGGCAGTAGGGTGATGACAGTTAATAATAATCTATTATATATTTCAAAATAGCTAGAAGAGAATAATTAGAATGTTCCTAGCATAACATTATGGCTATCCCAGTTACCCTGATTTGATCTTTACGCATTCTATGAATGTACCAAAATATCACATGTGCTCTGAAAATATGTACATCTATTATGTGTCAATAAAAAAAGTTAACCAAATGATCGATGAACACCTACTATGTGCCAGGCACAGTGCTGGGTGCTGGCAATGCAGTGGTGAATGAGACAGGGACCTGGGTGCTTGCTCTAGGGAATGCCCTTAGGAGAAGCTCAGGGTATGTTTTTTTATTTGGAATGCTTGCTGATTCCCCTCCCAGGACCTCCAGAAAGAAGTGGTGGTTGCTTCAGCGGTCACTTGGTGATGACTGGCAGGTATATACCTGTGTAGCTGGCACATCTGGTGCCTGTGATCAGAGCCGAGCCATCCAGTCTGAGCTTTGTTTTTCCCAGTGCAGCAGTGGTTTCCTGCAGTAAGCTCCATCTTGGTTGTGCTGCCCTCCCCGCTGGGGTTGGGATAACAGCCTCCTGGGGACTGTGGCTAATCTCAGGAGAAGCAGAGACCCCAGGGAAAGACTCCTGTCTCCGTTGTGTGCACCTAGGATTAGATAGAACTGCCGCTAATGCAGTTAGGTAAAGGCAAGGGCCCTGGTTGCTGGGGAACCAGGAAGCACAGGGTGAGCTTCCCATCTGCTCTCAGTGAAGGACGTCCTCACTGTCACCGCTTCCTAGGGCCAAAGGGGCCTCTGACAAAGCTAATGTGACCAAAGTCAAAATATGGGCTCCGAGAGTCAGCCAAACCCATTCAACTAACTGTGATCTTAGGCAAACCTCAAAGCTTCGGTTTCCCCATCTGTAAAAATTGGGGTACTAATCATATCTACCTCATTACCTTTTGGTGAGGGCAAAAATCAGACAATGCTGACGGTCACTGGCATGTCCTGAGTGTGCATGGTGAGTCGTCCATCAACAAGAGCTCAGATGACCATGTTCCAGGTGAGGAACCCGAGGCCCACCCTGGCCTTGATCAGAAATAACCACCCTGAATTCCTCAGTGCCTGAGTCTGGCATCGAAACTGGCTTCCCCGGCCTCCAGCACTAGGCCACGAAGGAACCAGCTTCTTTCTCTCACTGGTGGTGGCCTGCTGTGCCCTGCTGGCTGGGTCCAGAGAGACAGAATGAGGAGGAGCTCAGGACCTGTTATCAGAGGCCAGAGGGCGGCTCTCCAGCTAGACTGCTAGCAGGACCGCAGTGATGGAATCACCTGAAGGTCTTCTTCAATTTCCTCATCTGTAAAATGCAGTGGCTTGACTGCCCCTTCCAGCCCTAAATTTGTTTTAGGAAGCCCACTGGAGGAAGCAGCGAGCAAGAAGGGAGCAGCGGAGGGAACATATCAATATGATGTAAGAATAATAGCTCCCATTTTGTAAGTCCTGACTGTATGCCCGGGACTGTGCTGGGATACACAGGGTCCAGAACATTATCCATTTTCTAGGGGCTCACGCACTCATGAAACTGGTGATAGTGGTGGGGTGCAGTCGTTTGGGGTGGGTGGAGAGACATAATAACCGGAGGAATTAGAATTTGTTTTGGTACATGCCTTAAGAGAGATCTGCACAGTGACTTGTGGACCCCAGACGAGGCTGCCTGTGTGTGCAGAGCCTCGAATGCCATGCAGTGAAGGGAGGTTGGAACCCTGCATCCAGGGAAGCGGACTTTGTGGTTGGGAGGGCAGGTTCAGGAAGGTTCTGGTGGGAGGGTTGGCAGCCAGGCTGGTGCTCCAGAGGGCTGATGGATTACATTCTTCGAGTTAGAAATCATCAGAAGCCCCGCTGAGAGGGCTCTTGTGGCTTTGGAGCTATGCCGGAGGTTCCCTCTTGCAAGGGGAAAAATTGGCTGTGCCTTTAAGTGTTATCCTCCTGTCCTCTTGGTTTCCTAGTGTGGCAAGATTCAAATCCAAAGTATTTGCATTGAATTTGTTAATTTCAACCAGTGGTAGAATAGAATAAGAAGTCTAAACAGCCATTTTTTCTTCCCTTGGAGGGTATGTTTTCTGACCTTTTAAGGAAAATCCTGTCGAAACCTTGAAAACTTGTGACTCTAGGTGCTGGATCTGACACTGGGTCAGGGACATATTGTGGACCTGCCGTGTGCTTGGGCCTGAGCTGAGCAAGCTCATGGAGTAAGCTCTCTTGAACTCTTAAGATCGTGAAAATACAGTTCCAAGCCACAGAAGCCCTTTGGAGTGATTCTGAATGGTGGGAGGGCAGAGAGGCTTTGAATGCTGTTTGAACACTTAGACTGCTAAGTACTACTCTTCAAACACTTCACGTGCCTTAGATGGTCTAGTGCAAAGGATATGCAGGAACATAAAATATCTTGCCGCTACTGGAATAGCCTTATCTTCTGCCTCAATATTGATTTAGAACAATAGCTTGTTTTGAACTTTCTCCCCATAAATTAAATTTTAATTTAGAAAATGCCATTAGGGGAAACTTAGTATGTAAGTACAGAAGGTTTTGGAGATGGGGGTGGCTGCTCAGAAGGGAGTCTTTAGAGATGACAAAGGTAAAAGCATTACTCTAATCAGAACATTTCATTAAAACCCCCATCAGACTAATCTGTCGACACATAGTATTTTGAGTATCTTTTGTTGGCAACATTCTGTGCTGGAAACTGGGAGAGAGAGAGTTTAGCTCTTGTCCTGTATGTATGTGCATATTTATATGTGTGTAGTATTGTCTTATATGGGAAAGGACGATGGGATTTTTTTTTTTCAGAAACATTTTTCCCTTCTACAAAGGATGACATCAGGGCATAGCAGAAAGAGCTCTGGACTGAAAGTCAATAAACTTGAGTTTATCTCCTAGCCCTACCTCTAACTAG